>NW_025791785.1:0-300000 GCF_000001405.40 Homo sapiens | reverse complement strand
TGGCTAATTTTTTTTGTGTTTTTATTGGAGATTTGGTTTTGACATGTTGGCCAGGCTAGTCTCAAACCTCTGACCTCAGGTGATCTGCCCACCTCAGCCTCCCAAAGTGCTGGGATTACAGACGTTAGCCACTGTGCCCAGCCCACCTAACCTTAAATGATTGAGTTTTTAGCCTTTGTAAAGGGAACTGAAATTATTTGTAATTTTTTAAAAATTGTAAATATATATATATAGATCAAGCTATCAAAAATGTAGAGTGATTGAGTTTGTCTAACTAGGATTCCTATTTCTTCAATATTTTGCAAGTAATGTGGTAGGAAGCTCACTTTTATTGCAAGGGAGGAAAACAAGAAGATTGTGTTGGGAAATCATGAGTGGCATCCCCTCCATAGGGCAGAGGGTCTGTATGTAAAGACAAGAAGCTCTTTAGGGAATTTTCGGGATGAGTAGGAGTTTCCAGTCAACACAACAGGGACTTTCAGTGAGGAGGATAAACCATGAGACAATGGAACTTTCAGTGTTGGCAAAAGAGTGGTTGGAGTGTAGACTCCGTGGGAGCTCAGCCATGAGTGAGGTTAAGTGCTGACAGGGAGGAGGATGGAGGAAATGGCAGCGTCAGTGGGGTGGAGTCTCAGTGGCCTTGAAGAACTGCTGCTACGAGAATAAATGAGCATGAGGGCTGGAGGTGGGCATCTATTGGGGGAAATTCAGCCAGATATCAGGCGAAATTCACCCCCGATATTTCACGTAGGTTCTTTTCTATTTTCCCTAAGTGTCAGCTGGCCTGAGAAATAAAGGGACAGAGTACAAAAGAGAGAAATTTTAAAGCTGGGTGTCCGGGGGAGACATCACATGTCAGCAGGTTCTGTGATGCCCCCTGAGCTGTAAAACCAGCAAGTTATTATTACTGATTTTCAAAAGGGGAGGGAGTGTATAAATAGGGTGTGGGTCACAGAGATCACATGCTTCACAAGTTAATAAGATATCACAAGGCAAATGGAGGCAGGGCGAGATCACAGGATCACAGGACTGGGGTGAAGTTAAAATTGCTAATTAAGTTTCGGGCACGCATTGTCACAGATAACATCTTATCAGGAGACAGGATTTGAGAGCAGACAACCAGTCTGACCAAAATTTATTAGGCGGGAGTTTCCTCATCCTAATAAGCCTCAGAGTGCTACGGGAGACTGGGGCTTATTTCATCCCTACAGCTTTGACCATAAGAGATGGCTGCCCCCAAAGTGGCCATTTCGGAGGCCTACCCTCAGGGATGCATTCTCTTTCTCGGGGATGTTTCTTGCTGAGAAAAAGAATTCAGCGATATTTCTCCCATTTGCTTTTGAAAGAAGAGAAATATGGCTCTATTCCGCCCTGCTCACCGGTAGTCAGAGTTTAAGGTTATCGCTCCTGTTCCCTGAACATCGCTGTTATCCTGTTCTTTTTTCAAGGTGCCCAGATTTCATATTGTTCAAACACACATGCTCTACAAACAATTTGTGCAGTTAACACAATCATCACAGGGTCCTGAGGCGACATACATCCTCCTCATGTTACGGAGATGATGGGATTAAGAGATTAAAGTAAAGACAGACATAGGAAATCACAAGGGTATTGACTGGGGAAGTGATAAGTGTCCATGAAATCTTCACAATTTATGTTCAGAGATTGCAGTAAAGACAGGCATAAGAAATTATAAAAGTATTAATTTGGGGAACTAATAAATGTCCATGAAATCTTCACAATCCATGTTCTTCTGCCATGGCTTCAGCCGGTCCCTCCGTTCGGGGTTCCTGACTTCCCGCAACAGGTATCCCAGACTGAGATTTCTGAAATTGTCATTAGAAGGTTGATAAGGATCTAGTGACAACAAGCTAGTGCGTGGTTTTGGGAGTGGTCCTGAGTACTCGGGCGGACTGAAACACAGTAACAGTAGCAGGAGAGGAGTGGAGGTTGTGGTTACCAGAGCTGGGCCTGGAAAATTGTGTCATGGTTATGTCTCCCAATGTCAGTCTGGAGTTGTTAAATGCAACCATTGACAAGTCGTATCCCAGAACTGGAGGGAAAGCTGAGTTTGCAGGTCAAGACAAGTGGGCAGATGTGGGGAGAGAAGAGACATGTGGTTTTGAGGTCGCATGTGCTGCAGGTTGGAAGGTCCTCCAGAAATGTCTCTCTAAATAAGGATGAGGGCAGATGAAGAGGGAGGGTGGACAGGAGCGCTTCCCCTCCACTGCTGGGAATCCTAAGTGTCCTAGTCAGGTAACTCGAACTCTAGAGTTCAAACGAAGGCAACTGATTGATTGACTGATTGATTGAGAGGGAGTCTCGTTCTCTCACCCAGGCTGGAGTGCAGTGGCGCGACCTCAGCTTACTGCCAGCTCCGCCTCCCGGGTTCCCACCATTCTCCTGCCTCAGCCTCCCGAGTAGCTGGGACTACAGGTGCCCACCACCATGCCCGGCTAATTTTTTTGTTATTTTTAGTAGAGACAGGGTTTCACCGTGTTAGCCAGGATGGTCTCAACCTCCTGACCTCATGATCCGCCCGCCTTGGCCTCCCAAAGTGCTGGGATTACAGGCATAAGCCACTGTGCCTGGCTGACATATTTATTTTTAAGAAGGTATTATTATTACTCAATCTGTATCCTTATTGTGAGTAAAGGGATAAAACTAATTTTCTCTCTATTATGGACTCTTTTCAATATTTTAACCGAGATCAATAAAAAAGAAAGCACTCTTTTTTCATAAAAAATATCACTTGGGAGGATACAAAAGAACTACTTGAATTACTTTTTTAAAAAAATTGCGCTCAGAGTACTTTACTCATGCTGTAATTTTATTGCTACTTAGTTTACATATAATTAATTCTTTTCTGTCTGTCCATCCCATCTTATTTGACTTTCTTTTTCACCATACAGCGGTCGACTTTTAGCTGTTCTTTCTTCGGATTATAATCATCAAGGTCTTTCTCATTGGAGCACAAAGCAGCATGACTAGGTTGGAGATAAGAATAAAACATGCAAATAGGAATCGTTTCTTCCTAGAAAAGTGTGTATAAATAAAGTTTTCATCTTCGATAAAGTTTTCAACTTTCAGTTTCACCCCAGACAGCCATCTTCTAGTTAACTCTGGACTCCGTCCTCTGGGGTTCGCAGCCTCCCTGTCTATGAGCCTTTGCTCTTCTGCAGTTACAGTCCTCAGACTTCCTCAGTTTCAAGTATGTTCGTTTCCTCCCCATCCGACATGCAACACAGAGCTGCCTCATTATTTATTCTCTCTGCATATTCAGCCTTCTTGTTGCCAGACATAGAGTTCTACATTGCTCTCCTTCCAGGTCTCATATGCAGACATTTCCCGTGTGATCGGAGTCCTCTTCCCGTTTCACTTCTTCCACTGCAGCAGCTCTGGCTTTGTGGGGTTCTCTCCATCTCTATCAGTCTGGCTTCCCTTGCCTCTCCATCCAGCCTGGCTTCCACTGTCAGCTGCTTCTACTAAGCGCTAACTCCTGCTTTAGACTGTGTCCTTGCCATACCCTCTATGCCCATCCCTGGCCCTGGGCAGCCTTCACTGGGGCTTGATGGGCTGACAGGGCAATCTGGCTGGAAGAGTATGAAGAGGGGGGACAGTAGCTGTGTCTGAAAGCTGCATTTGTAGCACGAGAACACTGATTTTACTCAGATTGCTTGGTACAGATCAGCAAAAAGAGCAAATATTTCTTCAGACTTGTTTTATTCTTACCACATGAAATTGAGAAGGTTTTAATTGGCCTCTCAAATAATATTATTATTATACTTTTTGACGTGGGATGCCTGACAGAGACGATGGCAGGACCATATTCCCTTCCCTCAACACACAAGACCTTTTACTGTGGTCTGAGGCTGCACTTCATCTTGAACTCTACTGAGAAGGAGTGGGGGAGCCTGTTTGTAGGAATACTAGTAGTCAGGTCCATGTTCTGCTCTGGAAATGATGGATTTGTGTGATCGTTGTGTATGCATGAGTGTGTGTGTATGTCTGTGTGCATGAATACACATGGACACATACTCCTCAAGTGTACTCAGCACCAGCTGCACAGAGACGGTCCTATTTGTGTTCAACAAGATTTTCTCCTGCTCCCAGTAAAGCAGATATTTTGCCTTCATTGATTCTGAGTTGAGCTGCAAGCTTTAGGCAAAAGAATGGGATCTATAACAAGATTGGCCAACCGCATAGGTGAAGGCTGTACTGCATCCGAAGAACCCAGTTCAAGCCGACATGACCCCATGCAGGCTTGCAGTTAGCTGTGTGTGAAGCCACTCCATGGCACCCCACTCCTGGGGCTTAAGGCAGCCATTAATTCTGAATACGATGTGGGAGGGATATGTTTCTAAGGGTATCACATTAGTAGTTATAGCAACCAGTCTTTTTATAAAGATGAAGATTTTGATTGGAGATCACTTGGGTGACAGCACATAGGGTCTCAATACAAGCATCTGTTCTGCTTGCTGTAAGGACATATCCAGGAATAAATACAGTCTTTGTCAGAAATTTGCTTAAACTAGTGGAATTGTGGCTGGGCACAGTGGCTCACACCTGTTATCCCAGCACTTTGGGAGGCTGAGGCAGGCAGATCACGAGGTCAAGAGATTGAGACCGTCCTGGCCAACATGGTGAAACCCCGTCTCTACTAAAAATACAAAAATTAGCTGGGTGTGGTGGCGCGCACCTGTAGCGCCAGCTACTCGGGAGGCTGAGGCAGGAGAATCTCTTGAACCTAGGAGGCGGAGCTTGCAGTGAACCACAATTGCGTTACTGCGCTCCAGCGTGGTGACAGAGCGAGACTCTCTCTAAAACACACAAACAAAAAACTAGGGGAGTTGGGTTGAGGTGTGAAGAACAGAAGGAGTGTTGTGTTTATTTACCTCTTCACCAATTATTAATTAGTTCATTGACTGAGCACTCATTGAGCACTGTGCTATGTGCTAGACCCAAGACTAGGCTCTGTGGATGACAAAGACATAGTCTCTGCTCTTAAGGAGCCCACAGACAAATGGAAGAAAAGAATATTTAACACGGAGGTAGAGAAGGAGGGAAAGAAGGGTGTAATGAAGGAGTTGCTATCTGGGCTGACCTCAGATAGGATGGCAAGAGATGGCCATGCAAGAAGGAGTGGCCTTGGAAGAAGCCCACAGGCACTGAGAGGAAAGTCCTGCAGGAGCTGGGTGCTTTTCCAAGAGCTTGTTCATTTCATCCTCACAAGATTCCCATGAGTGGGTGCCATTTTTCCTCCATGGTGTAAGGTAGCAGACAGGCATTGCATGGCTTAGTGATGTGTTTGGAGTTGTACTCTTGGGAACTCAAATCCAGGTGGTCTGGCTGCAGGTCCTGGGCACGTACGGTCATGTTCTACTGCCCCAGAGGAGAAGAGTAGAAATTGGGCCTGAAGCTCGGCTACAGAGAAGGACACAGGCAGAGGTGGCAGCGTGCAGGGAGTGTTTAAGTGGAGAGGAGAGAGAAGGTGCAGAAAATGACAGCAGCGGTAGCAGCCACTGATAATTTGATTAGAACATCTGGAGTTTGAAAAGCACTATCTCTATACCATCTTTTTTGACTCCTCCCTGATAACTGGGTGAGCAAGCGGCATTGGGAATCATAATCTCATTTCATAGATGAGAAAACTGGGGCTCTTCTAAGTGTGGGCCAAACTCACAGAGTTTATATGTCACCTTAGCCTGGATCTGCACAGAATCAAAACCCCTGCTTTCTCCACTAACTCAGGCAGTCTTGGTGCCCAGCGCTCAAGGCACACGCTGCAGCTAAGGCCTGGGGAGCCTTTGCCTTCAGGACAACTGAAGGACTTCCCTCCATATCTGGCCAATCACTGATCTTTTCCCCTCACCACATGCCCAACATGTTCCTTTGATTTGAGTTTGCGAGACACACAGGAGGAGGTCTTGTGAGCAGCAAAGTTTCTGTACAAACTTGCAGGTGATGCTGGCATCTCCTCGGTCCTGCACAGGCCTGGTCAGGACAGTATTGATCAATTCCTTTGCATAAATGCAGGGGAGGCAGCTTGGGTGAGAGCAGCATATGTCTTTTAGATTCCGACTCTCCTAGGTTTGAATTCCAGCCCCAGTGGTGTGGTAAGAAATCCTGTTTTCTGTATGTTTTACCCAGAAAAATGGGGATAACCATACACCCATGTTCTCAGCAGCACTATTCACAGTAATCAAGAGGCGAAAGCAACCCAAGGGTCCGTGGAGGGATGAATGGATAAAGAAAACACAGTGCATACACACAGTGGAATATTATGTAGCCTTAAAAAGGAGGAAACTCTGGCCAGGCGCGGTGGCTCACGCCTACAATCCCAGCACTTTGGGAGGCTGAGGCAGGCAGATCACAAGGTCAGGAGATCGAGACCATCCTGGCTAACATGGTGAAACCCCATCTCTACTAAAAATACAAAAAAAATTAGCCAGGTGTGGTGGTGGCCACCTGTAGTCCCAGCTACTCCAGAGGCTAAGGCGGGAGAATGGCATGAACCTGGGAGGCAGAGCTTGCAGTGAGCCGAGATCGCACCACTGCACTCCAGCCTGGGTGACAGAGCAAGACTCCATCTCAAAAAAAAAAAAGAAAAATTAGCTGGTGATGGTGGCATGCACCTGTAGTCCCAGCTGCTCGGGAGGCTGAGGCAGGAGAATCGCTTGAACTCGGGAGGTGCAGATTGCAGTGAGCTGAGATTGTGCTGCTGCACCTCAGCCTGGCAACAGAGTGAGACTCCATCTCAAAAAAAAAAAAAAAAAAAAAAAAGGTTACAATGCTAAATGTTGTGTCGTATGTTTTACCACAATAAAACATTTTCAAAATTGAAATAATAATGTCTAATATTGGGATAGCTGAGAGGATTAAATCAGATTTTGACTCAAAGGGCCTAGCAGTTGCTCAAAAAATGTTAATTCTCTCACCCTTTCCCGGGGATAAAACTTGGTGATCTGTTTTCTCCTAAAGTTGAGATTTGAAC
This sequence comes from Homo sapiens, assembly GCF_000001405.40. Classification (NCBI taxonomy): domain Eukaryota; kingdom Metazoa; phylum Chordata; class Mammalia; order Primates; family Hominidae; genus Homo; species Homo sapiens. The sequence continues at coordinate 293,006 of NW_025791785.1, read as the reverse complement.
CTTTACTCTACAACCCGCTATGGGATGTGAATATTCTCCTAAAAACCCCTTGCAGCTCTTAGTAGGGGTGGGTGGATATGTGCACTTGATACTATACAGGAGCGTCCTATGAACATGTGTGGTCTCAGCTCCTTCGTGCATGGAAGTGGTACGAGGGACCAGAGCATGTTTTTCATGGGAGAAGCAGGACTTTTGGAGAAGGGTGGAGTTTGGGCGAGGAGGAGGTTTGTACAAACTCTGAGAATAAACGAGCGTGAACAAAGGCAGGCAGTCCCAGGGTTGCAGTTTATCCTCCCCACTTAGGACGCTGCCTGACATAGAGCAGATGCTTCACATATACTTGCGGATAAACAAATAAGCAAGTGTAGCTGGGTGAAGGTGAGCATGCAAATGGCATGTAGAAGGGACAGGGAACCCATGGATGGTGTTATCTCCGTAAGAGGCTTGATGTGGGTCAGTTGGTGGGTGGTATTAGGAAAGGCAGCAAACAATAAGAAAAGGCACTGGAGGGGCCGGGCATGGTGTCTTTTGCCTGTAATCCCAGCACTTTGGGAGGCCAAGGCGGGCAGATCACCTGTGGTCGGGAGTTCGAGACCAGCCTGACCAACATGGAGAAACCTCATCTCTACTAAAAATACGAAATTAGCTGGGCGTGGTGGCGCATGCCTGTAACTGCAGCTTCTTGGAAGGCTGAGGCAGGAGAATCGCTTGAACCCGGAAGGCGGAGGTTGCGGCGAGCTGAGATCGAGCCATTGCACTCCAGCCTGGAGAACAAGGGAGAAACTCCGTTGCAAAAAAAATCCATTGGAATTTAATCCACAAGCAGATCAGAAGCCGTTCTAGATGTTTTGTTAAGGTGCTACATTTAGAGGCTGGGAGTGGAGGCGTTCCACTGCTGGGTAGTCTGCTCTCAGACCCATGGGTCTTGTGGAGCTATCTCAAGGGATATGAAGGGCATCTTGAAAATGGCCTGCTTCTCTCTCCCCTTTTTCTGGCTACACCCAGTGGCTCACATTGTGTGTGTGTGTGTGTGTGTGTGTGTGTGTGTGTGTGTGTGTGTCTTGGTGGGGGCTGGTTCACCATGAGTATTGGTCTTTCGTTCATGTACTCAGCTAACTGTTGTTCCCCGCTTTGAACTTGTGGATGTTTTTGGATTGTATGGAAAGGCAGGAAAAGAACTTGAGTGCCTCTCCAGCAATAAGTAGATTCTCAAAGTTTGCACATTAACTACCATAATAACAAAGATGCTATAATTCAGGAGCTTATGGAAAATGAGCCAGAATGTGCAATTATCCATAGTTACACAGGAGAACTCAAACCTAAAGACACTGAAGAATAAAAAGTAAATCCAGGTTTTCTGTTTAGCTTCTGATTTTTAAATCTTTTCATTTATGTGAATGTTTTGGTTTATTGTGTATTTTTGAGGATTCAGCATTGACCTCTACTTGAAAAACAGCTTTTTTAGTAATACATCTGAATTTGCTTTAATTTTAGGCCATAACTATTATTTGGCATATATATATATATATATATTTTTTTTTTTTTTTTTTCCAGATGGAGTCTTGCTCTGTTGCCAGGCTGGAGTGCAGTGGCAGGATCTCAGCTCCCTACAATCCCTGCCTCCCGGGTTCAAGCGATTCCCCTGCCTCAGCCTGCTGAGTAGCTGGGACTACAGGCACACACCACCATGGCTGGCTAGTTATTGTATTTTTAGTAGAGATGAGGGTTCACCATATTGGCCAGGATGGTCTCCAGCTCCTGACCTCGTGATCTACCCGCCTCAGCCTCCGAAAGTGCTAGGATTACAGGATAAGCCACCAGGCCCAGACATATTTTTAATTGACTATTTAAGTAGACCTTGGTAATAACTGCTTTTCTGTTTTTCACTGCATACTAGCAGGCAAGGGCAATTTTTTAGCCAGCCAATACCGCATTGATTCTTGTAAGTCAGTGGCTATTGCAAAATTAACCCTTGTGGGTTAAAAATAGATTTAAAATGTAAAGATGAACATGTAATATAAAGAAGACAATTTCTAAGGTTATTTTCAAATTGAAGCATCCGTGGTGGGAAACGATTATTTTGGCAGAGATAGTACTTAAAATAACACTTGGATTTGCAAACTGGAGAACATCAGCAGGATAATTCATAAGCATGCTCATTTCCTCCTTGCTGGGTATTAGCCAGGAATACAGTACAGCATATGGCTTGTTATTCTTGTAGCTGGAGACGACAGAATTAAATCCAGAGATGAATGACTGTTTTCTCATCTAAGTCCCAGCCTGTCTGCCTTTCCAGGAACTGGCTAGTTATGATGGGACATGGTTTTGCTGTGAGGCCAAGATGCAGGAGGGGCAGGAAGCACCCATGGGGCTGTCTTCACTGCAGGTGACACACGCTGAACACAGCCTTCAACCCTTGCCATGTGCAGCCCCCGCAAGGCAAGCTGGCTTTGGATTGACAAGTGGTTTCTGGGAGATGCAGTAGAAGTACTTTTCTCTATTCTTCTGCTAAGTCAACTAAAAACCCTGGACGTTATACATAAAGCAAACAGAAGAATCCCCTGGAAGGCAGAAGAAAGCCAAGCGCTGGCCGATGACCTCAGGGCCTGAGGAGCATCACACTCCCAGGCTGGCATAGGCAGAAGCCCAGTGGGAAGGGCAGAATCTCCTGCTGCTTCCTGCAGGAGTAATGAGGGGCCCTCCTGCTGTGGGGTATCAACAGAGACTGAGTGTGGAACCCAGACTCCTGCCTTCACTTACAGTAACAAGGTGACATTTCCCTTCCCTTCACACAGGGTTTTACATTTGCTCCCTGTGATAGCCTTAGATCATGTTAGGGCTATTGAACCAGAGGCCCCTCTGTTCTGTTCCACACAAAACTCACCTCCCTGGATTCTTCAGTTGATTTTGGATCTTGTGATGAGAAGTTGTGAGCTTCTGTGCTAAACTTAAGGACAGAGAAGGACTCTAATTTATCTTTGCATTCATCAAAGATGAATTATTTGAGTCTAAACTACCCATAGCATTTAGTGTAGTGTCTGGGCGTATAGGAACTTGATACATATGGGTTGAACTCTTGATGGAATTGTTAAGAGCATAAGTGTTTCTGGAACATTCTGTTTATCTGACTTTACAGTGATTAACTAGACATACCTTACAGAGACTGACACAGACAATGAGAAATTGGAATTTCTTTGTCACCAGAACTGAAATCTGCTGAGGGCGATGAGAGAGCTGCTGTAGAGAAGTTCTCATAGGCATACTCTTCTCTGGGTAGCATTGGAAACTTTCGAATTCTTACTTTTCTATTGAGAGGATATGGGATTTGGTGTCAGACTTCAATTCAAATTTCATCACTGTGCTCCTGGGCAAATGACATAGCCTCCTTGCACTTTGGTTGTCTCACCTATATATGTTATACAATACGGTATACCATTTTACTGTGAGAGTAAGACGTTTCTCAAATTGTTGGGGAAATTTAATTAACAAAGATACGTGAATGAATCTAGCATGGTGGCTAATATCTAAATTACTCTAAGTCTTCATCTCCTAATATTATTATTCTGCAAACTAGATAAGATAGCTATAATTTCCCTTTTTTTTTTTTTTTTTTTTTTTTTTTTGAGAGAAGATCTCACTCTGTTGCCAAGGCTGGAGTGCAGTGGTGCAAGCATGGCTCACCGCAGCCTTGATCTCCTAGGCTCAAGCTATCCTTCCACCTCAGCCTCCCAAGTAGCTGGGACCACAGGTATGTGCCACCAAGCCTGGCTAATTTTTGCATTTTTTTGTAGAGACGGGATCTTGCCATGTTGCCCAGTCTGGCTTCAAACTCCTGAGCTCAAGTGATTCTCCCGCCTCAGCCTACCCAAGTGCTGGGATTACAGGAAAGAGCCACTGTGCCTGACCTAATTTTTCTTAAATAATAAGCAACACTTTCCAGTGACTACATATGATCAATTAGGGTGGGTAATTCCTTCTCCAGATGACTGGGCTTATTTATGACAAACTCTTCATTTTAATTTTATTGGGAAAATAGCATCTAACCTCAAGTTCAAATTTGAGAGAACCTTACTGTGGACCACAAAACCTGCCCACCGATATGCATCTTTGAAATAAATAACTAATGATAATGTGTTCAATAATGACCTGCCTTTAATTAATGCATTAAAATAGTAATAAGCAGAAAATCTTTATTTCGAATGTAATGTATCTTCTTATAAGCAGAAAAGCCCTTATTTTTTCAGCATGTTCATATTACTTTTATAAAGATGTTGGATTTCATGTGAGGGCAGCCAGTTCTTATCCTTGTGTATTTATCTCCATGGCTCATTCCTTATCCAGCTGCTACTGAAAAGTCCTGGAGTTCAGATGGATGATTTTGTAAGGTATAAGTAGCCACCCTTAGGGAAAACAAGGCAACTGATAACTGTAGTGAATATGGTAGCTGAAAGACCACAATCTATTTAGCCAACTTGTGTCCGACAAGGGCAAGTAGACAAGCTTTTCAGTGTTTAGAATAACAGGGGTCAAGGTTACTTACTCAAATCGTCTCCTGGAAAGAACACAGACTTTGGACTTAGAGCTGCCCTCAGATCTTGGTGTTGACATTTGCTGCCCTTAATAAACTACTTATTCTCTTAGAGCCTCAATTTCCTTGTGAAAATCATAAAACAGGCTAAGATTTTTTTATGTTTACTATGCATAAGGAGCTGAACCTTGTAATTATCTTTTTTTTTTTTTTCTGAAACGGAGTCTTCCTCTGTCACCAGGCTGGAGTGCAGTAGCGCGATCTTGGCTCCCTGCAACCTCCGCCTCCTGGGTTCAAGAGATTCTCCTGCCTCAGCCTCCCGAGTAGCTGGCACTACAGATGCACGCCACCACACCCAGCTAATTTTTGTATTTTCAGTAGAGACGGGGTTTCACCATGTTGGCCAGGATGGTCTCAATCTCTTGACCTCGTGATCTGCCTGCCTCAGCCTCCCAAAGTGCTGGGATAACAGGTGTCAGCCACCGTGCCCTGCCCCAATTCCACTAGTTTAAGTAAATTTCTGACAAAGACTATATTTATTCCTGGATGCGTCTTTACAGCAAGCAGAACAGATGCTTGTGCAAGCTCCGCCTCCTGGGTTCATGCCATTTTCCTGCTTCAGCCTCCCGAGTAGCTGGGACTACAGGCTCCCGCCACCATGCCCGGCTAATTTTTTTTTGTATTTTTAGTAGAGGTGGGGTTCACCGTGTTGGCCAGGATGGTCTCGATCTCCTGACCTCGTGATCTGCCCACCTTGGCCTCCCAAAGTGCTGGGATTACAGGCGTGAGCCACCGTGCCCGGCCTGTACTTTGTAATTTTCATGTTATGTCACACTCAGTTCCCACAAAGTCTATATAAGCTGATAAGTGTATCCCATTTTTCGGATGAGGAAACAAAGACCCAGAGGAACTAAATGACTGTCCCAAGTTCTTGCTATTAATAAATTACAGAATCAGCAATGGAACTCAGGTCTTCCGGCTCTGAAAACCGTACTCTGAAGACTGCATTACACTACTTCATTCCCCAAACTGATAAAAATAAGATCAACTTTGAGGGGATTTAAAATAATATGGTGATATATGTTAAATTTACAAAGCAGTGCCTGGCCTAAAAGGGTATGTTCAATAAAAGTTATTATTATTGATTACTTCAGGAAAATCATGAATTGCACATAATATTGAACAAAATGATGATTGCTGTTTATTAAGCACAATACGTGCCAAGCTTTCTGTTAAGTGAATATATGCACTATGACATTTACTGCTCATAAAAACTCTATTATGCACATTTTTAAAATTATCTTCCTTTTTAAAATAAACAAAAATTGTGGCTCAGAGAGATCAAGTGCCTTGTACAAAGTCATGTTACACAGCAGTGGGAATCAGAACCAGGCCTGTGGATTCCAAAGCCCAGCTTTTCTGTTTGTTAGTTTTTATATTTAACCACTTTGCTGTGTGGCCTTCCTAAAGAGGAAAAGCTTCTGACCCCCAAAATGAACCTGAATTTTGGAACAGGTACGTGTAAATTTGTGTCAGAGGGCCCATTTTAGGTAAACATACTTGATGATGCAGATGAAATATAAAAACACTCTCAGAGATGAGACAGCTGAGCAGGAAAGGAAATACTTTAAACCAGGAAATGGAGAATTAATTCATCTGGAGGAAAAATAACTCCAAATATATATTTGATGAAACACAAAAGCTTGCAAGCAGTGTAGAGAATCTTGTTAGAAAGATTGATTTTGGCTTCTTCCCTTCTGTTCATTGCATCTGAATAATCACTACAATCTCATCTATAAATGGTAAAATTCCTAAATCAGGTGTAACCGAAATCTCCATTTTGTAAACTCTAAATTAATTCCATAAGACATTTTAGTGCCATGCAAAGTTATTGACGTCGTATCTAATTCTATTTGGTCTTTCCATCAACCATAGCGTTTTTCTTGCTTCTAGAGATAAATGCCATTATAAAATATTTAGAATTCTATAGTGTCTCATTGGGAGTTTCACTTGAGGGCGGTTGCCTCCCAGGGAACTGTGTGGTGCTCTGATGAACCCCATCTTTCTATCTGTAGTCACTGCACAGCTCCCCAAGCTCCCCCTGGGGTGGTCCCCTCAGCCGGAAATGTCCCCACCTCCTCCGGCCTCTGCTTATCAGCCTGTGCTCGTCATTCAGCATGAAACCTCCAGGTCACGTCTGCAGAGAAGCCATCCCAGAACTACCCCCAGTGGAAAGTTCCTCTGTTACCTGCTCTGTGGCAGAGCCCACAACATAATTAATAACATGTCATGTGACAAAGCTTCATGTCATTTTCCCTGCCTTAAGGGCAAAGGCTGTATCTGCCTCACTTTCTGCTGTATCCCCAGAGCCTGGCCAGCTTTATTTAGGTTAAAATATAAGAAATCACTGATATTTCACTGTCCTTAGTCTACAAAAGCGGCAATGTCATATGAGTCAACCAAATACTTAACATTTAAAGGATGCTTTTTGCATATTTTATGACTGTAGGAATATTTGCTGCAACCTATTTTAGATTTCAGCCCATCTGCCTCCAGCCCTATCTCCTGTTTCTTAAAGAGGAAGATAGGGGGTCTTGGGGTGGTGGTTAGACTATATAGAGGACAAATAGTCTTCCTCCTAAAGTTGCCTCCAAAGTTATTTTCCAGTTTCTGGAATTGAACAACTAAGGGCAGTAGGTAATTTTGGCAAGTCCCCCAGCAATCAGTCAAATTGACCTGATGCTGAAGTCAGGGCTGGAGCTTCATTAAAGCAGAGAAAGATTAAGTGACTGTGGGTAAGCTCCTGAATTCTCTGCACCAACTGGAGTAGTAAATAACCGATCACATGTCTTTGTTTCCTCCAATATTTTGGAAAGAAAAAGAAATTGCTAATTATTGATTTCCCCCCTGAAATTTCACTGATCAATAGAAACTTGAGTGATAGCCAGAGTTCACTCTTTAACTGTGGCCAGTCTCAACAAGCATCATTCATTAAGATGACTGCCACAGTCATGCTTCAAACCAGGAAAAAATAACCTCAAATGAGAAATTACTGAAGGTCACAATGAGGTTACAGACACATAAGAAATGGAGACGTAATCGTGATTGCAAAAGGACCTAGGACTGTGGACAATTCTGGGTATTGCAAAGCTCAGGTTGCCTGATGATTTGGGGGGAAAAACAACAATATGGGAAGAAACTTAATCTCCACAGTGTCCTGATGTTCCAGAAGCGAACTTGCCGAAGTCAAGCAAATATAACCAGACAATGTTACTGATAAAAAGATATTATCGGCCGGGCGCGGTGGCTCACGCCTGTAATCCCAGCACTTTGGGAGGCCGAGGCGGGTGGATCACGAGGTCAGGAGATCGAGACCATCCTGGCTAACACGGTGAAAACCCGTCTCTACTAAAAATACAAAAAATTAGCCGGCCGTGGTGGCGGGCGCCTGTAGTCCCAGCTACTCGGGAGGCTGAGGTGGGAGAATGGCGTGAACCCGGGAGGCGGAGCCTGCAGTGAGCCGAGATTGTGCCACTGCACTCCAGCCTGGGCGACAGCGAGACTCCATCTCAAAAAAAAAAAAAAAAAGATATTATCAAATTAGGAAAGATTTTTTAGATACGTAAGCCCTCAAAGGTATGTAATCATACCACATAATGGAAGGTAGACATATTTAAAGAAAGAAATATGTATCTGTCAATTATGCTTTAATAAAGCCAGGAAAAACAAATGGAAAGAAAGAAAGGAAGAGAAAAAATTTCATTGAACATCTATGGTACAGCAGCCTGAAATCTTTCACATTTTGAGATTTTATGTGTGAGTTGAAAGCACCGTTACTTGACTTTTAAATATAGATGACTATGTTGGTTACGATTATTATAGTTCCATTCAGGAAAACAATCAACACAAACACATTCTCTTTTCTGTTTCTTTTCTATGTAAAATGCTCCAAAATCAATAATATTATTCTTGAGTGTTGCATTTATTTGTCTGTTTATTATCATGCAACATTTTTTCTATTACCCGTCCACACTCAATTCCCTTTTGGGGAATTATTCATCCCACATTTTGTGCAGTTATGGAGGGGATGGTAAGTACGGGTGCCTTTCTCCTACTGTTGAAACTAAAGGAGCCGGCTCCTTTTTCTCCCACCAAGTACAGCTATAGAGGTGCAAGTGACTGATGCTTGGCCAATGAAACCATCTGCCAGAACTTTGACTCCGGAAAGAATGGCTCAGAGGTGCAAGAAGCCACTGCAATGGACTCTTCCCAGCCTGGGTATCCTGCTAGGTCTGTTTTTGCAGAAAAGCAGTTGTGACTGTAGCATCTCACCTCCCTTAGTAGGCTGACCGTTTCTTTAGCCTCTCACAGATTTTATAGACCCTCAACATGATTATAATAAACGCCCTTTGCTTAAGTGAGTCTGGATCAGTTTCTGTTGTTTCTAACCAAGGAGCCCTAGCTCAAACACTGCCTTATGCAACTCACATGCAAGGTAGGAGGAAGAGCCTACTAGCATGGCACGCATGGCTTCACAGAGCAAATGCTGTTATTGAAGGAAGGATGCTGGACTGGTGTTCAGTAAGGCTGAGTTCAAGTTCCACACCTGCCAATTAATAACTGTGTGTTTTGGGTTAGGTCTTGTAATGGTTCCAAACTTCATTTTAGAAGTTATATGCAAGTGACAAAAATAATACTTCCTTTGAGGTTGTTAGAAAAACTAATGGATTTATGTGCATGAAAAAGCTCTAAAGTGCAAAATCAAAGCTACCTGTCATCATAGAGCTGAAGGGCTGGCCGTCTCTTCAGCTTTCCTCAACAGCACAGAGGAAAGACGATGACAGCCCTCAGTTATTCATTTATAAATCAACAGATATTCCTCCACTTCTCCTAAGTGCCAGTCACCGTTCTAGGCGAATGTGAGACAAAGATAAAAGAGACAGAGCCTCCTCTTCCCAAAGGTCAAAGCCTGATAGACAGCAGACAGAAGCGCAGCAGACTATTGCAATTCACTGTGACTAGGTCAAAGCCAAAGGCAGCCAGTGAGCGGCAGCTTCATTGCGGGCATGAGAAAGAGGAATCCTTTATTTGGCTTAAGAGGGTGCTTGCTTGGCCAGGTGCGGTGGCTCACGCCTGTAATCCCAGGTCTTTGGGAGGCCGAGGCGGGCGGATCACGAGGTCAGGAGATCGAGACCACGCTGGCTAATATGGTGAAACCCCGTCTCTACTAAAAATACAAAAAATTAGCCGGGCGTGGTGGCGGGCGCCTGTAATCCCAGCTACTCGGGAGGCTGAGGCAGGAGAATGGCCTGAACCCAGGAGGTGGAGCTTGCAGTGAGCCGAGATCACGCCACTGCACTCCAGCCTGGGTGACAGAGCGAGACTCTGTCTCAAAAAAAAAAAAAAAAAAAAAAAGAGGGTGCTTGCTCTTGGAAGAGTTGATTTTCATCAGATGGACAGGAGGACAGGAGAGATGGAGGTATAGGTAGAGGGTATAGCTCTGCAGGCTGCATGCCGGGGCGCACGGTGAGCCGAATGGCCGAAGGGTGACGTGTATCGAGGTACTGGAAGGATGGGAGCTCCCAGGACTCTTTGAGAACCCAGATGGCACAGGGGGTTGGGACTTCACGGAGGAAGGGAGAAGTGGGCCCGACACAGGTAAGTGAATGGGCGAATTTTCTTACAGCTCTCCCTCTTTGCAACTCTGTGGCTGCAAAGGCATGCTTAGGCGATGTGAACAACTCCACGGGGTGGGGGTGGTGAGTGTCCCTTCCATGATTTACTTCCAGCAGACCCCCCACTGAAAAGGGATTAGGCTCACTCACAGAGGATGCTCATATCACTGTCTAGAAGGAAGATATAACTTTTACACACAATTTTGCTTTCAGCAAGGATCGTTTTCATGCTGAGAATTCAATAAAACCAAATTCCACTGTAACAGCCCAAGCAAATCAACAAACAAGGCTGGGATTAGAAGTGATGGGGAAACACACTGTCGAGGAGGCATGCGGGTCTGGAGAAAAGAAAAAGAAAAAAGAGCAGGGTGGAAATACAGACTCCCCGTCGTGATTTTTCTATTTGCTTGTCTTTCGGTTCTTATGTACCTTCTTTGGGTTATTTCCATTTTCTACTTTCCCCCCTATAGGTTCCAAGTCATTAGGAAAGAAGAGTCCCAGGCACGTGTATCCTGATTTCCATCTCCTTGGTGGAGGATTTTGACTTGCGTGGGAGAATTGCTCTCTTTCCCAGAGAGGCCCCACCTGTTTCAGAAGGAGCTGGCTGTGACTTAAATCATAGTCTGGATGATAGGTTTCCAAATTTGTTAGGCGCATAGATCCCTTAGTGTCTTCAAAATTTTTTCAAAATATTCCTAGGCTCAAAAATATATCTAAGAGTTCTGTTTATTAAGTAGAGAAGTTATAATACACTAATAAGTAGTTTGGACTACCAATTTAGCAGCCATTTGAAGAAATGCATAATTTAAAAAATTTCATTTTTAAATAACCACAATTACTTACTAGTGGGATGTGAGAGCCTATTGGGTACAGCCACTGCAAAATTTCTCAAATGTTAGAATCAGATTAGACACCACCGCCCTCATTTTCTTTCTTTTTTTTTCTTGTCACCCAGGCTGGAGTGTAGTGGTGCGCAATCTCAGCTCACTGCAACCTCCACCTCCCCGGCTCAAGCAATTCTCCTGCCTCAGCCTCCCAAGTAGTTGGGATTACAGGCACCTGCCACCATGCCCAGCTAATTTTTGTATTAACTTTTTTTTTTTTTTTTTTTTTTTTTTTTTTGAGACGGAGTCTCGCTCTGTCGCCCAGGCCAGACTGCGGACTGCAGTGGCGCAATCTCGGCTCACTGCAAGTCCACTTCCCGGGTTCACGCCATTCTCCTGCCTCAGCCTCCCGAGTAGCTGGGACTACAGGCGCCCGCCACTACGCCCGGCTAATTTTTTGTATTTTTAGTAGAGACGGGGTTTCTCCTTGTTAGCCAGGATGGTCTCGATCTCCTGACCTCATGATCCACCCGCCTCGGCCTCCCAAAGTGCTGGGATTACAGGCGTGAGCCACTGCGCCCGGCCTTTTGTATTAACTTTTATAACTTTTAACTTTGGCTTGCCTGCTGTTTAATACAGGGGTCAGTAAATTACAGCCTGAGGTTTAAACCCAGCTGACCCTCTGTTTTTGTATGGCCCATGAGCTAAGAACGGCTTTTACGTTTTTAAATGGCTGAAAAGAATTTGCTTTTTTTTTGCTCTGTCTACCAGGCTGGAGTGCAGTGGTGCGACCTCGGCTCACTGCAAGCTCCGCCTCCCAGGTTCACGCCATTCTCCTGCCTCAGCCTCCCAAGTAGCTGGGAGTACAGGCACCCGCCACCATGCCCAGCTAATTTTTTGTATTTTTAGCAGAGACGGGGTTTCACTGTGTTAGCCAGGATGGTCTTGATCTCCTGAGCTCATGATCTGCCCGCCTCGGCCTCCCAAAGTGCTGGGATTACAGGCATGAGCCATTGCACCCTGTCAATAATTTACTTTTTAATTAATATTTTGTGACACACGAAAATCATACGAATTTCAAATTCCAGTGTCCATACTTAAAGTTTTCTTAGAACATATCCACACTCATTCATTTCTGAGCTGCCTGTGGTCACTTTTGGGTTACAGTGGCAGAATTGTGTAGGCACAATAGTCCTGAGTGGGGTCCTCGTAGCGTCATGCTCTTCTCAGCACATTACAAATCACAGTAAACTCAAAACTTGACATTATTTCAAGTGCCATACATATCTGCATGCTGTAATATTTATTTTATTACCCAGTGCATACCCATTATGTGAAAACAAAACAGAAAAGGAAAGAAAATGATGACTTTGTTTTTTTGTTTTGTTTTGAGACGGAGTCTTTCTCTGTTGCCCAGGCTGGAGTGCAGTGGTGCAATCTTGGCTCACTGCAACCTCTGCCTCCCAGGTTCAAGCAATTCTCCTGCCTCAGCCTCCTGAGTAGCTGGAATTACAGGCGTCCACCATCATGCCGACTAATTTTTGTATTAGTAGAGACGGGGTTTCACCGTGCTGGGCAGGCCGGTCTTGAACTCTTGACCTCAGGTGATCCACCCACCTCGGCCTACCAAAGTGCTGGGATTACAGGTGTGAGCCACTACCCTCTGTCAAAAAGAGGACTTTGAATGTAATACTTTCTTTTTTTTAATTGTTTTTGAGACAGAGTCTCGCTCTGGTGCCCAGGCTGGAGTGCAGTGGCGCAGTCTCGGCTCACTGCAAGCTCTGCCTCCCGGGTTCATGCCATTTTCGTCCCTCAGCCTCCCGGAATGTCACACTTCTAAGGCATAGCAGTGTTGATTATTTTGTTATTGAATTAGATGACAAAGAATCATATTTATAATAGAATGACACTGTAGTTAGGCTAAAAAATACAATATGCATCATCATAACCAGACTAAGCACTTATCACAATCTTCCTAACTTACAGAAAGGCAATGGTCTAGAAAATTAGATAATTTAAAAAAGAATATTTTAATATAGCTGAATTTGTTCACAAAAATGAACAATAAAAATGATGCTGTGGCCGGGCGTGGTTGCTCACGCCTGTAATCCAGCACTTTGGGAGGTGGGTGGACTACTTGAGGTCAGGAGTTCAGGACCAGCCTGGCCAACCTGGCAAAACCCTGTCTCTACTAAAAAACATAAAAATTAGCTGGATGTGATGACAGGTGCCTGTAATCCCAGCTACTTGGGAGGCTGAGACAGGAGAATTGCTTGAACCTGGGAGGCGGAGGGTGCAGTGAGCCACGATTACACCGTTGCACTCCAGCCTTGGTGACAAAAGTGAAACTCCATCTCAAAAAAAAAAAAAAAAAAAAATTGCTGCAAGGAAAGTGATTTTCCATGAGGCTCATTTGTTAACCAAGCAAGGAGAGCTATTTATTGATGGTAAGTTAATTACATCATGTTTGATTAGCAGCCAAAGGAATGTGTCCAGAGAAAATAAACCCTGGACTCTGTCCAGAGGAAATAAGACTATTAGCCTTTCAGCAAGAATAGTTGCTCGAATAGTTGCTCAAATAGTTGGGGAATTTGGGATAAATAGCAGTATCAAAAACAAAGTAAGTGATTTCTGTTGGTTCTTAATGAGTTGACAGATGTTACTAATGCTTCTCAGTTGTTATTTAAGGAGTCAATGCTGAGTTTAAAATGATGAAAGATTAGGCCGGGCATGGTGGCTCATGCCTGTAGTCCCAGAACTTTGGGAGGCCGAGGCGGGCAGATCACGAGGTCACAAGATTGAGACCATCCTGGCAAATATGGTGAAACCCCATCTCTACTAAAAATACAAAAAATTAGCTGGGCATGGTGGCGGGTGCCTGTAGTCCCAGCTACTCGGGAGGCTGAGGCAGGAGAATGGCGTGAACCCGAGAGGTGGAACTTGCAGTGAGCCCAGATTGCGCCACTGCACTCCAGCCTGGGTGACAGAGTGAGACTGACTCTCAAAAATAAATAAATACATAAATAAATAAATAATAAAAAAATGAAAGATTAGGCTCGATGAATAGTCTACTGAGAACACTTCTGATGAGAATAGGGTCACAGAAAACACCAAGTACAACATCAAGTGGAATCTGATAAAATGGGTTACAGCTGATGATGGTAAAATATGTATGGAGCAGAAAAAGTCTTGGACAAATTTACAAAGCTTGTGAAAATGCAAAGTGTGTAAAGCCTATGGTTATTTATTTTGTCATCAGCAGGCACTATGCAGAAAATATTTGAATATATCGTATATTATTGAATCAGTAGTTTCAATGTTAACTCTCTTCGCTCTTGGTGGACTTTACCATTGTCCCTTCTGTAAAATATTGTCAGATATAAAAGTGAATGTCCTGACTTGTTTTCAGTGGCTTAACAGTGGTAAAGCTCTATGGTCAAGATTAAATTAATCTGAATGAGAAGAACTCCCTTCAATACTACATGGCTTTGGAAATTAATGTTTGTTCCAGACTCGACAATATTTTTAAGTAAACCTAAAATTTCAAGGCAAAACATTACTCGTTTATGAAGTTTACATTGCTGGAAAGTCATTTTGACAATAACATGTTATTTGGATCACAAATAATGCCAAGCTACTTATAGACTTGAAGTGATGTAAAAAGTTAAAGCAAGAAGTAAGACCTTTATTCTTACACAGTTTTGTAGTGGGTATAATTTCTAAGCTTAAACTACAGTTTTATCCTCAATGCAAGTATGGATTGAAATTTCCATACTTCAAAATGTATTAAACTGTGGAATTGAGAGCTTCTACCTAGCTTTCAACTAGAAGTGATACATTTGCAGTGTAGCAATGTAGCAGCATGCTAAAACTATCAAGAGAAGAATCTAATAGAATCCTAAAATATCCTTGTGATGAATATTCTCCATTAAAATCATATGTTCGTGGATTTATGTCAGTACTTGGTCATTCCTATTTATGTGAAAAGACATTTTCAAGATGATGAAATTTCAAAGATGAAATACTCCAAATCTAATTACAGATAAACACAAACAAATGATCATTTTTTTGTTGTTGCTGTTTTTTCCGCTTTTTCTTTTTGAGTTGGAGTCTTGCTCTGTCGCTCAGGCTGTAGTGCAGTGGCACAACCTTGGCTCATTGCAAGCTCCGCCTCCCAGGTTCACGCCATTCTCCTGCCTCAGCCTCCTGAGTAGCTGGGACTTTAGGCGCCCGCCACCACACCTGGCTAATTTTTTTGTATTTTTAGTAGAGATGGGTCTTCACCATGTTAGGCAGGATGGTCTTGATCTCCTGACCTCGTGATACACACGACTGGGCCTCCCAAAGTGCTGGGATTACAGGCGTGAGCCACCATGCCCGGCCACCAACTCCTTGTTAAATATAGTAAGGATATGAGAGAAATGGGCCAGATTTATTTGGCTTATTATTCTTGCAATGGAAAACTACTCTATCAGGTTAATCAGTTGACCATGACTTAGTCACTTATTGCTATAACATTAACAAACATTGATATCAGAGCAGGCTGGCCTGGTTAGGAAAATGCGTGTTCTGAATCAGAATTCAGGCAGAGGGTCAGCAAATGGGAAGTCTGTAGGAAAGATAGAACAATAACTGGACAACCAGGGTCAGAGATCCCAGTACCGGAGCCAGGCCACAGTGAACCGGAGATCCCAGCACAGATGGCAGTTTGGTTTTGGGCCAACACTTTGCCTATTGAGCTGGCACTTGGCTTCATGAAGGGAGCTGGGCAAGACATGAAAAGTTTGGGTTCAGTGTTGGAAGATAGGATCATTAACTTGAGTGGAGGATGGTAATTGAAAATTAAGGGGTGCAGCCAGGCACAGTGGCTCATGCTTGTAATCCCAGCACTTTGGGAGGCCCAGGCAGGTGGATCACGAGGTCAGGAGTTCGAGACCAGCCTGACCAACACGGTGAAACCCTGTCTCTACTAAAAATACAAAAATTAGCTGGGTGTGGTGGCGGGCACCTGTAACCCCAGCTACTTGGGAGGCTGAGGCACGAGAATCACTTGAACCCAGGAGGCAGAGCTTACAGTGAGTCGAGATTGTGCCACTGCCCTCCAGCCTGGATGACAGAGCGAGACTCCATCTCAAAAAAAAAGAAAAAAAAAAGAAAATTAAGAGGTGGTAGAAGGGAGAAGGGGCTGTGGGTAGAGCAGCTGACCCTGGAGGAGGAGATTATGCATCTGTTGTACCTATTATAAGTCAAACTCTAGCACCAGCCTACAGAAAGACGACCTAACAAGAATCCTGCAGTCTAATTAGATGGGTAATTTAGTTCAATAACCAGAAAATCAGAATTTCTCTCTCTCTCTGTTCCTATTTTCTGTAGGATAAGGGGAAAATTAGGACCAGGTTTTAGAAAACCGATGGCTTTCTATCATATATCATTCAATGTCATTCAGTTCTTAATCTATTACACACTATGTATGTTTTGAGCATATTTGCTGGGCTCAGCCCAGGCTCATTGACCTGGGTCAGACTCCTTTGCGGCCAGAATCTGCCATGGAGGTCAGGTCCTGGGATGAGGGAAAGAGCTACCTGCTGTACAAGACTCAGAGGACGAGGAATGCTGTGTGGACAAGAACCCTGACACTGAGTAGTAGCAACGAGGCATCAATCCACAAGTCAGGGCAGGCAGAGATCAGAGATACCAGGCAGGCATCAAATAAGACATAAATGCGGAGAAAGCACAGTGGAAATGGTTAAAAGTGGCATGGCTGGGTGGGAGGTCCAGGGAAAATAAGGAGCTACTATGGTACCTAGAGGGTGTGTTGGGAGCTCGTTTTCTTAGCCTTAGACTCATGTCATAACAGCCCAGGATTCTTTTTGTTACAACTTATTGTGTTATAGGAAAGAAAAGCAACATTAATAACATTCGCCTCTCATATGGAAAGATAGAAAGAAAGGACCATTTGGCTGGGCGCGGTGGTTCATGCCTGTAATCCCAGCACTATCCCAGCACTATGGGAGGCCAAGGCAGGCAGATCACGAGTTCAGGAGATCGAGACCATCCTGGCTAACATGGTGAAACCCTGACTCTACTAAAAGTGCAAAAAATTAGCAGGGTTTGGTGGCAGGCGCCTGTAGTCCCAGCTACTTGGGAGGCTGAGGCAGGTTAGAATGACATGAACCTGGGAGGCGGAGCTTGCAGTGAGCCAAGATCGCGCCACTGCACTCCAGCTGGGGTGACAGAGGAAGACTCTGTCTCAAAAAAAAAAAAAAAAAAAAAGAAAGAAAAAGAAAATGGACCATTTGTAGTTCCTGGTTTTTTTGGTAAGAAAATAGAAGGGCACATATGCCCTCAAAAAATTCAGTGGGTTTATCTTTTAGGAACATTTAAATCTTCCAGCCAATTGCCCTATTTCTTTTCTTTCTTTTTTTTTTTTTTTGAGATGGAATCTTGCTCTGTCACCAGACTAGAGTGCAGTGACATGATCTCGGCTCACTGCAACCTCCAACTCCCTGGTTCAAGCGATTCTCCTGCCTCAGCTTCCCAAGTAGCTGGGATTACAGGTGTGTGCCACCATGCCCAGGTAATTTTTGTATTTTTAGTAGAGACAGGGTTTCACCATGTTGGCCAGGAGGGTCTCGATCTCCTGAACTTGTGATATGCCCACCTTCGCCTCCCAAAGTGCTGGGATTACAGGCGTGAGCCACCACACCTGGCCCAATTGCCCCATATTCTTTCCCAGAAAATAACGTGTCCAATTCCTATGCATCGCTTAGGAATGGGCCAACTTTTCTGGAAGGAACTTGGCAACATGTGACCAAAGCATTAAAAAAGAGCATGTCACCCTACAGATGATATTTCTCTTCGTGAACTAAGTGTGGTAGCAGTAATGCTACTATCAAACCAAAGAAATAAGAACTCTATACTCATTTTCAACTCCATTTTGTCCTCTATGAGAAGCTTTTATGAAGGAAAATAGGCTCCGTGCCCCACCCACATGCCACCCGAACAGGGGAGCTATCAAAGCGATGCAGGAGTTTTTTGCTCCTTAGTTCATGTAAAATCCAGGTTCTTGCCACACAACCAGGAAAAATTAGGCACACGAATACACTCAAAGGTGAGGAGAGCGGGATTTATTAAAAGAAAGCTGTCGGCAAACAAATAGGGGGTCCTGCCAACAGGCTCCCACCTCACAGATTGAATACCAGGCCACCAAAACACACACAGACACACACAGATGCACATACATGAGCTGAAGAGGCCAGGCTCCTCCCCTCTGCATAAGGCGCAAATCCCAGTGGCTCCACCCCATTCTCCCAGTGCACAGGCGGGCCTCCAGTACATTGTGGGCAAGCCCAGACAAGGCCCTGGGAAGGTTCCCTCATGTTTACAAAAGCATCTGATGTAAACACTTGTGGGGAGGGTCAGAGATTCTCCAGGGAGCCTGCCTTATCTGCCTCCTGCATCTATCAAAGGGAGGTGCTGCTGTGAGAAATGTGCCCTTTCCAGGTCTCTATTATGCACCTTGCAATAAGCCAACTAACAGTATTAATGAGATGCCCTACATGTGGCTTAAGGGAGAAAAGATTTTGCATATTTCTTTTGAAGGAATACCAACCTCATATGTCATATCAAAGCCCCCATTTTTAAGCTAATGTCACATGGAATATTAAAAATGTTACTTGGTTGACCGTCCCCCTGCCCTGCACTGATATACTCTTCAAAAGGTGTGAACTGCAGGCCAGGTTTATTGTGCTCCATAGAAACTGCATGGACAGTTGTCCACAGGTCTGGGCAGGTCCTCTGTGTAATCATTCCAATGTGCTAGCTTGTATTTATCCTCTGATAGCACTTACCACTCTTCATTATAATTGCTTTTTTAACTGGTTTGTCTTCAAAATGGACTGTTGAACTTCCATTATAGTGTAAGGGACAGTAGGCACTTAAACAACAGTTATTGACTGACTGAGACCACTCTGTTCTGCATACTATTCAAAATGTGTGTTCCCTTCTATTTGCCTTGAGCCAAAAACCCAGTTGTTCAAGATTGAATTTTTTTTTATTATGGTAAAATAAATGGGACATAAAATTTATCCCTTTCACCATTTTGAAGTGTATAGTTCAGTGGCATTAAGCACAGTTTCATCTTCCCCTTTGAACACTAACTCCTCACTTTTTTTTTTTTTTTTTGGAGACCGAGTCTTGTTCTGTCACCCAGGCCAGAGTGCAGTGGCGCCATCTCAGCTCACTGCAAGCTCTGCCTCTCGGGTTCACACCATTCTCCTGCCTCAGCCTCCCGAGTACCTGGGACTACAGGCACCTGCCGTCATGCCTGGCTAATTTTTTATATTTTTAGTAGAGAGGGGGTTTCACCGTGTTAGCCAGGATGGTCTCGATCTCCTGACCTCGTGATTCGCCTGCCTCTGCCTCCCAAAGTGCTGGGATTACAGGCGTGAGCCACCGTGCCCGGCCACTCCTCGGTCTTGTTTGTGACTGTCTTTTTTCACTTAGTGTAATGTCTTCAAGGTTCATCGAGGTGGTAACGTGTCAGAATTGCTTTCCTTTTTTAAGGCTGGATAATATTCCATTGTATGAATAGATCACATTTTGTTTATCCATTCATCCAAATATAAGACAGCTGGGTTGCTTCTACCTTTTGGCTATTGAGAACAATGCTGCTAGTAAGCTGGGTGAACAAGTATCTGTTTGAGTCTCTCCTGTCGATTCTTTTGGGCACCTACTTAGAAATAGAGTTGCCAGGTCATATGGTAGCTCAGTGTTGGATTTTTTGAGAAACCATCATATTGTTTTCCACAGAAGCTGCTCCATTTTGCATTTCCACCAGCAGTTCATGAGGGTTTCAGTTTCTCCACATCTCACAAACACTTGATATTTTTTGGTCTTGCTTTTTGATGATAGCCATCCTAATGGGTGTGAAGTGGTATCTCATTGTTGAAGTCTCTTAAAGAGTGTCTTATGTGTATCTTTGTGAGTGTGAGAAGGATGAATTCCTGACCTGATACCTGTGAACTCATGTACGGATTAGGAGACAGGAATAGGAGCAGGATGAAGGGTGGAGGAGGTATAGGGAGTCAGAGGAGGGTCAGGCAAGTAGAACTCGAAGGAAGTGGGTGATCAGAGCCGACCTCCTGGACTGCCCAGGTGTGCCTCGGTCTGGCTTTTGAATCCACTCCACTGTACACAAGTGGGAGACAGATCAAATTAAACTATAAATCGCAGTGTTTAGTGGCTACTCTAGTCACGATAGCTGTTTCCAAAGAGCAAAGCTACATAAAGCGCCTGTATGTTGGCTGCATGCTATACTGTAAGCATTTTTTAAAGATTAAAATGATAAGATTTTGTTTTGTGATCCAATCTAAAAATCTGTCTCTTATAATAGTCCCCTTGCATTTTTTAATATGAAAGTGATATTTGATCTTGGTTGTATCATATTATTTAACACTTTGCATTGTTTTTATGTTTACAAATATTAAGATGATTTGGCAGTTTCATACAAAACTAAACATATTCTTAGCATGTGATCCAGCAATTGTGCTCCTTGGTATTTACCCAAAGGAAATGAAAACTGATATCCACACAAACACTTTCACACGGATGTTTACGGCAGCTTTATTCATAGTTGCCAAAGCTTGGAATCATTCAAGATGTCCGTCAATAAGTCACTGGATATATATACACACTGTGGCATATCCAGACAATGGACTATTAGCACTAAAAGAGATGAACTATCCACTGGGAGCGGTGGTTCATGCCTGTAATCCCAGCACTTTGGGAGGCCGAGGTGGGTGGATCATGAGGTCAAGAGATAGAGACCATCCTGGCCAACCAACATGGTGAAATCCCGTCTCTACTAAAAATACAAAAATTAGCTGGGCCTAGTGGCACACGCCTGTAGTCCCAGCTACTCGGGAGTCTGAGGCAGGGGAATTGCTTGAACCCAGGAGGCGGATGTTGCAGTGAGCCGAGATCGCGCCACTGAAATTCAGCCCAGGCGACAGAGCGAGACTCTGTCTGTCACACACACACACACACACACACACACACACACACACACACACAAAAGAACTATCAAGCCATGAGAAGACTTGGAGGAGGAAACTTAAATGCAGGTTACTAAGTGAAAGAAGCCAATTTGAAAAGGCTACATCCTGTATGGTTTCAACTCAAGACATTCTGGAAAAGGCAAAGCTATAGAGACAGGAAAAAGACCAGTGGGTTGCCCGGGCTTAGTGGGGAGGGAGGGACAAACAGTCAGAACACAGAGGATTTTGGGGGGAAATGAAACTGCTTTGTATGATGCTATAATGGTGTATACACATCATCATACATCTGTCCAAACCCACGGAATGTGCAATACCAAGAGTGACCCAAATGTAAACTATGGGATCTGACTGATAATGACGTTTCAATGTAGTTTCATCGACTGTAACAAACATAGCACTCTGTGTAGGGATTTTGATGGGGGAGGCTGTGAGCATGTGGGGTCAAGTATATAGGAATTCTGTACTTTCCATTCAATTTTGCTGTGGATCTAAAATTGCTCTAAAAAATGAAATATATTAAAAATATAGTATTGGCCAGATGTAGTGGCTCACGCCTGTAATTCCAGTACTTTGGGAGGCTGAGGCAGGCCGATCATGAGATCAGGAGTTTGAGTCCAGCCTGACCAACATGGTGAAACCCTGTCTCTACTAAAAATACAAAATTTAGCTGGGTGTGGTGGCGCACACCTGTGATCCCAGCTACTCAGGAGGTTGAGGCAGGAAAATTGCTTGAATCTGGGAGGCAGAGGTTGCAGTGAGCTGAGATCACGCCACTGCACTCCAGCCTGGGTGACAGAGCAAGAGTCTGTTTAAAAAAAAAAAAAAAGAAAAAGAAAAAGAAAAAATATATATATAGTGTTAACTGTGAACTCTTTGCTTTGTTTCTTTTCTTAATTTTTGGGTAATTAGTAAAGTTCGTATTTTTATTTTAGGGTTACTTTTATATAATCATATAATTATCTCAGAACTCTATTTCTTTAAAGAATATCTATTAGTTTCTAAGAAGAATCATAAAATTAGCTTGTTTTTTTCCCCATTTCCATTCCTCAACCACCTATTTTACATTTATTAATATTATTATTCATCATATTGTCTTAATACTATAATGGATGTTTAGAATTTACTTACTTTTTTAGCTCTAAGCTGTATTTTAGAACTGGCTATTTTGGATTAAGCATTCAATGAATTTATCCTAATTTCCATGCTTTCTTCTCACTTTCCTGCCACATTTCTACTAAACGAATCTTTTCTGCACTGTCAGGGTATATAACATGCATGTTACAGTCTACTACTTTAAACTTTAGAGTTGTTTATGTTTTAGTTCTATATAGTCAGCCATTTTTTTTTTCTGTTATTTCCCTAAGTTGGTTGGCTGAGATTCATCCTTTATTAATCTCCTCAGGAAGACTCATGGGAACAATGTTCCTTGAGTTCTTGTATGTTTATTTACTGTTAGTTATTTTTATACTTGAAAGATGAATTCTGGCGGTCACAGAGACAAACATGACTCATGTGTGTTATCCCTGCTGTTGGTTTCACTGAACCACACAGGACACCCCGCCCCTACCATTTCCACGCCCACTGTTGCAAATCGAGGGTAGGTTGCTGCAAATAAGGGATATAGTTGTTGCCTTTTGTTTTTCCCTCACCCCCAGGGAGCATGTTTTTGCTGGCGTTTTACAAGATTAACTTCCACTGTGTTTTGTTCTCTTCAATTCCTCTTGAGTGACTTTTGCCCCATTTCAGTGGCTTTTGGAAGCTTCTGTAGATAATTTGTAGTCTGTGGGTTATATCTGTCTCCTGGTTTCGCTAAAAAAATGGGGTTTATAAAAGTGGCTTTGGTTCTCCTTGCTGCTTCTTTATGATTTCCAGGAGGAGAAGGGGAGTATGCTGACTCCTAAAGCTTTGTTTGCAATGACATTTTAGAAGCTCTTAAGTGGTAACTATATAACTTTTTTTTTGTTGAACTTTTGGATATTTGCTTCTGATTTTATTGCTTAATGGTCAACGAACATGGTCAGGATGACATTGACTCAATTACATTGGTCGAAAATTCATGAACAACTTAAGAATGTGATCAATTTTTGTAATTGTTCCCTGTATAATGTACTTGAAAGGAAAATTCATTTATAATTATTGGGTGCAGGGTTCTATATATGCTCATTAGATTAGGCTTGTTTATTGTTTTGTTTATACTTTTTGAATCTTTTTTTTTCTGCTGGTTATATCACTTGGTAAGAGACATATATTAAACTCTTCAGTATGACTGTAGATTTGACCATTTTTCCTTGGAATGTTTTCAAAAACAATTCCATGTTTTGAGGCTATATTGTTAAGGCCACACGAGTTCACATAAGTTGTGATCATCTTTGTGGTGAATTGATCCCTTCCTCCTTATACAGCTCGCTTTAATCCTTCTGTGTTTGGAATTGGTTCCTTCTGGTGGGTTCTTGGTCTCACTGACTTCAAGAATGAAGCCACAGACCCTCACAGAGAGTGTTACAGTTCTTAAAGATGGTGTGTCCAGAGTTTGTACCTTCAGATGTTCAGATGTGTCCAGAGTTTCTTCTTTTTGGTGGGTTCATGATCTCAGTGACTTCATGAGTGAAGCCACAAACCTTCGCAATGAGTGTTACAGCTCTTAAAGGTGGTGCGTCCGGAGTTGTTTGTTCCTCCCGGTGGGTTCGTGGTCTCACTGATGTCAGGAATGGAGCTGCAGACTTTCCTGGTGAGTGTTACAGCTCATAAAGGTAGTGCGGACCCAAAAAGTGAGCAGCAGCAAGATTTATCGCGAACAGTGAAAGAACAAAGCTTCCACAAAGTCGAAGAGGACTGACGGGGTTGCTGCTGCTGCCTCAGGTGGCCAGCTTTTATTTCCTTATTTGGCCTCGCCCACATCCTGCTGATTGGTCCATTTTACAGAGTGCTGATTGGTCCATTTTTACAGAGTGCATATTGGTGCGTTTACAAACCTAAGCTAGACACAGAGTGCTGATTCGTGCAATTTTACAGAGTACTGATTGGTGCTTTTACAAACCTTTAGCTAGACAGAAAAGTTCTCCAAGTCCCCACTGGACCCAGGAAGTCCAGCTGGCTTCACCTCTCAGTAGGCTATTAGTAGTTATGTTTTGGGGGAGTCAAAAGTTATAAGTGCATTTTTGACTGCCCAAGGGATTGGTACCCCTAACCCTCCATGTTGTTCAAGGGTCAACTGGTCTTGGTGGCTCATGCATGTAATCCTGTAATCCCAGCACTTAGGGATGCAAAGGCAGAAGGATCTCTTGAGCCTAGGAGTTTGAGACCAGCCTGAGCAACATATTGAGACCCCTTTCTTTACGGGCGCACACACACACACACACACACACACACACACGACTTAAGAATATTTAACTCTGATTAGGCTGGTCGCAGTGGCTTGTGCCTGTAATCCCAGAACTTTGGAAGGCCAAGGTGGGCGGATCACGAGGTCAAGAAATCCAGACCATCCTGGCCAACATGATGAAACCCCGTCTCTACTAAAAATACAAAAATTACCTGGGCATGGTGGCACGCACCTGTAATCCCAGCTAGTCGGGAGTCTGAGGCAGGAGAATCGCTTGAACCCAGGAGGCGGACCTTGCAGTGAGCCGAGATGGTGCCACTGCACTCCAGCCTGGGCGACAGAGTGAGACTCAGTCTCAAAAAAAAAAAAAAAAAAAAAAGAATATGTATCTCTGATTAATAACTTCCTTCCTTACGTAGTATTTTCTTCAATATTTAGTTCCAACGTGTTTTTAATTTCCCCCAATTTATTATTATTACTTTTTGAGATGGAGTCTCACTCTGTCGCCAGGCTGGAGTGCCGCGGTGCGACCTCGGCTCACTGCGTGGGCAACAAGAGTAAAACTCCGTCTCAAAAAAAAAAAAAAAAAAGTTTGTTAAGCAAGGATCTGTGAGTTGCAGATAGTCTCTGATGTGTCTTTATTTTCCCTTCACTCTTTGATGATAGTAACTGGGTGTCAACTTTTAGGCAGTTGCTTATTGTCTCTTAGCCTTTTATTGATTGGTTATTTTCTGATGTTTGTTAATCTTTGTTCTTTGCAGATGTTCTACATTTTCCTTTCCAGTTGTTTTAAACATATTCTGTTTGCATTTCCTGTACTAAAATTTCACAGTGAAGTTACTCAATGAATACTTATTTTTACCTCTTGGGATGCATATTAGCTATCTGTTGCTGTGTAACAAATTACCCCAAAATTTAGTGGCTTAAAACAACAAACATTTATTAGTTAGCTGTTTTTGTGGGTCAGGAATCCAGTCATGGCAAGCAGAGCTGTCACACCCTCCTCAGGGAGTTGGAGCGCTTCACCATCCTGGCACATCCATGTGTGCACTGACCAGGAGGAAGCTGCGCTGAGTTGGTGTTCAAAGACTTTACTGGGGCTTCATTGACTCAGTAAATCACTGGCTGCCCGATTGAACTTAATCTCCAGCCTCTTCCCGGAGGTCCGGCAGCTGAAAGTCCCAACCCTATATCTACCTGCTTGGTCTTCCTGATGATAGCCCCATCATGAAGGGGGCCTAGGCTGAGTCACCTCATTAGCTTAACAAAGGCACTTGTACTGCTCAGAAAATTCCAAAGGTTATTGAAGCTCTGTGTCAAGAACTGGGGACAATAGTAGCTCTTTTGGAGGATATTCTTCGGATTCTCATTTTAGATTTCTTCCCATTCCCTCTCTTCTTCATGACCCAACAGAAGCCAGAGTTTATTTCGATCTGGAAGATGCACCAACTGTCTCTTCCTTCTTTAGGTGGCCAACTAGAAAACAAAAGGGATTTCAATGAAAAGAAGCCCACAGGAGGCCATTTATTTTTATTTATTTTTCCTCTAGTTCAGAAGAAAGTTTTGTTTTGTTTTGTTTTGTTTTTTGACTATTCATAGGATAGGAAACCAGAGAGTATGGGGGCCAACCAGAGAATCTTAATAGTGTTCATTTGCCTGGACTCGCTCTTTGCAGATGTACCCATTGGGAGCCAGCAGAGGGGGCTGCAGGTGTGGTGTTTGACCAGGGAAGACTCTGGGGCTCAGGATTCTGCCACACACCATGAGGATGTACACACAGTTGGAGGCACTTATTTATTTGTCTTCCCTCATGTTCTTACTTCCTTCCAAGCAGCTTCATTTGTACACAGATTGGTCTGTCTTTCCCCATTTCCATCGTATATAATTTTCCCGTCCCAGTTCTTGCCTTGGTCAGATTGTTTCTCTCCTCAGTGCTTCTTTCTCTGATCTTTTACAGTTCCAAGTGAAAGTGCATGTATTTATGTGGAGTGAATAATGTATGAATCCATTCTTTTCAATGCATGAAATTGTACTCCTTGTAATGTCACTCATTAATCTTTATGGCAAAACCAGTGGGAGAAGGTCAATATGGTTAAAGATAATTAGCGATTGATTAGCAACTGAGAAGCTAAATAAAAAAACACATTTCCCTCTCAATGACTTGAGTTGATAAAAACAAGAATTCTTGTTTGAGACAAGTCGTAGTATTCAGGACTGTGATGGAGAAAAATTTTTGCATTAAAATGGGCATAAATCAAGGCAAACATTTATTTGGGAAAAGAGACAGGAACCATTCCCAAGTTTTCATTATAATTAATTTTGTTAAAGAATATCCGTCACCAGAAATCTAAAATCCTTATAAATATTTAATGGCAAAAATTGGAAATGCTGATATTGCAAGACCAATTCAACGTACTGTTTACCCTTCCAATGTATTCAGTATTTTAAAGGAGGCTGTTTGTCTTCCTGACCTTTTTCAGTAGACTCACAAAAAGCCTGCTCACAAAAAGCAATTCAGGCATGTGCAACTGAATGATGATAAGACTGCTGGGGACTGAAATGTAGAGACCATCTTCCCCGGTGTGGCAAGAGCTTGCATGCAGAAACTGTGTGTTATTCATTTTGGTTTTTCTAGGGCCTTACACACATCTGAACATTGAAGATGCCCAGTAAGTCCTCACTGAAAAGAAAACGGTACAGAGATTGTTGGTAGATGTAGATGGCTTAGCCTTAGACTCATTTTCTTTGTTTGTACTTTCTGTTCTTCCCACTACTTGCAATCTATGATTCTTCCCACTCTCCTTCTTTCCTGTTGCACTAGTAGTTTGGAGGGACCTACAATAGTTTCTCCTGCCAATAGAGTAAGAAAGGAAGGAGGGTCGACTTGGCACAGTGGCTCACACCTGTAATCCCAGCGCTTTGGGAGGCCAAGGTGGGCGGATCACAAGGTCAGGAGATCGAGACCATCCTGGCTAACAAGGTGAAACCCCGTCTCTACTAAAAATACAAAAAATTAGCCGGGCGCGGTGGCGGGCGCCTGTAGTCCCAGCTACTCGGGAGGCTGAGGCAGGAGAATGGCGTGAACCCGGGAGGCGGAGCTTGCAGTGAGCCGAGATTGCGCCATTGCAGTCCGCAGTCCGGCCTGGGCAACAGAGCGAGACTCCGTCTCAAAAAAAAAAAAAAAAAAAAAAAAGAGAAATATGTAGGCGAAAAGGAAAATATTTGAATTTCAGGCTTCTTTCCTCCCACAAACTTCTCCCCATTCTCTGCCAAGACCTGACAGTAATTTCTTAAGGTGGAGCACCCTTAAGTGAACAAATACTTATTAAAGATTTTTTTGTGAATCCCCTTATTACACCTAATTACGGAGTATTTTATGATAATTTATTTGGAAACCCAGGCTCCATTTCCCGTTTGCCTTCTATAAAGTCCAATGGCATCATTGTGATATTAAAACCATGCAGTTTTTTTTTTTTTTTTTTTGAGACAGAGTTGCGCTCTTGTTGCCTAGGCTGGAGTGCAATGGTCTGATCTCAGCTCACTGCAACCTCCACCTCCCAGGTTCAAGCGATTTTCCTGCCTCAGCCTCCCGAGTAGCTGGGATTACAGGCACCCACAACTAGGCCTGGCTAATTTTTGTATTTTTAGTAGAGACGGAGTTTCACCATGTTGGCCAGGCTGGTCTTGAACTCCTCACCTCAGGTGATCTACCTGCCTCAGCCTCCCAAAGTGCTGGGATTATAGGAGTGAGCCACTGCGCCTGGCCATGATTGGTATATCTAACCAAAAATAAGCTCATGAACAATTAACCTATTCAGCAGAGGAAAATGATCATTGACAGTCATTGGCTTGGTAATAAATATATATATATATTTTTTTTCTTAACTTCTCAGTAAGAGTCTCTGGCCGGGTTCCTAAACTTGAAGGCCTAAGGATAAGAAATGACTGATTACTGGCCAGGCACGGTAGCTTACGCCCGTAATCCCAGCACTTTGGGAGGCCAAGCTGGGCAGATCAATTGAGGCCAGGTGTTTGAGACCAGCCTGGCCAACACCGTGAAACCCCATTTCTATTAAAAATGCAAAAATTGGTCAGGCGCTGTGGCTCACGCCTGTAATCCTAGCACTTTGGGAGGCCAAGCTGGGCAGATCAATTGAGGCCAGGTGTTTGAGACCAGCCTGGCCAACACCGTGAAACCCCATTTCTATTAAAAATGCAAAAATTGGTCAGGCGCTGTGGCTCACGCCTGTAATCCTAGCACTTTGGGAGGCCAAGGCGGGAGGATCATGAGGTCAGGAGTTTGAGACCAGCCTGGCCAACATAGTGAAACCCTGTCTCTACTAAAAAATACAAAAAATTTGCTGGGTGTGGTGGCGAGCGCCTGTAATCCCAGCTACTCGGGAGGCTGAGGCAGGAGAACTGCTTGAACCCGAGAGGCAGAGGTTGCAGTGAGCTCAGACTGCGCGATTGCACCCCAGCCTGCGCAACAGTGCGAGACTGCATCTTAAAAAAAAAAAAAAATCCAAAAATTAGCCAGTCAAGGTGGTGGGCGCCAGTAATCCAAGCTACTCAGGAGGCTGAGGCATGAGAATCGCTTGAACCCAGGAGGCAGAGGTTTCAGTGAGCCGAGTTCATGTCAGTGCACTCCAGCCTGGACAACAGCATGACTCCGTCTCAAAAACAAAAAACAAAAAACAAAAAAACACACACACACTAAAAGGAGGCCAGGCACGGTGACTCACAGCTGTAATCCCAGCACTTTGGGAGGCCAAGGCGGGAGGATCACAAGGTCAGGAGTTTCAGACCAGCCTGGCCAATATGGTGAAACCCCGTCTCCACTAAAAATACAAAAAATTAGCCGGGCGTGGTGGCAGGCGCCTGTAGTCCCAGCTACTCGGAGGCTGAGGCAAGAGAATGCCGTGAACTCGGGAGGCGGAGCTTGCAGTGAGTGGAGATTGCGGCACTGCACTGCAGCCTGGGCGACAGAGCGAGACTCCGTCTCAAAAAAAAAAAAAAAAAATAGATACACTAATGACAACTTCAGGAGATTCTGTTGGGAAGGGTGCTGGAATCCACTGATGGGGTGACGTCAAATGAGAGGGAGATGGGACCCGGTACAGATGCAGCTAGGGGGAGCAATTTGGTTATGATGTGACTCCTGAATCAGTAGGCTGAACACACATTCAAAGGCCATAGGGGCTTACTTATTATGGGCTGTGTCCCTTTCCAAGGGGTTCTGATGTGGTGGGTTTGGTGCAATAGCACAGTTCTGAAGGCATTGATCAATGCTCACTGTCATTGATGTTCCAGCTGTCGCCAACCCCTTGTCCCTCAGCTATATTCTTTGCTGGTTCTCCAGAGTTCACTGCTACGGTTGTGTGCGTCCTGCCAGGCGTGGGAGTGCTGTCATAGTTAATTTTATGTGTCAGTTTGACTGGGCTAAGAGATGCCCAGGGGGTTGGTAAATCATGATTTCTGGGTGTGTCTGTGCTGGTGTTTCTGGACGAGATTAGCGTTTGAATCTGTAGACTGAGTAAGGTGGATGTCCCCTCACCAATATGCGTGGGCATCACCCAGTCTGTTGAAGGCTGAGATGGAATAAACAGATGGGGGAAGGGTGAGCTTGCTCTCTTTGCTTGAGCTGCGACATCTGTCTTCTGCTGCCCTTGGGCATGAGAGCTTCTGGCTCTTGAGCCTTTTTACTCAGACTGGGACGTACACCCTTGGCTGTCCTGGTTCTCAGGCCTTTGAGCTTGGATTGGAACTACACCACCTGAGTTTGTGGTCCTCGCCCTTGCAGATGGAAGGCTGTGGGACTTCTCACCTTCCATTATCATGTGAGTCAATCTCTAATAATAAATGTCTTTTCATATATCTGTATGGATTCTATGGATTTTGTGTCCCTGGAGAATCCTGACTAACACAAGTACCCTAGCAACATCTTGTTGGTTTAAAATTTGTGATACTTGGGTCGAGGAGGCTCTAGGTATTTTCTGGGAGTTCTAAGTACATCAAGCCACTGTTAATGATGGGTGTAATGGACTAGAATGAACTAAGTTGATAACAGGGCTTCTATACCAATTCATTGTAAATAAGAGAAGTGAGAGAGAAGCTCTGTATCAGATCTCAGCAGATCTGATGGAAAGAGGAGAAGGCTGCTACTGTGGAGGCATCTCAGTGCTCAGGGCTTGCTCCTACAGCTTACCAGTGGCTAATGTCACCAGGGCCACTTCTAGATACTCTCTTCCGATGAGGATGAGTCTGCTCACATATGCCAGCTTCCACCTGGGGGACCTGGAACAAGAAACGCTGAGACTACACACAGCGGTCATCATGCCCATGGCAAATGACAGCCCCAGGAGAAAACCAGGAGATGTAAACATTGTCCCCTGACTTCAGAATGAACTCATTCTGCATTGTCAGTTAAGGGAGCTCCTTTAGAGCAAGACTTCACTGGCTTTCCTTCTGAAATAAAACAAATCTAAACATGGGAAACGGATCATGCTATGCTTGGGAAGCAGTTAATGTCCTATTAGAAAAACATTGATTTGCTATATCTTGTACAAAGTCAGAAATGTTTTCCCTAAGAGCTATTTGTATTCTGCTCAGGTTTCCCTTTGAATTCACTGTGTTGTCTTAGACTAAGTTAACGGTGAGTTTCTGTCTCTCTCATGAATTCTAAAATGCACACTGGAGAACTTCTAGTAGACTGTACAAGCAAAATGAACAAACAAAATTAATTAGAAAATGCTAGTATTAAGCAGTACCTGGCTGGATCTCCTTTCTTCCTTTCTCTTCCTTCCTTCTTTCTTTGCTCTTCTCTTCCTCCTCCTTTCATTCCTTCTTTTCCCTTCTCCTCCCCTCCTTCCTCCCTCCCTCTTCCCTTCTTCCCTTCCTTCCTCCTGAGTTGACGCCATTCTCTTGCCTTAGCTATGATGTGACTCCTGAATCAGTAGGCTAAACCCATATTCAAAGCTAAACCCATTCCTTCCTCCCTCCCTCCTTCCCTCCCTCCCTTCCTTCCTTCCTCTCTTCCTCCCTCCCTCCCTCCCTTCCTTCCTTCCTTCCTTCCTTCCTTCCTTCCTTCCTTCCTCCCTTCCTTTCTCTTCACCCATCCTTCCCTCCCTTTCTTCTATCTCTTTCTTTCTCTCTTTCTCCCTTTCTTTCTCTCTCTCTCCTTCCTTCCTTCCTTCTTTCCTTCTTTCTCTTCTTTCTTTCTTTCTTTCTTTCTCTTTCTTTCTTTCTTTCTTTCTTTCTTTCTTTCTTTCTTTCTTTCTTTCTTTCTTTCTTTCTTTCTTTCTTTCTTTCTTTCTCCTTCCTTCCTGCCTGCCTTTTCTCTCTCTCTCCCTCTCCCTCTCCTTCTCTCATTTGCTTCCTTGCTTGCCAAGGGACTCTTTCCTGGGAGAGGTGATTTTAGAGCTACAGTCATATATTAAGAGAGCTCACAAAATGTCCCGGCCTTCAGTAAAACACTGTATCTGTTAGTGTATCTGTTGTTTTTTTTTTTTTTTTTTTTTTTTTGAGACAGAGTCTCACTCCATTGTCCAGGCTGGAGTGCAGTGGCGTGATCTAGGCTCACTGCAACCTCTGCCTCCTGGGTTCAAGCGATTCTCCTGCCTCAACCCTCCAAGCAGCTGGGATTATAGGCTTGTGCCACCACTCCCAGCTAATTTTTTTTTTGGTAGAGATGGAGTTTCACCGTACTGGCCAGGCTGGTCTCAAATTCCTGACCTCATGATATGCCCACCTCGGCCTCCCAAAGTGCTGGGATTACAGGCATGAGCCATGGCACCCGGCCCAGTGTATCTGTTGATCCTGTAATAAGGAGCTGGAGGATGGAGGATGGTGAAGAGGCGGAGAACATAGCTGAGGTTAAGGTATTGGTGAGAATTGGAAGATCGGTGATAGGGACGGCAGGTAGGTAACTTACTCACCTTCGTCACCCAGGTGCCTAGCACAATGCTTAGCCTAAAACATGCGTTTGATAGAGTGAGTGAATTCAGGATCATAGGGCCAAAAGTTCAGAATGTTTCTTGAGATCTGGCTGCTCCTTCACACCTGCCTGGGAATGAGCAGATATTTCATAGTCTGGCGCTGGGGTGGTTTCTCCTGACATGAACTCCTTCAGGTATTTAAAGATCTGATATCCCTAATTTAGTGGGAGATTTCCCTGCAAGGCTTCAGGGATTTTCTGAAGGTTCAGAGACAAGGTAGTCCTGGTTATCTATTCTTGTATTACAAACTACCCCAAAACTTACCAGCTTCAAAGAACCATTTTATCATATCTGAGGATTCTGCGGGCCAGAAATTTGAGCACAGGTCAGCTTGGTGACTCTTCAGCTACTGGTGACAGTGACTGAGTTTTCTTCTACATCTAGCTGGTCTAGCGGGTCCCAGGTGTCTTTCTTCCCATGTCTGGCATCTTGTCTGGGATGGCTGGAATGCAGGGCTCAACTGGCACAGAGGACGGGACACACATCTGCGGTCTCTCCAGCATTGTGGTCTTCAGAGAGAAGGAAGGAGGCTGTCAGCGTTTTAAGCCTGGACACAGACACTAGCCCAGTTTCATTTCTGCTCTCCTACATTGGCCAAACAGTCATAAAGCTTACCCGGATTTCAGGGCAGAGAACATCAATCCCACTTTTTTTTTTTTTTTGAAACAGAGTCTTGTTCTATTGCCCAGGCTGGAGTGAAATGGCGTGATCTTGGCACACTGCAACCTCCGTCTCCTGGATTTGAGCAATTTTCCTGCCTCAGCCTCCTGAGTAGCTGGGATCACAAGCACCTGTCACCACGCCTGACTAATATATTTTTTCTTTTTTTCTTTTTTTAGTAGAGACATGATTTTGCCATGTTGGCCAGGCTAGTCTTGAACTCCTGACCTCAAGTGATCCAATCACCTTGGCTTCCCAAAGTGCTGTGATTACAGGCATGAGCCACCGCTCGTGGCCCAATCCCACCTGTTGATGAGAGGAGTGATAAAGAATATGTGGCCATCTTTATTTGATCACAAAAAACCCTCAAATTAAAGATGTGTGACAATGGCTAAAAGGTGGAAGCAACCCTGGGTTGATGAAACCATAAACAAAATGTGTTCTATGCACACAATGGAACATTATTCTGCCTTAAAAAGACATGGGATTCTGACATGTGCTATGACATAGGTAAGCCTTGAGAACATTATGAAATAAGCCAGTCAAAAAGGCAAATTCTGTATGTTTCCA
This sequence comes from Homo sapiens, assembly GCF_000001405.40. Classification (NCBI taxonomy): domain Eukaryota; kingdom Metazoa; phylum Chordata; class Mammalia; order Primates; family Hominidae; genus Homo; species Homo sapiens. The sequence goes on along the minus strand of NW_025791785.1, from coordinate 259,375 downwards.
CTTATATGGTACCTAGAGTAGTCAAATTCATAGAGACCAAAGTGAAATGATGGTTGCCAGGGGCTGGAGGAAGATGAGGAGAATGTTAGTGTTCAGTGGGTATAGAATTTAAGTTTTGCAAGATGAAAATGTTGTGGAGGCTGGGCACAGTGTTCATGTCTGTAATCCCAGCACTTTTGGAGGTCGAGGTGGGAGGATCTTTTGAGCCCAGAAGTTCGAGAACAGGCTGGGCAATGTAGCAAGTCCCTGTCTCTAAAAAAATAAAAAAAATAGGCTGGGCGCAGTGGCTCACGCCTGTAGTCCCAGCACTTTGGGAGGCCGAGACAGGCAGATCATGAGGTCAGGAGATCGAGACCATCCTGGCGAACACAGTGAAACCCCGTCTGTACTAAAAATACAAAAAATTAGCTGGGTGTGGTGGCGGGCACCTGTAGTCCCAGCTGCTCGGGAGGCTGAGGCAGGAGAATGGCGTGAACCCGGGAGGCGGAGCTTGCAGTGAGCTGAGATCGCGCCACTGCACTCCAGCCTGGGCAATAGAGCGAGACTCTGTCTCAAAAAAAAAAAAAAAAAAAAAAAAAAATAGCCAGGCACAGTGGCATGCATCTGTAGTCCAGCTACCCAGGTGGCTGAAGTGGGAGGGTTTCTGGAGCCTAGGAGGTCGAGGCTGTAGTGAGCCATGATTGTGCTGCTGCACTCCAGCCAGAGCAACAGAGCAAGACCCTGTTTCTAAAAAAAAAAAAAAGTTCTGGAGATGGATGGTGGAGATACTTGTACAATGTTATGGTAGCTAATGGCACTGAACTGTATACTCAAACATGGACACCATTGTAAATTTTATGTTACGCACATTTTATCATAAAATACAGTCAAATACATTATATTAAAATTTTAAAAATGTGGCAGGTCTCTGAATTTGATTTTCTTCATCTGCATTAATGTCTGATTTTCCTGAAGGTCTCAGTTTCCACAGAGTTTTCTTTAAGGGCTGTGAGTTTGTCTTACCCTCTCTCTGACATTTTAGTATCTAACCTGATCTCCCTTTTATCTAGGATGAATTAGACTCACTGAAATAAGCAGAAGCACAGGCATTTTCACTCTTGGCACCAGTTAGAATAAAACGATTAGGTGATTTATAAATGTCATTTAAAAATTAAGTCCATCGAAGACTTTCTTATCCCCAGAAAAATGTATTACTAAATTATTAATGGTCCTTTATTATTTTTTATTGTTGCCTTATTAAAATAAATAAAACAATAAAATGGAGTTACTAAGAAGTACTTTAACTCACCTGTCAGCATTGATCAGCAGAATCAACACAGGATGCCTTATCAACCTTGCCTACTGTTTGCATGCAAATTATTTCAATTTTGCTTCGCATTGTAACGGTTCCATGACAGAATGACAGGCCCTGTGGGTTTAAGGAAGTGATAGTAGTAAACTAACTTCAATTTAGGAAGACTTTCTGTTGTCTTTTTTTCTTCTAGTAACATATCATTTATTGCCCTGTGTTCTATAATAATGCTTAAATGGATTATTTCACCAAAAAAATTTGAGAAGAATGCACAAATCATAAATATAGTTTATTGCTTTTTTTTTTTTTGAAACGGAGTCTTGTTCTGTTGCCCAAGCTGTAGTGCAATGGTGCAGTCTCCACTCACTGCAACCTCCGCCTCCCGGGTTCAAGCGATTCTCCTGCCTCAGCTTCCCAAGTAGCTGGGATTACAGGTGCGCACCACCACTCCCGGTTAATTTTTGTATTTTTAGAAGAGACGGGGTTTCACCATGCTGGCCGGGCTGGTGTCAAACTCCCGACCTCAGGCAATCCACCTGTCTCGGCCTCCCAAAGTGCTGGGATTACAGGCGTGAGCCACTGCGGCCAGCCGTTTATTGCATTTTTTAATTAAAAAATTACACCCGTGAGACCTGTGACCACATCAGGAAAAAGAACACTTCCAGAACCCCAGAAGCCTCCCGGAGCCTCTGTTGTCAATATCCGTCTCCATCAAGGGTAGCCTTGCTCTTGACTTTTAACAACATGGATACATTTTTCCCTGCTTTTGAACTTATTTATAAAGGTAAGCATGCAGTAGCTCCTCTTTTTGTGTTGGCTTCTTTCACTCATATTTGTGGTAGTGAGATTCATTTAGGTGCTGCTTGTGGCTGTAGATCATTTTATTCTCATTGAAATATACCACCATCTATTTCTCCATTCTGCTATTGGGCATTTGGATTATTTCTAGTTTTTCAGTAAATATGAAACTGCTACTATCAACATTCTTATACAAGTCTTTTGATACAGATGTATCTGCTAGCTGTTGAATTTATACAGAGAAGTTGAATTTCTATGTCACAGGGTATACAAATATGCTACTTTGCTTGTACATAACAACCTTTTTCCAAAACCAGTTGTATCAATTTACGTTTTCACCCCTGTGAAAGAGCTTTCTTCGCTCTTCAGACTTGAAATTTTCAGACTCGTTCATTTTAACCCCTCTGGTAGTGGGCAGTAAGAGCACATTATGGTATTTATTTGCCAATTATGTAACCACTTTTGTGATGTGCCTGTTCAAGTAATTTGCCCATTTCTTCTATCGGGGTGTCTATTTTTTTCTCACTGATTCACAGATACTTAAAAAAAATCTTCTGGATGTGAATACTTTATAGGATATATTTATTGGAAAATGAATTATCCCATCTAGTGCCTTGCCTTCTTACTCTCTAATGGTGTCTTTTGGGGGACAGGAATTCTCAATTTTCATGTACAGTAGTATAATACAGTTTTTCAGTTTTTTCTTTTTGCATTACATCTTTTTTGATTTTTTTTTTTTTTTGACGGAGTCTCGCTCTGTCCCCCACACTGGAGTGCAGTGGCGCAATCTTGGCTCACTGCAAGCTCCGCCTCCCAGGTTCAAGCCATTCTCCAGCCTCAGACTCCAGAGTAGCTGGGATTACAGGCACCTGCCACCACGCCTGGCTAATTTTTTGTATTTTTAGTAGAGACGGGTTTTCACCGTGTTAGCCAGGATGGTCTCGATCTCCTGACCTCATGATCCAGCCGCCTTGGCCTTCCAAAGTGCTAGGATTACAGGCATGAGCCACCGCGTCCGGCCTGGTGTGTGTTTTGTTTAATATATTTCTCTAACACACAGGCAAGAAAAGAGTCTATTTTTAAAAAATGCTTTATTGCCTTTTCATTTTAGATCTGCAATATTATGGTGTGTGATGATTAGTTTTATGTGTCAAGTTAGAGGATGTTTTGGGATGAGTTTAATATTTAAATGAGTGGACTTTGAGTAGAGCAGATGGCCCTCTAAAGTGTGGGTGGGCCCCATGCAATCAGTTGAAGGCCTGAACAGAACCAAAATCTGGCCTCCCTGAGCAAGAGTGATTCCTCCAGCAGTCTGCCTTCGGACTCCCTCTGCACCCTTGACTCTCCTGGGTGTCCAGCCTGCAGCCCACAGTGCAGATATTTACTTGCCAGCCTCCATAACAGCATGAGCCAATTCCTTATAATAACCTCTTTGCATTTATAAACACATCCTATTGGCTGTGTTACTCTGGAGACCCCTGACTAACACAGGGTGTGAGGTAGAGGTCAATATCCCTTTTTCAGTGCCCTAAAACACCTGAACATAACCCCAGGACTCCATGGGAACCCAGTTTAATAATACGGGTCTGGGACATGGAACTTGAGTATTAAACAGATATATCATTCGTCACCTGTTCCTGGCTGTCCATTCTTCCTCACAGGCAATGTGGAGTTTCTGGAGCTTAGGAAGAGCCTTGAAATGGGAAAGGCCAGCCCATCACCAGACACAAAACAAAAGGGTGCTGAAGTTGAGATCTCATGAAGACGCCAGGCTTGCAAGCACAGTCAGTCGGGAGTGTCAAGGGAGGGGGCAGTGAATAAGAACAACACCACAGAAAAAATTGGGAGCAGTGGGGAAGTTGTGCTGGAGGAGAATCTGGAAAAAGTGCCCTGGGCCCATGGAGGGGGATGGGGAGAACTTCTGGAGCTTCTTGCCTCAGCCTATGAGTGGAGCTATCAGCCAGTTTAGCTAAGTAATAGATAACGTTATCCACTGGGACCCAGCCGCACACTCAGACGCTGAACCTTCCCGGGTAATCCCGACTCTGTTATATCTGGGTTTCCACGTCAGTTTTTGTTCACTCTGCTGGAGGGAAAAGAATTCGCATGGAATAGATGGTTGCTTCTGAGACATAATCTTATTCCAACAATGGTCAGGTGGAGGAAGAGACAGAGGAGGAGGCATGCAGAGTGCCCTGCACTCCTTGATATTTAATTATGTGCAAACCTGCCCTTCAGAACCTGCAGACACCTCAGGTAAAACTATTCTATCAGGTCATGAATCTTTATTACCCTTTATCTTAAACCTGAGCTATCTCATTGAGTCCGTAGTTTATTACAGGAATCCTATGGGCTCTTCTGGGCCTATTGACTGTATGGCTTGAGGAATATTATTTGTGTAGTATGTACCATTGCAATTTTAGATCCATAACAGGTATTGAGATTCTGGAAAGTGTTTCTTTTTGGTTTAATTCAGCCAAGTAGCATAGATTAGTATATACGTGGCTCTGATGAAATTTCCCATAGAGAGCAAGTTAGGAAGTACACTCGAATATGATATTATAATTTATATATGTGCTTGATTACTTGAAAGGCAAGGACATGACAGGATTAGAATGTTAGTCAAGCATTCTTTCAATAAGTCCTCCCCCTCCCTTTTTTGCAAGAGTAACTTGGTGTTGATGAAGATGATGATAAGGATTATCTAATTATATTATTTAAGACTAGGTTTTATGTATGACGCACATTCAGCCAGACTTAGGAAAGGTACATTTATTTTTGGTTACATATAGAAGATACTCAATAAGTATTTGTTAACTAAGCAAAAAAGTCACACATGGTACTTTTTTTTTTTTTGAGATAGAGTCTCGCTCCATCACCAGGGTGGAGTGTAGTGGCATGATCTCGGCTCACTGCAACCTCCGCCTCCTGGTTCAAGCGATTCTCCTGCCTCAGCCTCCTGAGTAGCTGGGACTACAGGCGTGCGCTACCACGCCTGGCTAATTTTTGTATTTTTAGTAGAGACGGGGTTTCACCATATTGGCCAGGATGGTGTCGATCTCTTGACCTCATGATCTGCCCGCCTTGGCCTCCCACAGTGCTGGGATTACAGGTGTGAGCCACTGCGCCCGGCCTCACACATAGTACTTTTAAAATAAAATGTTTTATTTAAACTCTGTATTTATCCCTGAGTGGTAAGCCGTGGAAAAATCATTGCTTTTGTGAATAACTAACCATTTATGATTTATAGAGATATATATATATCATATATGTGTGTGTGTGTGTATATATATGTATATATCATATATATGTAGCATAATAGAGATGGGATCTCTGTTACCCAGGCTGGTTTCAAACTCCTGAGCTCAAAAACTTTATTTATTTATTATTATTATTATTATTATTATTATTATTGTTACTGAGACAGTCTTGCTCTGTTGCCCAGGGTGTAGTGCAGTGGCATGATCTCTGCTCACTGCAAACTCTGCCTCCTAGGTTCAAGTGATTCTACTGCCTCAGGCTCCCAAGTAGCTAGGATTACAGGTGCCCACCACCATGCCTGGCTAATTTTTGTATTTTTAGTAGACACAGCGTTTTGCCATATTGCCCAGGCTGATCTCAAACTCCTGACCTCAAGTGATCCACCTCCGTCAACCTCTTCAAATGCTGGGATTACAGGCATGAGCCACCACCCCCGGCCTATGCTTGCATTTATCCCTCTTATAATCAGTGTATAATTTTTAGTACAATTAACTTGCCTAACCCTGACACTCTGCTCATTCTAATGAAAATTTATACAATTGTTTCTATAGTTACTAAAGTGCAAACAAAACAAAGCAAAAACAGAAAAGTCTTCTGTGTTATGAAGACAAAAATGTCAGCACTGGAAAATCCTTGAAGCACTGAAATTCTGTGTAAAAGCATCTAAAGTCATTATTGTAGGGGTCATTTCCCTCTGAGGCCTCATCTTCAGACAGGACTATCGGATCGTCTTTTCTGGGACATGCTGCATTTCTGCATAGCATCATGCAGGACGCTACAAATGGACAGTCAGATTCTGTGCCGAGGAAGCCACTACCACAGTGTATTTGGATCCAAATAAGAAACAGATATGAGACTCTCATTTAATGGCAGATAGAAAGTCTGAATACCACAGGGACATGATATGCATCAGCATGTGGGTTGGCTCCTAGAAATGTAATCTCTCTTTTGATGTACCTTATTGGTTCATCCTATTTTATGCGAGATGAAGTATTGGAGCAGAAAATTGGGCTCAGCTGAGGTCAGATATATGAGATGGGGCAGCCACCAAGGCAAACACAGGTAGAGACCAAGGTAGGTCAGAAGACGAGGTAGTCAAAAAGCAGACAGAGTCTGTGCAAAGATGTGAGTTGAATGACAATCTAAGATTGGGGTCTGCAGGCATTGCCAAGGACACAAAGCAAGGGAATCCAGAAAGTATGTGTGGCACACTGTATTAATCAGGGTTCTTCACAACCTACAGGAGATATATCTGTATCTTTATATCCATCTGTATCTATATCTATCTATATCTATATAACTTATATTTACATCATCTATATCTAATATCATCTGTATCTGTATATATATGATCTATATATATCTAAAATCTATCAATATCTATATCCATATCATTGATATCTATCTCCATCTATTATATCTATATCTAATCATCTATATCTAAAAAGATATTTATTACCAGGAATTGGTTCACACAGTTATGGGGGTGTTCCTAGAACCAAACTTCTGCTGCTGTTGAAATGAGCTGGCAAGTCCATTTCTGTAGGGTGGGCTGGGAACTGGAGACCCAGAAGAACTGATGGTGCAGTTAGAGTCTGCGGGAGAATTCCTTTCTGCTTGGGGAGGGCCAGTCATTTGGTTCAATTTATGCCTCCAGCTGATTGGATGAGGCCTACCTGCATTACGGAGGGCAATCTACTTTACTCAAAGTCCACTAATTTAAATGTTAATCTCATTCAAAAGCAACCTCATGGAAGCACCCAGAATAATTTTTGACCAACTATTTGGGCACTGTGGGTCAGCCAAATTGACACACAAAATTAACTGTCACACAGGTTCAGATAATACACTTTTGAATGATGGAGCCCAGCTGAGCCCGGTGGCTCATGCCTGTAATCCCAGTACTTTGGGAGGCTGAGACAGGCAGATCATGAGATCAAGAGATTGAGACCATCCTGGCCAACATTGTGAAACCCTGTCTCTACTAAAAATACAAAAATTAGCTGGGGTGGTGGTGTGCACTTGTAGTCTCAGCTACTTGAGAGGATGAGGCAGGAGAATCGCTTGAACCCAAGAGGTGGAGGTTGCAGTGAGCCGAGATTATGCCACTGCACTCCAGCCTGGGAGACAGAGCGAGACTCTGACTCAAAAAAAAAAAAAAAAGGAAAGATGGAGCCCTTTGCCCATGGCCATATTTCACCTGGCTTTCAAGTTAGAGCAAAGTGAGTTACATTCTGACAAGAATATTTACCTGAACTGTGTGCTTTATATTACATTAGGAATATAAATGGTTGGAGAAGACAGACAAAGAGAACCGCTCTTCTGTAACAACGGGAAGGTGAAACCCCTTTTTGGACTGGCAATGGTGAAATCTAAGCATGGCTCCAATTTGAGTAGGGGACACGGATACTGTTGACCTCTTTGCTGAAGGGGAGAATCTGGGAGAAAGTTTCTCTTATCCGTAATATCTGCATATTGTGCTTTGGTAAGGTGAACTGTTAGGAAAGAAGTACTAAGAAAATTGAAAAACTTTAATGATCAATATTGAGAATAAAAATGTTTATGCTGGGAAGCGTAATTTGATCATGACCTCGACCTGTGTAACTCTGAAGTGATTTGCATATCGCCAGTGCATGTGCTTCCCCCCAGCATCTGCATCTCCCCCAGGCTGGGCCATCTCCTGTGGACGGGACGTCTCCAGCACCACAGGAGAAAGAACAAAGAGTGCAAGGCGTCACTTGCTCTGTGCCTCTCAGGCTGATCCAAACACACAGCTGGCACTTAACATCAAAGCGAACTTGGCTTACAGGGATGTGGAGGAAGATCAGACTCTGGCACTTAGCGTTTTCCTTTTATTTTAGCATGATCACCAATGCCACAGACCCCCTGGGGATGGACTCATTTCAACAGCGGCAGAAGCTCCCTTCTAGAAGCACTCCCATTTGCACAGGACAGAGGTGAATGGAAATGAACGTATGACATTGAAAGGCATCTCTTGATATGTTTTTATAATCATTAAATTTTCTAACTGTAAAAGAAATCACGTTCTTATTCCTTTTTTTTTTTCTTTCTTGAGTTGGAGTTTCACCCTGTCGCCCAGGCTGGAGTGCAGTGGTGCGATCTCGGCTCGCTGCAACCTCTGCCTCCTGGATTCAAGCAGTTCTCCTGCCTCAGCCTCCCAAGTAGCTCGGATTACAGTCATGCGCCATCGTGCCCGGCTGATTTTTTTGCATTTTTATTAGAGACAGGGGTTTCACCGTATTGGCCAGGCTGGCCTCGAATTCCTGAGGTTGTGATCCACCCTCCTTGGCCTCCCAAAGTGTTGGGATTACAGTCATGAGCCACCGCGTCTGGCCCCATGTTCTTATTCTTAAGAGAAAAATAGAAGAAACAGAAGAGAATAGAGGGGAAAATATCCAATATTAAACAATCAACAAACGTAAAGTATTTATTATGTGCCAGGCACTGTGCTTGAAATAACTACTACTAAGATCCATGCATTCCATGTATTCTGCATAGATCCATACATGTGAATCTCATGAATCTTCATAGAATATTCCCTCTGTCTCTCTTTTTCATATATATATATGTGTGTGTGGGTGTGTGTGTGTGTATATATATATGTATACATATATAATTTAAGTTTGTGTACACATCTATATTTTTAATTCAAAGTTGGAGAATGTTTGTATGACTCAGGATACAGCTTCTCATTTAAAAGTGACTTGTGGGCCGGGCGCGGTGGCTCATGCCTATAATCCCAGCACTTTGGGAGGCCAAGGCAGGTGGATTACCTGAGTTCAGGAGTTCGAGACCAGCCTGGCCAACATAATGAAACCCCGTCTCTACTAAAAATACAAAAATTAGCCGGGTGTGGTGGTGGGCACCTGTAATCCCAGCTACTCAGGAGGCTGAGGCAGGAAAATGGCTTGAACCCAGGAGGCGGAGGTTGCAGTGAGCTGAGATCGCGCCATTGCACACTCCAGCCTGGGCGACAAGAACGAAACTCCATCTCAAAAAAAAAAAAAAAAAAAAAAAACAAACCAGTGACTTGTGGCCGGGCGCGGTGGCTCATGCCTGTAATCCCAGTGCTTTGGGAAGCTGAGGCGGGCAGATCACGAGGTCAGGAGATCGAGACCACCCTGGCTAACATGGTGAAACCCCATCTCTCCTAAAAATAGAGAAAATTAGCCGGGCGTGGTGGCGGGTCCTGTAGTCCCAGCTACTTGGGAGGCTGAGGCAGGAGAATGGCTTGAACCCGGGAGGCGGAGGTTGCAGTGAGCTGAGATCATGCCACTGCACTCCAGCCTGGGTGACAGAGCGAGACTCTGTCTCAAAAAAACAAAAAAAGAAGAAAAAAGAAGAAAAAAGATTTCTGGAGAGCTTCCTAATGCCTGGCACTATCCTAAGCATAAAGAGTAGATGGGCGAACAAATCAGACAAAAACGCCTGCTCCCATGGATCTTAAATCTGGTGCGCATTTCTTATATGCGTGCATCTTTTCTGTTTTCATCTTTATTCTGTGCTCCATAGAATGCTCTTTTCTCTCATTTAAGTAACCCTCCCATTCTTGAGTCTAGCACTGTCATCCAGGCTGGAGTGCAGTGGTGCGATCTGGGATCACTGCAACCTCCGCCTCCTGAGTTCAAGTGATTCTCCTGCCTCAGCCTCCGAAACCCTCCCATTCTTTAGTACCCAGGTCAAAGTCCGCTTCCTTCTGTGACTCACCCTGGGCTTTTCCAGCTAGAATGCCAGCTCATCTAGTTACTGGGCATGTGCTCCGTGTTGAGCACTGACATTGCTTTTCTTGAATGTTTAAACTCTTACTCTTCACCTCCCGGCTGGCACTGAGCAATGTCTCCCTTGCACTGTGGTTCCTTATGTTCATGACCCTTTTCTCCTGTGAAACAAAAAGTTCCTTGCAGCCAGTGTCCAGGACTTACCTGTTTTTGCCTCCCTTGCATCACTAAGCACGGGGCCACGTGGACCACTGATGCGTCATACATGTTTCTTGAAGAAAGTAAGTGAAGGGGGAACTGGCCGTGATTCTTGTTGTTTTATATGGGCACGCATCGGACACTGGCCAGTGGACAAAGGAAACAAAGTCTTTTGTTTTGCCTCTGAATGGGTCCAAGTCCTTCCCTGTAAGGCTTGGGGACAGGCCAGTGGTGGAGTAACTGCAGGTCGTGTCCAGGAATACTTCATACCTAACGCCATTTCAGGTATCAGGGATGTCATGCAACATTAGATCACCCCAAGCAAACTTTCCAAAGGATGCCTGTCCAGCTCAACTTCCTTGAAACTTTGGATGTTCTATGAGTTTTCTAATGCTGCTGTGAAAGAGTACCACAAATTTAGTGGCTTAAAACAACACAAAGTTATTATCTTAAAGTTCTGGAGGTCAGAAGTCCAAAATGGGTTTTAGTGGGGCAAGTAAAAGTGTCAACGGGGCAGTGTTCCTTCTGGCGGCTCTGGGGGAAAATGTTTCCTTGCTTTCTTCAGCTTCCAGAGGCTGCCTGTATTCCTTGGCTCATGGCTTCTTCTTTGCCCAAACCTCTGCTTCTGTGGTCACATCTCCTTCTCTGACTGTGACCCTCCATGTAAGGACCCTTGTGAGGACATTGGGCCCACCTGGATCATCCAGGATCATCTCCCCTCTCGAGGTCCTTCATTTAATCACACCTGTAAAGTACCCTTTGCTATGTAAGATGACCTTGTCACAGGCTTTCTTTGGGAAGACATGATTCTGTCTGTCACAAGATTTTTTTTTTTTTTTTTTTTAACGGATTCTCCCTCTATTGCCCAGGTTGGAGTGCAGTGGTGCAATCTCAGCTTACTGCAACCTCTGCCTCCTGGGTTCGAGAGATTCTCCTACTTCAGCCTCCTGAGTAGCTGGGATTACAGGCCCGTGCCATCATGCCTGGCTAGTTTTTTTGTATTTTTAGAAGAGATGGGGTTTTGACATATTGGCCAAGCCGGTCTTGAACTCCTGACATCGTGATCTGTCCGCCTTGGCCTCCCAGAATGCTGGGATTACGGGCTTGAATCACCGTGCCTGGCCAAGTCACAGGTGTTATTGTCACCATTTCTTTGGTTTCCAGGCCTCCCAACAGGGATGGGTTTGACAGAGGGCAGATACGTCTGTGGTTGGTGTTATAAGCTGGTTAGAGCATGAAGATCATGAGTGTCCTGACTCACAATAGTTGGTACTAATGCCCTTGTGCATCCTTCTGATTTAGCATTGTACTATTTAGAACACGCTTGTTCTTTGGAGCCTACTTCCTGAGTTTTCTTTCACTCTCTTTCCACAGTTACGTTCCCACAGCCTAGAATAATAGGACAATAGAATGGTAAGCCAGAAAAATCAACTCTTGTTCCTGGGTGTAGAGAAGGTGAAATATCAGGGAGGGAAATGAGGGATGGGGAATAATTTGTGATTATAATATTTTATTTTTTTGCAATGCAACATCTTGTTAGGCTAGTTTGTCCCAAAATATTTTTAAAAACATACATTTTGCACATGGAGAATCCTGGATTTTTAAATATTACCATATTCTGATCCTGTAGCATTTTTTTTTTTTTTTTTTGCCTGGACATGCAACATATATTATTTGCAAAAGCAGTAAAAGTTCATCTATAGAGAAGATATGTTTAAACAATAGTAATTTGAAAATCATAATGCAGTGGATTGAATGTTTGTGTCCCCTGGCCAATATGTCAAAACCCTGTCTCTACAAAAATACAATGCCAAATGCATATGCCGAAGTCCTGGGAAGAGAGGCCTTAGGAAGGTGATTGGTTGTGAGGGTGGAATCCTGATGATAAGATGAGTGCCCTGTAAGAAGAGGCCCCAAGAACACTCATTCTCAGCTACTTGAGGAGGCAGTGAGAGGCACTGTCTATGAATCAGGACACAGGCCCTCACCAGACACTGAATCAGCCAGCACCTTGACCTGGGACCTCTAGCCTCCAGAACTCTGAGAAATACATGTTTGTTGTTTAATCCAGCCAGTATGTGGGATTCTGTCATAGTAGCCCCGAATGACTGAGACAGATACATAAATCAACAGCAGGATGACGCTCTCTTTGCTTTTCCTCATATTGTCCCTTTCTGGCTGTAATTTGAAAAAATAATATCTGCCACGTACGTGTGCATACTTACCCAGTATTAGGCGTGATAATGCTGCTTTGAATTTGAACAATTAAATATCTTCAAAGTGAAGTATCAGGCTGGTTCATACAATTTATTCTTGTTTAGTGAATGACTAAATCTTTTGTCTGTTTCATAAAACAAATTGAGTATGGTTTCCTTATTAGTTTCCCCAACAACTAAGATTTGTGATATCAGGCATTGGTAATCCTACTTATAAACATTTCTCACTCAGAAGCTAGTGAAGTCACAAGAAATGTTACACAAATGCTCTACGAGGAAGTCTAACAATATAGGAAAATGGTCTCACTGTCAATCTCTTGGATAAAATTGGACAGTTTACAGGGAATCAACTGATGGAACGAGAGACAGTCTCTGCATACTGCCCTGAGAACATACATAACATTTAGGTTTAATTTTATTTAACCCAATAAACCCTGTCGCCAGGCTGGAGTGCAGTGACACGATCTCGGCTCACTGCAACCTCTGCCTCTTGGGTTCAAGAGATTCTCCTGCCTCAGCCTCCAGAGTAGCTGGGATTATAGGTGCGTGCCACCACGCCCAGCTAATTTTTGTATTTTTAGTAGACATGGGGGTTTCACCATGTTGGCCAGGATGGTCTCGATCTCTTGACCTGGTGATCTGCCCGCCTTGGCCTCCCAAAGTGCTGGGATTACAGGCGTGAGCCACCGTGCCCGGCTGAGTTTGATTTTATTTTACAGGAAATACAAGAAGAGGATCATGTGGGCCCCTCTTTCCATTTACAGTCTGGGACAGTCTTGCAAGTCTAGAAGAAGTGAGGAAAATGAGAAGTGTGATTATTGTAGTTAATATGCTAAGTCCCACAGCAAATTTTGATTTTGTTACTGTTTGGAAGTGAAACTCACTGCATTCAACAAGGATTTACTATCTGTGAATTAAAAATTAATGTGCAGTATTAAATTCAATTATTTATTTAAACAGATAAAATACATAAATCAGAAGTGGTATGCTGATGAAAACAAAGAAACACAGGCTGTATTTTTAGAAATAATTTAGAGATTATTTTTCAACTGTATTTTCTTTAACCTTGAGAAATATATTACACTAAAGAATGTATTTTTTCTTTGGTGGAGTGTGGAGCAAAGTTGTCTAATAATAATTTCTTCTATCTCCTCTACAAATGGAAAATAGCTGTAAATATGTTGGCTTTTAATTTGTTTTTGATCTCTGGAAAACAATGACTTTTGACTTCTTAGTGGAGAGGACTGGCTTTTATATTTGTGTGGTCTTCAGTTCACAATGGGTTATGATCGGAAAGGTTGCCTGTAAGTCAGTTGTTTGATTTCTGAGCCATGGTTGGATTTTGCAGACCAATCAGTGAAGGTAGCAGGTGCCAGTATGTACCTTTCAGATGGGCCCTGTAAGGGGGACACCTGCCTTAGTAACCACGGCTCTGGGGGAAAGGGGTGTTCTCTGCCTGCATTGTTCTGACTGTCTTGTCAATTGTTCCCCAAATCCCCACTTCAGGGGAGCCCTGACTCCCTGCACTTGGCTTCTGAGTTCCCCTCCGGCTGGGCTCCTCTTCCTGGCTGCTCACTGTCTTCCCAACCATCTCCATCTTCAACGCCGATGAGGCCCTGCACTTTGCATCTCAGATCACTGAGGGAGCCTAACAGACACTCAGGGCTTTTGCTTAATAATCCGCACACCTCTGGCTTTTATTTTGCTATTTCTCATGATTATAGGTGGTGCCAAAACCCTACTGAACACATGATCTATCTGAATTAGAGGAGAAATCAGAATCACAGGCTAGAAGCCGGGTGTAGTGGCTCATGCCTGTAATCCCAACACTTTGGGAGGCTGAGGCACGCGGATCACGAGGTCAGGAGATGAAGACCATCCTGGCCAACACGGTGAAACCCCGTCTCTACTAAAAAATATAAAAAAGTAGCCAGGCGTGTTGGTGGACACCTGTAGTCCCAGCTACTAGGGAGGCTGAGGCAGGAGAATGGCGTGAACTCGGGAGGCGGAGGATGCAGTGAGCCGAGATTGTGCCACTGCACTCCAGCCTGGGTGACAGAGAGACTCTCTCAAAAACAAAAATACAATTAACTAGAATACAATTAACTCCAAGTCTTCTCCTACAGATGAGGAAGTTTCCGGTGCACCAGGAACTATGCTCAATCGTTTACATCTGCACACTTAGTATTCAAGACAAATTTATGAGGCAGACATTACATTGTGAATTACCCCCATTTTACAGCTGAAGAAATGGAGGCTTACGGAGATGATGTAACCTGCTTAGCTTGTAGTCGGCATTCAGGCCTGGGCTAGACAGAAACATGGGGATCAAAAGCACACATCCCTCTCTTTGAGATGAACCCACCTCTTCCCTCCGGCAAGGAGGCTCCTGTAGAGCCAATGCCAGGGTATAAGGCATTTTCCATTTTCCAACTCCCAGTAGTCTAGAAAATAAAGATACTTTTCTACTTTCCACCATTGTGATAAAATGTATTAAAATAAAGTATTAAAAGAGGCTTAATAACGACATGAAAAAAGAATGCCAACTGGAATTCCCACAGTGTCCCTCCTGGGTATTTTTCAGATTACTTACAGAGGCTGGAAGGACTTTTTTTTTTTTGTTTTTGGGACGGAGTTTTGCTCTTTTGCACAGGCTGTAGTGCAGTGGCGCAATCCCGGCTCACTGCAAGCTCCACCTCCCGGGTTCATGCCATTCTCCTGCTCCAGCCTCCAGAGTAGCTGGGACTACGGGCGCCCGCCACCACGCCTGGCTAAGTTTTTGTATTTTTAGTAGAGATGGGGTTTCACCGCGTTGGCCAGGATGGTCTCGATCTCCTGACCTCGTGATCTGCCCGCCTAGGCCTCCCAAAGTGCTGGGATTACAGGCATGAGCCACCTCGCCCAGCCGAAAGGACTCTTACAGCATCTAAGCTCGTAGCTGGCACTTGTAACTCACCGACCCAGGCAGATACCACTAAGGCTGCCACATTGTTGCTGTGAGGATCGATACTACAGTAATTCACTGATGTGGTCTGACTGCTGCTCTCCGGTCCGTGGCTCGCAGGCTTTCTGACGTCTTTCACTTGCAGACAAGAAGCAGCTGAGCTGTGAGGCCCATGGGGTTGTGCAACCAGGGGAGTGAGAGAGAGCCCCACATGGGAATTGGCAAATGGGAGGTGTTCTGGATGTTTCATGGAAAAAGGGTTACACGGACCCATGGCTGGGCGTGCGTGTATTCTCTGCACACATTCATTTGTTGGAGTAGACTTGATTCACGTATGGGTCCTTAGAGGGGATGATGCTGGTGGTCTCCCCTGACCACAGGGGTGAATTTCTTGTGTGTGCGTGTCCTTGGGTGTGAGTTTTGCTCGAGCAGTAGCATCAGTTGCTGCAGGCTACGCGCGCCAGCTTTGTCTGTGTGTGCAGAGATGTGGAAGGGACCCTGGCTGAGTCTTATCCAACACCAGACAGGTCAGTGAGCGGGAAAACCCACAGGAGAGTGAACAGGAAACCCACAGGGGAGTGAGTACAAATCCCAGCATCCTTGCCTTGGCTTCGGGCTATTCCGAGGCATTCTTACTCCCATGGACTCAGGCTCAAGCTGCCTTCTGAGGGCTCTGCTGAGATCGCACCTGTGCTGGGTGCCGGCCTCCGTGTCCTGCTCCCTTGCCTGCCAATTGCTTTCTTCCAGGTGCGTGTCCCTACCTCAGACTCTGCTTCTGGGGACCTCAACCTGAGGGAGACCTAGTACAGGTAAATAAATTGTGGAATCTTCCCCAAAAGGGATTATGCAGCCATTAAAAGTGATGATGTAAAGGCTGGGCGTCGTGGCTCACGCCTGTAATCCCAACACTTTGGGAGGCCGAGTCGGGCGGATCGCGAGGTCAGGAGATCTAGACCATGCTGGCTAACATGGTGAAACCCCGTCTCTACTAAAAATACAAAAAAAAAAAAAAAAAAAAAAAAAAAAAAAAAATTAGCCGGGCGTGGTGGCAGGCGCCTGTAGTCCCAGCTACTCGAGAGGGTGAGGCAGGAGAATGCCGTGAAACCGGGAGGCGGAGCTTGTAGTGAGCAAACATCGTGCCACTGCACTCCAGCCTGGGCGACAGAGCAAGACTCCATCTCAAAAAATAAATAAATAAATAAATAAATAAATAAATAAATAAATAAATAAATAAAAATAAATTAGCTGGGCGTGGTGGCCTACGCCTGTAGTCTCAGCAACTTGGGAGGCTAAGACAGGTGAACTGCTTGAACCCAGAAGGCGGAGATTGCAGTGAGCCGAAATCACGCCACTGAACTCCAGCCTGGGAGACAGAGCGGGATTCTGTCTCAAAAAAAAAAAAGTAAAATAAAAAAAGTGATGATTTAAAAGTACAATAATGGTTTCACAAAGAAGTTTACAATTTATAGTTAGCAAGAAGACAGAGTCAACCAAAATGTCTATGGTTTTTAATTTTTGTAAGAAAAAATGTGAGCATGGATAAATCTCAAAATCTATAATAAGAAATATCTTCAGGATAAAGGGTAATTTTAATTTTTTTCTATTTGTTTGCTTGCATTTAAAAATTTTTCTATATTAAAAATAACAGCCGGCGGGGCATGGTGGCTCATGCCTGCAATCCCAGCACTTTGGGAGGCCGAGGTGGGTGGATCACCTGAGGTCAGGAGTTTGAGACTAACCTGGCCAACATGGTAAACGCCCCCGTGTCTATTAAAATACAAAAATTAGCTGGCGTGGTGGTGGGCAGCTGTAATCCTAGCTACTTGGGAGGCTAAGGCACAGAATCGCTTGAACCTGGGTGGTGGAGGGTGCAGTGAGCCGAGATCGTGCCACTGCACTCCGGCCTTGGTGACAAAGAGACTTTGTCTCAAAAAAAAACAAAAACAAAAACAAAAAACAACAAAACAAAAAAACAGCTAACATTTATTGAATGCTTACCATGTGCAAACCTCTGTGATAAGCACTCTGCTTACATTATCAACTTTACAACAGCCCTAGGAGGTAGACATGAAGATAATTTGTATGCTATGGATTAGGCAACAAAGGCACAGAGAGGTTAGGTAACTGACATCAGGTCACACAGCTCCCAAGCAACATAACTGAGATTCAAGCTAGTCTGACCTCAGAGCCCATCCTCTGAACCACTACAATCTACTGCCTCCCAAACAAGCTTTCAGTATCCATGCCATCATATTATAAGAGTTTAAAGTTAAAAAAAAAACAAAACACCAAATGAACCATGTGCATAGCAGCATTATTCCCAATAGCTAAAGGCAAAAACAACACAAATGTCCATGGGGGGATGAATGGATAAGCAAACTGTGGCAAACACATGCCATGGAATGTTAATCGGCCTTAATAGGAATGGAATTCTGACACAAGCTGGAACACGGATGAAACTTGAGGACATCAGGCTAAGTGAAAGAAGCCAGCCACAAAAGAACAAACATTGTATGATTCACTTAGATGAGGTCTCTAGAGAAGTCAAAGCCATAGAGACAGAAAGTAGAATGGGGGTTGTCAGGGGCTGGGGGATGGGAGATGCAGAGTTACTGTTCAATGGGTGCAGAGTTTCAGTTTTGCAGAATAAAGAGTTGTGGAGCCTGGGCACCATGGCTCACGCCTGTAATCCCAGCACTTTGGGAAGCCGAGGTGGGCGGATCACGAGGTCAGGAGATGGAGACCGTCTTGGCCAACATGGTGAAACCCCGTCTCTATTAAAATACAAAAAATTAGCTGGGTGTGGTGGGTGCGGGCCTGTAATCTCAGCTACTTGGGAGGCTGAGGCAGGGGAATCACTTGAACCTGAGAGGTGGAGGTTGGGGTGAGCTGAGATTGCGCCACTGCACTCCAGCCTGGGCCACAGAGTGAGACTCCGTCTCAAAAAAAAAAAATTAGCTGGGCATGGTGGCACATACCTGTAGTCCCAGCTACTTGGGAAGCAGGGAGATTCTCCTGAGGCAGGAGAATTGCTTGAAACTGGGAGGTGGAGGTTGCCGTGAGCCGAGATCGTACCATTGCACTCCAGCCTGGCAACAGAGCGAGACTTTGTTTCAAAAAGAAAGAAAGAAAGAAAGAGTTGGGGAGATGGATGGTGGAGATGGTCGTACACCGATGTGAATGTCCCCACTGCCGCTGAAGTACACATTTAAACATGGTGAACATTGTAATTTTTATGTTACATACTTATGAATATTTTACCACAATAAAAAAAAACTGATAAAAATAGAGACTCTGGGAGAGCATGGTGACAAAGATTCTTTGCATGACCCAACTTTCATGATCTATATTTATTTCATTAGCTATATATTTATCAGGCTCCCAAACCTTCTCCTAGGCCCATCTGTGCACTTCCTTGTAAAATCAGCTTTTGCAAAAATCTTGCTAAGTCAGTTTAGTTAAGAACCTGCCACCATCAGTATCTGATCACCCTTGATGATACTGGATTGGGTTGCCCATCCTCTGCCATCCCACTGGTGATGTCTGATCAGCCTGGCCTGCTTTCAACATGCATCCTGTTAGGTTGGTTTAGACAGCATCCCCCTGACCTACGGTTTCCTCTTAGTCACTTTCCACCCACTGACCTCGCCCCCACCTTGCTCCTTGGCTGTGCATTCCGACTTGCTCATGCTGTATTCGGAGGTGAGCCCCGTCTCTCTCCCCTACTGCAAAATCCTATTGCAGTGGTCTCTATGCCTATAGCCATGGTCTCCAGAATAAAGCCTTCCTTCTTTATTTTAACAAGTATTATTGAATATTTTATTTCTTTAGTAATGAGCACCAGGAGGCTTTCTGATCACTTTCAGTCTCTACAGGGAAACCCTTAGCATGTCACAGTTCCCCCGTGATTTCCACTCTGTCTAGTAGGGACCTGTCACATGCCTTGTCCCCTTTGCATATTGCCCTATGGACAGGGATGGCTGGGGCGATAAGACAAGGGTGTCAGCGACTGGTTGTCCATGTGACACTGAGACCTTTAGCAAGTCAACGCAGAATGTTCAGTGTTGTTTCCAGAAGCAGAGCTTTTTGAATCAGATCAATCTGGGCCAATATTTTCCCTGAGCAATCTCATCTGCGAACTCTTTTTAGTGTCCTGTGGATTATTGCTATTATTCTCAAGAATTTAATTGAAGGTGAGGGGAGGAATGTGACAGTAAAATTTGAGTATAAAAAGGATGACTTTAGAATCAGTGCTTTTCAATATGTCTGTAAGCACTAAAGTTTATTTGGTTACATTTTTTATTACTGACTTGTTAGCTGTATCTCTATTATCTGCTTTACGGATTTGGCTGTTCTTATTTAAAAGTCTAAACAAGCAAAACCTTTACTTTATAAGTCTGATAGTTCTGTGGCCAGATGGTGCCAGTTCACTTCCAGCTGAACCGGTACAGCCTGACCACACTCCATGCTGACAGATAAGATGCAAGATTCTCTTGTGTGGCATGAAACTGTTGAATATCTCAAATAATTTTCTTCTAGAAGTAGAACTGCTGCTGATACATGTGATACCAAGCAACTGCGGCCAGATTTTTTCCTTATAGCAAATGTTTGATCTAATTTCCCATTGGTCTTACGCTTCTGGTGTTATCTCATAGTCCCTAAATGTAAAATCATCCTCAGAACCTGCATTAACGTATAAAGCTGGGTGTAGGAAGCCGAAACAATGAAAAACAATACCTTAGAAATGCAAAGGCTAAATGGGGCCAAGCTGGTTTTATTATCTTTGTATATACTCAGTTTGCCAATTTTTTTTCCTGGGGTTCTTTTAATGATGGTGTAGAGGGTTTTGATAGCATACAGATCATGCCAATTTGGTTGACAAATCCTAGCAACAGAATTATCCTAAATGCACTTTTGGGGGACATGATTAGAATCATTATGCAGCTCTGTGGGCAGCTGTGGGAAGGGAAGACACTTTGATGTTAGGGCTAAGACAATGGCCTTTTTTCTGAAAAGTACTAAGAAGACAAACTCATTAGTGCTGATAGTGATGAATTAGCATATCTTGGACACGGTGACCATGTTTTGTGAACCCCCATTAATAGAATGCATGTGGTTCATCTGAATAATTTGGATACATGGTCAGGAGACCTAGCATAGCAGCTGTTTTATCTCTCTAATTATTATTCATAAACTTTCTTAGTCCATTTGTGTTGCTATAAAGGAATACCTGAGGCTGGGTCATCTATAAGAGAAGAGATTAGACCGGGTGCAGTGGCTCACGCCTGTAATCCTAGCACTTTGGGAGGCTGAGGTGGGCAGATCACGAGGTCAGGAGATCGAGACCATCCTGGCTAACACAGTGAAACCCTGTCTCTATTAAAAATACAAAAAATTATCTGGGCGTGGTGGTGGACGTCTGTAGTCCCAGCTACTCGGGAGGCTGAGGCAGGAGAGCGTCATGAACCCGGGAAACGTGAGAAACGTACCAATTTTTCTCATCCTCTCCCAAGAGTCTTCCTTTGGGCTTGGCGCAGTGGCTCAAGCCTGTAATCCCAGCACTTTGGGACGCCGAGAGGGGCAGATCACCTATGGTCAGGAGTTTGAGACTAGCCTTGAAATATGTGATACTTTAAAATTCTTTGCTTCCCTCCCTTCTCATCAGATACTTCTTTGCACTGCTAGCCTATCTAAGTACGTGCTTTCTTAGAAGTTTCAGGGGCTAATCTTGAGACAAACCAGGCATGGAGACCTAGCTGTGAAATTCCAGAGATCACGTTAAGGCAGTTAGTCTACAACCCAGCCATTGTCGAGATGATGCGAGCCCATACTCCAGGTGAACTGTGACTCAAGATGGCCGCTGGAACAAGACACACAGACCTTGGACCCAGCACCATCTCACATGCCTCCATTCCAAGTTCCCCTGTATAAATCCTTCTCCTCAGCGTAACTTTTGGAATGATCTTTTAAAGGCATGAATCTGGCCATTCCCCAGCTGCTAGCCTTTGAATAAAATTACTTCCTTTCAGCATACCTCAATTCTTGAGTTTTTGACCTCTGAGTAGCTGCACTTGCAGCTGGACTTGGGTTTCGTTACGACAGGAAACGATCCTAAGTGACACTGCAAAGCTGCCCAATTTTAAGGCCAGTCTATATGCATTTTTTGACAAATAATTCTTAATTATTGTTGCACCGATCCTGTTGATGGAGTAACTGACTTTTTCTTTGGCTTCCATACGTCCTTCATGTTTATTACATCAGAGGTACCTTATGCATTGCGTTTTTCATTTGCGTATTACCAGCATCTGAATGGCAGAATTAAAATAATAACATGTGAGGAGGTTGAAATTAATCCATTGGTTATCCCTGGGGAGTGGGGATCAAATGTGGTGGAGAATTTTATTTTCTATTTCATAAACTTCTGTGTTGTTCATTTCCTTTTTACTACAAGCCAATGTCACATTTCTAATGACAAATAAAGAAAATATTTTCACAAGGCAGACAAGTAGTTGCAAAGATGGTTAAGTTGGTAAACCCAGATCAGTTATGCATCTCAAGTACCAATCGTCTTTGAGCAATAATTTCATTGAATCAAAGTCTAATTCAGTGTTTCTACTTGCTTTGTCGGGGCACTAATTCCTCTAACATAGAATGGCTGTGAGATTGACTGGGAATTACTTTTTGGAGTACAAAACTTCAGAAAGTGGAAAAGAGCCATTGTTGTATCTGAATGCATTTGTTATACATTTTCAGAAATGAATAGAAAAACACTGAAAACGTAATATATTTTTGCTAGTGTTTGAGTGATTGTTAAATAGCAATCCACTTGAAATTTTAACATTTGCTACTGCTGCTGAATATTTATGTACTTCTGCAGTGCTGTCTATTATGCTCAATAAAAGATGTATACATAAGGAGATATGAAGGTATGCCACCATTGGGGTGACCTTAACTTCAAGGAAGAACAAAACAAAAAAACTAAACCAGCAAGCTAATTAATGTGAGACTGTAGCCCAACCTTTGTGAAAATCATCTTCCAAATATTTTGGTCAAAATTTTTTAGGACAACGGTGTAGAATGGAGGAATGCAAGTCATTAAGAGGCAGTGAATGCCCTGGAAAATGTTTTATTCAATGTGTACATTAATTAGGCTCTGTTGATTAGGGGTGAGAGAAACCAGTCGACCCTACTGAAATCATGTGTTTCTTCCTGCTGGGGAGATGGATTCCCTAGTCATGTTTGTTTGTTTGTTTTTTTGTTTTAGTTTGTTTTTGTTTTTGAGACAGGGTCGTGCTCTGTCACCCAGGCTGGAGTACAGTGGCGTGATCTCGGCTCACTGCAAACTCTGCCTCCCGGGTTCACATGTTTCTCCTGCCTCAGCCTCCCGAGTAGCTGAGACTACAGGTGCCTGCCACCATGCCTGGCTAACTTTTTGTATTTTTAGTAGAGACAGGGTTTCACCGTGTTAGCCAGGATGGTTTCGATCTCCTGACCTCGTGATCCGCCTGCCTCAGCCTCCCAAACTGCTGGGATTACAGGCGTGAGCCACCGCACCCAGCCCCGACTCCCTAGTTATTGACTGACCACCAGGTTGCAACCTGTACCCATGATAGCGGGGGGAGGGGCCTGATAATGCACAATCCCATCAGGACGAGGGGCTGTTCTCCAGAATGTCACTGGATGGACAAACCGCAGTGCCCACCACGGAGGGCCATTTGCCTAGGGTCTGGTAAGTTTATCAGCGCTTGGAAGGCTACCTAAAGGGAATTACATTTAGACACTGAATAATTATGTGGATATATATTCTTCTAAGTTCCAGTCTAGCCAAGTACTTGTAAAAAAAATCACTTAGTCATAAATGACCTAGCAAAATGACCTAGCAAACCAAGAAAAAATATTGCTCAAATCATATCCTGTGACAGCTTTGTTGGAAATGCATAAACTGCATTTGGGACCTCTTGATGATCATTGCCTCAAAAATTTTTCATACTCCTCTGAGTCAGAGAAATCTCTCTTATCTAAACTAACTTATTTCATCGCATGTAAAAATTTGGATCTGTCATGAAATAATTATACTTAGGATGATGATGATCAATGCATACCCTTTTACAAAATGATGGCTATTTGCCAGGCACCTGTGAAGCTTATCACATGTGTTTTCTTACATAATTTTTTTTTTTTTGAGACGGAGTCTCACCTTGTTGCCCAGGCTGGAGTGCAATGGTGCGATCTTGGCTCACTGCAACCTCTGCCTCCCAGGCTCAAGCGATTCTCCTCCCTCAGCCTCCCAAGTAGCTGGGATTACAGGAGTGCACCACCATGCCCGACTAATTTTTGTATTTTCAGTAGAGATGGGGTTTCACCATGTCGGCCAGGCTGGTCTCAAACTCCTGACCTCAGGTGATCCACCTACCGTGGTCTCCCAAAGTGCTGGGATTACAGGCATGAGCCATCGCACCCGGCCCATGTTTTCTTACATAATTTCTACAAAAATTGTATAAGTTTAAAAATCCTCATTTTTATAAATAGGTTTGAACAAAGCACATAGCTTACCTGAGTTCACATTATGTCATTAATCAGGGGTTCAAACCAGATTTGCCTGTTTCTGCAGCCTGTCCTCTCATCTGCTCTACTATATTGACCTGATCTGAGCTGCAGTATGCCTGCATGAATGAAGGGAAATGAGACGTTGCAGCAATTATTCACAGAGCTGAGCATGGGGGGTGGGGTGGAGAGTGACTCTTTTTGGAGAGGGAGATGATTTGACATCTTTGATGACTTAGGGGTATCATTTTTCAACTAAAGCATTCACTTAGCTGTTATCATTCCGATCATTTGTATTCATTCAATTTTCCATCTAGCAAGGTAAGCACTTTTAATTTCCATATGTAAAATAGATAAACGTATTTTTATTAAGAGGGTTGTATCCTGAATGAAACCCAATATCTTTCACCGTTAATTGCTCCATTTAAGTTTTGGGAGGGTAAAACAATAACAGTATTTGTAGGTGCTTCATAATTAGTTGAGCATTTTCCAATTCATTGCCTGCAGTGTAACAAAGCAGGTGTTGGTACCTCTATTTCATTGATGAGGAAACAATTTTAGAGAGTTGTGTGACTT
This sequence comes from Homo sapiens, assembly GCF_000001405.40. Lineage (NCBI taxonomy): Eukaryota > Metazoa > Chordata > Mammalia > Primates > Hominidae > Homo > Homo sapiens. The sequence goes on along the minus strand of NW_025791785.1, from coordinate 234,808 downwards.
TTTCTAAATCTTCAGACTCCAGATCTCGTGCTCTATTCCTTACAATTCTTTAAAAAGCAATTGAATGCTGGTGGTAGAAAGGTGAGCAGAGTTGTACTGTAATCAAACAGAGATGAGCATTAACAATGGAAGTAAACTGCCAGTTGGAAGAAGTATAATGAGGTCATTCAAAGCTATTAATAACTTCATAGGACAGTGATTTTCACATTAGTTTTGTTGTTGTTGTTGTTTTTTATACTTTTTTGTTTTGTTTTGTTTTGTTTTGTTTTTTGAGACGTAGTCTCGCTCTGTTGCCCAGGCTGGAGTGCAGTGGTGTGATCTCAGCTCACTGCAACCTCCATCTCCCGAGTTCAAGCAATTCTCTGCCTCTCAGCTAGTACCTGGGATTACAGGCACCTGTCACCATGCGCAGGTAATTATTTTTGGATTTTTAGTAGAGACGGGGTTTCACCATCTTGGCCAGGCTGGTCTTGAACTCCTGACATCATGATCCACCCGCCTCGGCCTCCCAAAGTGCTGGGATTACAGGCGTGAGCCACCGCGTCTGGCCCACACTAATTTTTTAGCTGTAGAATGGGTGTCACGACCACCACTGCCTGCAGCACATTTGTGTTGATGATTATTTTCTTTTTCTCTTTTCTTCTGTTAATGTGAATAATATCATTGATCAATTTTCTAATCTTAACTCAATCTTGCATTCCTGGAATAAAACCAACTTCATGGTTATGTATTATTACATATTACTAGGTTTGATTCACTATTATTCTATGTATTGTTTTGCACCTGTGTTCATGAGAATTACTGACCTGTAATATTTCTTTTTATTGCAATGTCCTTATTAGGTTTTAGTATCCAGGTTATGTTTCTTGTGGTTTTTTTTTTTTTTTTTTTTGATGGAGTCTCACTCTGTCACCCAGGCTGGAGTGCAGTGGTGCGATCTCGGCTCACTGCAAGCTCCGCCTCCTGGGTTCACGCCTTTCTCCTGCCTCAGCCTCCCAAGTGGCTGGGACTACAGGCGCCAGCCACCACGCCCGGCTAATTTTTCGTATTTGTAGTAGAGACGGGGTTTCACCATGTTAGCCAGGGTAGTGTCAATCTTTTGACCTCGTGATCCACCCGCCTCGGCCTCCCAAAGTGCTGGGATTACAGGCATGAGCCACCACGCCCAGCCCAGGCTATGTCACTGTTATCAAAAGAGTTGGCATTTCAACTTTTTCCTTTTTAAAATTGTTCTGTAAGATTTCATGTAAGATTGATGTTATTTCTTCCTTAAATAGTAGGAAGAATATAATGGTGAAATCATCTGGGCCTGCAATTTGCTTCTGGAAAAGATTGTAAATTATGAATTAAATTTTTTAAGTGCATATATTAATAATAGCCCTCAACTTTTCTATTTCTTCTTGCATCATTTTTGCTAAATTGTGTTTTTCAAGTCACGTTTTAGTTAGGGTTCTCCAAAGAGATAGAACTGATAGGAGATGTGTGTATGCATACATATACACATGCTCAGCTCTGTGAGTAATTGCTGCAACGTCTCATTTCCCTTCATTCATACAGGCATACTGCAGCTCAGATCAGGTCAATATAGTAGAGCAGGTGGGAGGACAGGCTGCAGAAACAGGCAAATCTGGTTTGAACCCCTGATTAATGACATAATGTGAACTCAGGTAAGCTATGTGCTTTGTTCAAACCTATTTATAAAAATGAGGATTTTTAAACTTATACAATTTTTGTAGAAATTATGTAAGAAAACATGGGCCGGGTGCGATGGCTCATGCCTGTAATCCCAGCACTTTGGGAGACCACGGTAGGTGGATCACCTGAGGTCAGGAGTTTGAGACCAGCCTGGCCGACATGGTGAAACCCCATCTCTACTGAAAATACAAAAATTAGTCGGGCATGGTGGTGCACTCCTGTAATCCCAGCTACTTGGGAGGCTGAGGGAGGAGAATCACTTGAGCCTGGGAGGCAGAGGTTGCAGTGAGCCAAGATCGCACCATTGCACTCCAGCCTGGGCAACAAGGTGAGACTCCGTCTCAAAAAAAAAAAAATTATGTAAGAAAACACATGTGATAAGCTTCACAGGTGCCTGGCAAATAGCCATCATTTTGTAAAAGGGTATGCATTGATCATCATCATCCTAAGTATAATTATTTCATGACAGATCCAAATTTTTACATGCGATGAAATAAGTTAGTTTAGATAAGAGAGATTTCTCTGACTCAGAGGAGTATGAAAAATTTTTGAGGCAATGATCATCAAGAGGTCCCAAATGCAGTTTATGCATTTCCAACAAAGCTGTCACAGGATATGATTTGAGCAATATTTTTTCTTGGTTTGCTAGGTCATTTATGACTAAGTGATTTTTTTTTACAAGTGCTTGGCTAGACAGGAAGTTAGAAGAATATATCTCCACCTAATTATTCCATGTCTAAATGTAATTCCCTTTAGGTAGTCTTCCAAGTGCTGATAAATTTACCAGACCACAGGCAAATGGCCCTCCGTGGTGGGCACTGTGGTTTGTCCATCCAGTGACATTCTGGACAACAACCCCTTCTGCACTCCATCTCATCCTGATGGGATTGTGCATTATCAGGCCCCTCCCGGCGCTATCATGGGTACAGGTTGCAACCTGGTCAGTCAACGACTAGGGTGTCCGGGCCGGGTGCGGTACCCCTCAATCCAGGATACCCCTTAATCCAGGCAAGTGTGACACCCAAAATCAATCACTGTCCATTTTATTTAAAATTTCTAAGTAATGGTATGAAGTTGCTTATAACATCTTCTTACTCTCTTTTTAATATCTCTAATGTCTTGAGTGATGGCTGTCTTTTCTCTGCATATTTGTAATTATTTATTTTTCTTTTTATTTTAATCAGAATTGCCAGGGTTGAATCAGTCTTATTTGTCTTTTCAAAAATGTCAATTGTTGGCTTTTGTAATTTTTTTCTCTAATATGAAATTATTTTTACTTTATTAATTTATGTTCTTATTTTAATTGCTTTCTTCTTTCTTTTTTTTTTTTTTTTTCTGAGACATAGTCTTGCTCTGCTGCCCAGGCTGGAGTGCAGTGGTATGATCACAGCTCACTGCACCCTTGACCTCCCAGGTTCAATCGATCCTCCCACCTCAGCCTCCTGTTTAGCTGGGACAACAGGCATACACCACCAGACCTAGCTAATTTTTGTATTTTTTGTAGAGACAAGGTTTCACCATGTTGCCCAGGGTGGTCTCGAACTCCTGGGCTCAAGCAATCCACTGACCTTGGCCTTCCAAAGTGCTGGGATTATAGGCATGAGCCACAGTACTTGGTTTTAAATGCTTTCTTCTTTCTAATATTTGTCAGTTTAATTTACTGTCATTTTATTTTAATTTCTTGTGATACATTCTTATATCACTAATTTTTCCACTTTCTTCTTTTATAATACATATATATACATTGATAACTTTCTCTTTAAGCATGACTTCAGCTGCATTATACAATAATTTATATTTTCATTGTCATCAGCTTAAAAATATTTCCTAACTTCTGTTATAAGTTTTTCTTTGATCCATGGGTTATATAGAATATAATTTCTTAGTCTGAAACATATGGGAGTCTTCGAATTTATCTTTTTTTTTTAGTGATGTCTAGGTTCATTTCACTGTAGTGAAACAGGTTCTAGATCATTCAATCCTTTGATATTTATTGAGTTTTTTAAATGACTCATCATATAATCAATTTTTGATAAACGTTTTACATACATTTTAAAAGAAAGTTCATTCTATAGTTATTAAGTGCAGTGTTAAGTATATGTAGAGTAGGTCAAATTTGCCAATTGTGTTGTCAGATATTTCATATCTCTGCATCTTTTTGTCTGACTCTTTTATCGTTTACCAAGAGAGAAACATTAAAATCTCCCAGTCTGTGGATTTATTTTATTTTATTTTACTTTTGGAGCTATGTTGCTAGGTGCAAGGAATTAAAAATTTTTTTCTCCCTGGAGGATCAACTCTTTTACAATCTTTAAATGTCTTTATTTCTATTAATGCTGTTCATCGAATTTGTTTGATATTAGTACAGCTATACCTGCTCTCTTTTGGTTAATGCTTATATGATACATCTTTTCCAATAATTTTACTTCAAACATCTCTGTGTACTTAAATTTTCCATATTTAAATATGCAAGCATAATATAGTTGTTTTAAAAATGTAGTCTATTAATCTTTGCCTTTTAATTTGGAGAACTTAGTAATTTATAATTATTGTAATTACTAGTTTAGCTCATTTATACTAAATGTAATTATTACCATATTTGGGTCATAGATATAAATATATCATATTACTATCTGTATTCTCTTTATTCTTTCTCTTTTCTGTTTGTTATTTTTGTTATTCTGTTGTTTTGGATTTGGGAACCTTCTGATTTTAGACACATTTTCACTTCTGCTTTACAGTCGCCTCATGCATGATTTCAATTTCTAAGAGTTTCTGGGGTTTACTGATATAAGCTAGCAATAATAAAAAGTTTTTTTTTTGTTTTGTTTTGTTTTTTTGAGACGTAGTCTCCCTCTGTCACCAGGTTGGAGTGCAGTGGTGCAATCTTGGCTTACTGAAACCTCTGCCTCCCGGGTTCAAGCGGTTCTCCTGCCTCAGCCTCCTGAGTAGTTGGGACAACAGGCACGCACCACCACGCCCGACTAATTTTTGTACTTTTAGTAGAGATGGGGTTTCACCATGTTGGCTAGGATGGTCTCGATCTCTTGACCTTGTGATCCGCCCGCCTCAGCCTCCCAAAGTGCTGGGATTACAGGCATTAGCCACAGTGCCTGGCCAAAATAAGTTTTTTTATTCAATTTCCTCTCTCTGTTAGCTAGTTATTATTACATGCTTTTATTAACCTTTTAGTGATTATTTTAGAAATTAAAATACGCATCCTTGGCATTTTAGAGACGGCTACAAATTATTCTCTTGTCTGTATTTTCTACCTTTTAATCTTTGTGTATTCAGTGAGAATATTTTATTTAAATCTCCCTTATTTTTTACTAGTATTCTCTTGTATTGGATTTATTCTGCTCTTAAACCTTTCTATTTAATTTCTTATTTTAGTTATTATATTCTCAGTACTAAAATTTTTATGTGATTTTTTTATTTTTTGAGACACAGTCTTGCTCTGTTGCCCAGGCTGGAGTGCAGCGGCACGATCTTGGCTCACTGCAACCTCCACCTCCCATTTTTAATTCCCAAAAGAATTTGAGAGATTGTTTTGCCTCAGCCTCCCAAGTAGCTGGGACTACAGGTATGCACCACTGTGTCTGGCTAATTTTTTTTTTTTTTTTAGATGGAGTCTCGCTCTGTCTCCCAGGCAGGAATGCAGTGGCACGATCTCAGCTCACTGAAAGCTCCACCTCCTGGGTTCATGCCATTCTCCTGCCTCAGCCTCCCGAGTAGCTGGGACTACAGGCACCCACCACCATGCCTGACTAAATTTTTGTATTTTTAGTAGAGACGGGGTTTCACAGTGTTAGCCAGGATGGCCTCGATCTCCTGATCTCGTGATCCTCCCGCCTAGGCCTCTCAAAGTGCTGGGATTACAGGCGTGAGCCACCGTGCCTGGCCTTTTTTTTTTTTTTTTTTGTATTTTTTAGTGGAGACAGGATTTCAACATGATGGCCAGGCTGGTCTCGATCTCCTGACCTCACCTCAGGTGATCTGCCTGCCTCGGCCTCCCAAGTGCTGGGATTACAAGCATGGGCCACTGCACCTGGCCTGATTGTTTATTTAAAATAAATTTCTGTTTCCTAGTGAAACTATTGTCATCTGTTTAATTGAACACGTTAATCGCAGTTATTTAAAAATCCATATTTATTAACGTATCAATTTCTATTTATTTTTCCTTGTTTTTTAATAATTTTTATGGAATGCAAATATTAAGTATAAAAAATTTAAGAGCCATTGGATGATAGCTTCCTCTAGAAAGGATTTCATTTTCTTCTGGCAGGCAGTTATGGGAATGGTAGATCACTTTGATCCAACCAGGGATTGAGTTGATTTGAGGCTGTTTCTATCTTTGTGAGATCTGCTCTACTTCCATTTTGCCTTTACTCCTGGGGCACACTCTGGGATGTTTAGCAGGGCTAGCCTTCCCTAGCTGGCCGTGAACTCCAGTTTGTATTTTTTCAACACAACAGGGCTGCTGAAACTTTTTATTTTTGAGTCTTTGGTTGTTGCTTTCTGCTTAGCTTTTCGGTCTAGAAGAGTATTAGACTAAATCCTGTACAAGTCTTCTGTTCTTCAACATCTCCCTCTAAACCGTGGCTGTCTTGATAACTCTGACCTCCAGTCTTGTTTCCCCCGCTCTGTGAGACTACTGCAAACCCTTCGCGGTGACTTTCTGCCTGGTTTTCAGCCTCTAATTCGAGACATCTAATTGACCCACATTTCAGAGGAAAGGCACAAAGAAAGATTATTTTGCCATCATATTTTTTTTCTTGCCTTTGGCCGCTCAATCCATTGGTTACTCTCCAGTGTCTTCCGGCAGCATCTAAACAATTACCCTGATTTTACAGTGTTCCTACTGGGAAGGGTTGGTCTCATATGAGCAATACTGTAACAGAAGCGGAAATTATTTTGTTTTGATTTCATGGATATTTATTTTCTTTTGTTTTGAAACTTTTTTGTCTTTATCATTCATGTTAAAGATTTTCTTATATGTGGTAATTATTAAAGAAAAAAATATTCAGGACACTGAAGATGGCAAGTTCAGACTCTATTTAAAAGGGGACCATGGCAAAGTATGGTGAGTCACGCCTGTAATCCTAGCACTTTGGAAGGCCGAGGCAGACAGATCATCTGAGATCGGGAGTTCAAGATCAGCCTGGCCAACATGGTGAAACCCTGAGTCTACTAAAAAGACAAAAGTTAGCCAGGTGTGGTGCTGTGTGCCTGTAATCCCAGCTACTTGGGAGGCTGAGACCGGAGAATCGCTTGACCCTGGGAGGTGGAGGTTGCAGTGAGCCGAGATTGCACCACTGCACTCCAGCCTGGGCAACAAAGCAAGACTCTATCTCAAAAAAAAATAAAAGAAATGAACTTAATTTGTCTCATAGACATTCTTTTAAATATAGACATCCAAACTCAGACTCTCCTTATGTGAGTAGAATATTCTTATTTTAAGTAGAAGAATCTCAATTCAAATGACATGAGCATGGAGAGGGGAATTTACTAGCACACATCATTAGGAACTGCGGGATACAGCTGTATTTAGGAACTCCTGGATCTGGAACCGCAAACATGTGAGTGAGACTGGCCTTTTCTCTCAGTTCCTCTTTCCTCTGGATTATATTTATTTTTAGGCAAGGTTTCCCCACATGGTTTCTAAAATAACCACCAGCAGTGTGAGTTTACATTACACCAAAATTAACCACAGGAGAAAAAGAACATTTATTCCAAAGAACTCCGGAAGAGTTCCGGAGTCGTCTCCAGATGGCAGGGCGGGGGCCATTTGCCAGCTCCAAAACTGGTGGTTATGCCCCAGGAAGTGTCACGTGCTCCCTCCTGGGATCAGGGAGAGGTTTAGCCCCACTGAACCGTGGAAGCTCAGGGTAGGAAAAGACTGCTTCCTACTTTTTAAACATACACTACACTTCTGTAATGCATGTTCAACGTTTTCCTCCTCAAACCTTCCTGAGTCTTCAGGCTCATATGTGCTCCTTACCCATTTCCGCCTCCAAATGGTGACTACTTTGCCTTGGCTTGGTACCTCTGGACATTGTCGTTAACTGGTTGTTGGTTTGAGAGAAATTCCCTACCCAGTTTGTCTGCTCCCTAGGAGTCTATGAGCCACTCCTCTCCCTCTGAGAGCTTAAAGCGCAGTTCATTCTAATGCAGTCACGTTCTTACACATTCTCACACAACATCTGTCATCTGCTTCCTTCCTCAAATGCTCTCCTAGCTCTTGTCTGTTTACTTCTGAGAATTCTCTCTTTTCCTTTCTTCATTTAATGTTTGATTTAAAAGCACCCACAATCGTGGCTGATAGGTTTCAGAGTACATACTTACATTAAGGGAAAGTGACGTCGTATTTTAAAAATATTCGACATACTAGAGTCATTCTTTACGGTTTTCAAGTCCTCTTCAGAATCTTCACAAATATTCTTCCTTTATCCATGACATTTTCTAATTTGATAGTTTTTAACTGATTATTGCATTATAGACGCTTTCATGGTAAATTTCCCTTTAGTTTTGTTGAATTGTGGGTATTTCAAAAGTATTGCAAAATTGTTGCAGCTACATTATAGTCTCAAAGTTCATGGACTGAACTGTAAAACTACCAATGGTTTATAATAATTCGTCTCTGCAAAGATGCATTTTTCTCTCTTTCTGCTAAACCTGCCATACCTCAAAAAATAAAAATTATAAGCATAATTTTTATTTTCTGAGACAATTGAAAAAATTTATTTATGCGTGGCCAACATGGTGAAATCCCATCTCTAGTAAAATACAAAATTAGCTGGGCGTGGTGGCGGATGCCTTTAGTCCCAGCTACTTGGGAAGCTGAGGCACGAGAATCGCTTGAACCCGGGAGGGAGAAGTTGCAGTGAGCCGTGATCGCGCCACTGCACCCCAGCCTGGGCAACAGAGTGAGACTTTGTATCAAGAAAAATTATTTATTAAGACTCTTATAAAAGCCCTGTGTTATGTGCTGGACTGGAGGCTGTAGAGTTGAAGGTCAGGTGTGGGTGGAGAGAGGGTTAGATTGTAAAAATGAAAAGGATATTGTCCCTGCCCTTTGGGAATGTATCATCCCGTAGAGAAATGAAAGTTTCAGATTCGCACTCAGAAAAGGCCTGTGGAGCTGGAATAAAACCTGCATCTCAGGCCCCTGTGCTCCAAGCTCCTCGCTGTGTCCTGTGTGACCATTAATAGCAAAAGTGTTGCTAATCATCAGTCTAAGTTCAGAGGCTGCATTTGTGGTTTTGAAAGCCTGATGTGTTTGTGCTTCTTTGCGTCTGTACAAGAAACTACGACTCAGTGTTGCTTCTAGAATTTCCATCTTTGAAGCCATGGCGTAAGCCCAATGTCTCACTACTCTGTAAACCAAAAAGGCCCCTAGATGCTTTACAAAGGGGATGGTGAATTTTTCACGTGGGAGGAGTGTTCTCTTGCTCTCTGGGCTTCACTTCTCTGCCTGGGGCAGATGCATTCCTCTCTGCGCTCTGCAATTGATAATTTCATTTGCCTTCCGGTTGCATCTTCCACATTCTCCCGTTGCTCTGAAAAGCCTTCACTCAAATTAATTTCAGGAGTGTGCAGGCAAGAACAAGCCTTAGCTCAAATGCCCATGAGTCTGAAATACTTCTCATTTTATTCTGCTTTGACTTGTGCTGTGGAAAAATTACAAAAGCTGATGATGTCGATGAAGATCTTGACCAATGGAAACACACAGGAGGGTGGTGGTGGGGAAATTAGGGAGAATGAAATTACCAAAGCAAGTGGGGCCGGCAGAGACTGAGACTGCAGAGGCTGGGTCGTCCTGAAGCACTTGGCCTCTCCACCGCCTGCAGTGCCACGGTAACGCTGGCACACAGGCTTTCTGGAAATTTCAGGGAATAGCGCACGGAGAGCACTGGAGGCGCCACGTGGAGGCGCCATGTCATTCTCAGTTAGTGTTAGGCCTGTGCTTATTGATTGGTGGGTTGTAACACAATTAATTAGTTGCTGAGGCATGCGGTTGTCAACTCCTGTTAAATGATTTTATATCCAATATACGGAGATCTAAATTTACTCATTGGATTCAAGATGTAATACTGTAATTAATTACCAATATTAAATTAAGGCTTTATGCCACAGTATGTATTGCCATACATTTTTCAAAGTTTTTAATTTTTTTCCAGTAGAATGTATAGAAATGTCTACAGCTTTTTTGAGGTGCATTTATGTCTTTATGTCAGGGTTTGAAAAGTTGATTGATTTTTATAAAACATGAAATTAAAAAATTGTGTAACTAACTGTGCCCTTGAGTAGGTTTTTGAGGAACACAGACTATTTTCAACCAACCCGAGAATTAGTATTCTAAAACAGTAATAGGCCATGCGCGGTGGCTCACGCATATAATCGTAGCATTTTGGGAGGCGGAGGGAGGCGGATCGCTTGAGTTCAGGAGTTCAAGAACAGCCTGGGCAACATGGCAAAACCCCATCTCTGCTAAAAATATAAACATTAGCCAAGCATGGTGGCATAGGTCTGTAATACCAGCTACTCGGGAGGCTATGGTACGAGAATCGCTTGAACCTGGGACGCGGATGTTGCAGTGAGCCCAGATCACGCCACCCCACTGCAGCTTGGTGACAGAGATGAGGCTGTCTCAAAATAATAATAATTAATAATAATAAAACAGTAATAAAAAAGCATTATTCATTTTCAGAAGGTAAAGCATCCTTAATACCATTTCCCAAAGAAATTACTTTTTGTTTGAAATCTGCAAAAGAAGTCAAAGAGGGAGAGCAAGCACTAAAGCCAAGGGAGGCCTTTGGAGACTCTCAGTCCAGGCACACAGGAGGGGTCCGCAGCACGGGAGCATCACGGTGTCCTGGTTCCTACCTGGGGAGTGGGCAGTGGGACGTGAGGACAAGAAGGAAGATGCAGGGCTCTGTTTTTCTGTGTCTGCGATCTTCATCAGGGCCTGACCATCCTTGCCTTGAGCTATTGAAAATGACTCTTCAGGCTGGGTGCGGTGGCTTACACCTGTAATCCCAGCACTTTGGGAGGCCGAGGCAGGTGGATCACCTGAGGTCAGGAGTTCGAGAGCAACCTCGCCAAATGGCAAAACCCTGTCTCTACTAAAAATACAAAAATTAGCCAGGCATGGTGGTGGGCACCTGTAGTCCCAGCTACTCAGGAGGCTGAGGCAGGGGAATCGCTTGAACCTAGGAGGTGGAGGTTGCAATGAGCTGGGATCATGCCACTGCACTGCAGCCTGGGTGACAAGAGTGAAACTCCATCTCAAAAAAAAAAAAATGCCTCTTCACTATCAGGTCATTACTTTTTGCTCCTGATTATAATTCCACCTGTTCAAGGAATTGCCTTTCTAAATGGCAGGTGTGATGTGGTCGCCACAGGGACCGTTCTGCAGGGACTGCCGTCACTACAGCCATTGATGGCTGTCTGACGTTGTACATGCTTTCTTCTGCACCACGTTGATGTGTGTCGCTTTTATTTCATTTCATTTCATTCATTTATTTATCTATTTTGAGATGGAGTTTTGCCCTGTTGCCAGGCTGGAGTGCTGTGGTGCAATCTCGGCTCACTGCAACCTCCACTCCCAGGTTCAAGCAATTCTCCTGCCTCAGTCTCCGGAGTAGCTGGGACTACAGGTGCCCACCACCATGCCGAGGTAATTTTTGTATTTTTAGTAGAGATGAGGTTTCACCATCTTGGCCCGGATGGTCTCGATCTCCTGACCTCATGATCCGCCCGCCTCGGCCTCCCAAAGCGCTGGGATTACTGGTGTGAGCCACCGCACCCGGCCCATGGGCGTCTCTTTTAATCTGAAAGCTCCTTTGATGAGGAGAGAGATCTGATCGCACCAATCTCTTGCTTTGAGAGTTTTAAGGGATCATCTCCTTAGAGATTAAGGGCACATGTGCCTGTGTGGCATTCCAGACCTCTCCTAATGTCTACTGACACCTTCTCTTAGCCTCACAGCTCACCTTCCCAAACCTCACCCCCAGGCTGAGCTGTGTTAGGCACCGGGCCACATTTAGTGCATGTGGCCTTCTTTACCCCTCCCAGTCATTGCTAAGTGGGTCTTTCTGTTTGCAATGCATTCTCCACTCTCTCCTACATAATGCTCTCCTTCACTCTTTGGCACCCAAAACCTCCTTTCTGACGGTTTTTCTTTTTTTTGACCACTGATCTCCCAGAATGCTTCCCGGTGTTTCCCTATGCTCCGGTGGAATTTTGTTTATCACTATTCTATTTCTCATTACGATGTAGTCACTTGTTGTGTTTATGTGTTCAGTTCTTCGGGAGGACTATGAGGGTGAGAAACATGTCTTCACTTGGCAATGTCATAGGGCAGAGAATTCAACACTTGTCGATTCTACCTTCATAATTTGTGAGCGTTACAATCTTGTACAAAACCTGGAATAGTTTCAGTTTCCTTATTCAACTTGTGTGGTCTCAAATTAGAGTTTAACATAACTACCTCATTTGACCCACAAGAAGAGCTTGAAGATATTAATGGGATGAATGAATGAGAACACGGTGATGAAGATTTGTGGGGAGGGATTTGCATCATGTACCTTTTGAGAGGCTGTGGAGATAGGGCTAGTGACTCATAGGACCAAGTGGAATTGTGAGTTCCCACGCTTCCCTCTGCACTGCTTCCAGACCTCCAGGAACCAGAGATGTCGCCTGCGATGCTGGTTGCAACTCTTTAGGTGCAGGTGCAGAAAACCCAACTCAGACTTGCTAAAGGGAAGAAAACAAGAAGTGCTGGAACTCAGAGTTCCTTGCAGTAGTAACAGTCAAGCCCCATTGCTCAAACAATTCCCGAGAACCTTCTTTGTCCTTCCTTCTATCTCAGCTCTCTGTCTCTGGAGATGTGCTTCCTTCTCAGGTTCCATGTAGAGCCCCTGGCAGCTCATGGCTTTAAAGCTTGCAGGTTCAGGAAAGGGAGCATCTCTTTTCCGGCATCTCCAGGAATCCCAGGAATGAGTCTTATTGGCCTAATTATGGTCAACTGGCTGTCCCTGAATGGCCACTGTGTCTGGGGGAAAGTACGCATATTGGTCAAGCTGGGAATATGGGACCATCCCTGGACACTGAGGGGTGAGTGGGGCCATACTCCTTAAGCCACAGAAAGGAAGACTCGGGTAGGAGAATGTGACAGTTAATCTTATGTGTTAACTCAACTGGGCTAATGGATGCCCAGATAACTGGCAAACCATTGCTTCTGAGTGTGTCTGTTAGGGTATTTCCATGAGAGAGTAGCATTCGAATCAGTAGATGGAGTGAAGAAGGCCCACCCTCATCAGTGTGGGCCTCATCCAATCTGTTGAGGGTTTAAAAGTAGAAGGGAGAATTTACTCTCTCTATCTGAAATGGGACATCCATCTTCTCCTGCTCTTGGATGTTGGAGCTCCTGATTTCTGGGCCTTCGGACTCTGGGACTCACAGCCTTGGCTCCTCCAGGCCTCAGGCCTTTGGACTTGGACTGAATTACACCACTGGCTCTCCCGGGTCTCCTCCAGCTTGCAGCTGGCAGATCACAGGGCTTCAAAGCCTCCAGAATCATGTGAGCCAGTTCTCATAATAAATTGCCTCCTCTATATCCATATGGGCTCTTTTTCTCTGGAGAACTCTAGTGGGGGAGGCATAATATAAAAGGAATAATCACAAAAGGCAGTAAGTCAGGGGCACAAAGGAGATGTCAGCTTGCAGACTAGACGCAAGCATGTGAAGGGTGGCTATAGACATAGTTGCAAAGCTGGGTATGGTGGCTCACGCCTGTAATCCCAGCACTTTGGGAGGCCATCACGGGTGGATCACTTGAGGTCAGGAGTTCATGACCAGCCTGGCCAACATGGTGAAACCCCATCTCTACTAAAAATACAAAAGTTAGCTGGGTGTGGTGATGGGCACCTGTAATCCCAGCTATTCAGGAGGCTGAGGCAGGAGAATCGCTTCAACCCAGGAGGCGGAGGTTGCCGTGAGCCAAGATCGTGCCATTGCACTCCAGGCTGGGTGACAAGAGCAAGACTCCATCTCAAAAATAAAAATAAAATAAAAAAAGAAATAGTGGCAAATGATGTGGAAATAGGTAGAAAGAGAAAATATGATGTTCTGCAACCATTACCAGGATAAATTTCAACCGCCCCAAAAGAAAAGACAAAAACCAAAAAAGCAGCTATTGTAACACTTAAGCATTTTAGTTAGAAATACACTTTGCATGAACAGTCAGAATCAGCAAGAATGTTAGCCTTAAAGGGGCACTTTTGGAGTGGGAGGGATGTAGTCCCAAAGGAGAAAGGAAGGAAGATCATTCTGATTAAACGCCCTGCTGCTGCTGTCAGGAATGCGTTATTACTAAAACCTTGAGCATCTCCGATAAGTGAGCTCCACGACCTGCCTTGTGTATCAATGGTAACCTCTTTGTTTGAAATCATAACACATGTTGCCCTGGATGGTTATAATAATGGAGTTTAAACTGGTGGATACAGATGCTATAATTTTCACTAGGTTGTTATCCTTGTGTGGAAATTTATAGAATCCATTAAAGACACATTTCAGGGTCTACGCAGGAAGGTGGAGAAGTCTGCAGAGGCTCAGATTTATCTTGGCTCTCACACCAGTTTCTCCCCACTTCAATCCAGCTTTTGCACTGCTGAGAGAGCCGTCTTTCTCAAACCCTAATCTGATCACGTTTCTTTCCTGCTTAAAATCTCCTGATGGCTCTCAATTGCCATTAGACTTAGGCAAAGTCCAGAATCCTGAGTGAGACTGTCAAAGCTTTCTTCTTTTTTTTTTTTTTTTGGCCACATTTTCTCTGTGCCCTCCACTGTAGCCACTGCTGTAGACACAAAGCCACTTTCTGTTTCCCACAATGCCCAGCTCCTGTGGGCCTCTGAGCTTTGCTCTGGCTCTTCCTCCAGCCTGGAAGGTCTTTCCTCATCTTTTCTCTCTATGGCTAACCTTAGTGCACTCGGAGACCCTCACTCCATTAAGCCTCCTAGGACAGCCACGGCAGAATTCGTTCTTTCCCCACTCCTGCTGCGAGGATCACCAGACTCACCCTGAAGGAGTTGGTCACATCCCTGGCAAATGCGAGCCCTTTACAGTATCGTTTTTTGGTCTTTTGCCTGCACCATAACTAGCACCTACTAAGCACTCAATGCACATTGTGGAATCAATAAACTTCAACAAGATTAACAATGCAAAATACTTTATAGGCCGGTTGCGGTGGCACACACCTGTAATCCCAGCACTTTGGGAGGCCGAGGCAGATGGATCACCTGAAGTCAGGGATTCAAGACCAACCTGACCAATATGGTGAAACCCCGCCTCTACTAAAAATACAAAAATTAGGCGGGCATGGTGGTGTGTGCCTGTAGTCCCACCTACTTGGGTGGCTGAGAGGGGAGAATCGCTTGGACCTGGGAGGCAGAAGTTGCAGAGAGCCGAGATCGTGCTACTGTACTCCAGATTGGATAAGAGAGACAGACTCCTTCTCAGAAAACAAACAAAAAATAACAATAACAAAAACCCCAAATACTTTACAAATTGTCTGGATTTCAAATGGTTGTTTCAAAACTGTTTGGAACATGAAACTAGTTTCTATAGAAACATGCATGTGTGGGGTTGTTCTAGAGCCTGAGGTTCACCCATCAAAGCCAGATTAATTTAAGGAAGGACAGAGCTACTGAGTGTCCACCCGTGTAAAGCGCCTGGGTCACAGTGTGGTCTCAGTGACAGAGAGCCTGCCCTCCTGTGCACTAAGATGTTGACATGCGACCCAGCTCCTGATGCCTGGAATTGGTTCCAGTGGGTGTGCTGTGGTGGAGGGCCGCTGGTCTGTGGTCCACAGCAGGCAGGGATGGGACATGGGAGGGGCTCCTCATGTCACATGGAGTCAGGCCCCTGATGAGAGGCACTGGGGAAGGGTGAAGAGCCCTGCAGGATGATGCTTACTTCCCTGCTCTCTCCCTCAGCTCGATCTGCTGACCATGGTGGGGTGGGTGGCATTGCCAGGAAGGAATGGAGGTGGCCATGAGCAGGGGAGCTGAGGAATGGATGAATGGATGGATGAATGTATGTATGTGTGTATGTATGTATGTATGTATGTATGTATGTATGTATGTATGGATGAATGGATGAATGGATGGATGAATGAATGGATGGATGAATGGACGGATGGATGGGTGGATGAATGGATGGATGAATGTATGTATGTATGGATGGATGAATGGATGGATGAATGGGTGGATGGATGGATGGATGGATGACTGGATGGATGAATGGATGGATGGGTGGATGGATGGGTGGATGGATGAATGGATGGATGAATGGATGGATGGATGAATGGATGGATGAAGAGATGGTCCTTTTCAGGTCCCTATCCCTGACCCCTCTCCACCTCTGTCACTGCCAGTGGGGCCTGTAGATGGCAGGAGAGTCTTTTCCTTTTCTCACCTTCCTCTTTCTTCCCTATTCTCTATCACTCAGCCCATATGTCTGATGGTGACCAGCACGAGGTGAGGGACTGAGAGAAGGTGAGCAGTGGGTCAGAGTGGAAACAGCTCTTCAGTGGGGAGAGAGGGTGAGGCAGGCTCCAGGCCAAATGGCAAATCAACTCTCTGGATAATAAAGCGGAGATCTTAAGGCTTTGGGCTCTAATCTAAGACGTCTGTGCTCTAATCCTGATTTCACCAGCTGAGGAAACTTGGGCAAATTATTTCAATTTTCTGTCCTCAGTATTCGTGTCTAAATGGTAAGGATACTGATAGTACCGCCTCCCCCACTAAGGTGGTTGTGATATTGACGGTTCAGATAGCCTGGAGCTGAGAGCTAGGAGTTCTGGACATCTCTCTGTCTCTCTCTCTCTCATCTCTCTCATCTCTCTCTTACTCTCTCTTACTCTCTCTGCCTTCCTCTCTCCCTTTCTCCCTATGTCTCTACATCTCTTTCTCCCTCCCTCCTTCTGTCTTTTTGATTCTCTCTTTTTCTTCCTCTCCTTCTCTCCCTTCCTTTCTTTCCTCTGTCCCTCTCCCTCCATCTTTCTCTCCATCTTTCTTTCATCTCTCTTTCCCTTTTGTCTCTTTGCTTTTTTCTCTTTCTGTCTCTTTCTGTTCCTCTACACTAAGCTTGTCTAAATCGTGGCCCAGGACGGCTTTGAATGAGGCCCGATATAAACTTTTAAACGTTCTTAAAACATTATGGAAGCTCTTTGTCATTTTTAAATTTAGCTCATCAGCTATACTGTTAGTGCATTTTATGTGTGGCTCAAGACAATTCTTCTTCCAATGTGGTCCAGGGAAGCCAGAAGATTGGACACACCTGTGTGAATCTATGCACTCCCGCAATAACATTTCAATCCACACATCTGCTTTTCTCTCTTTGGTTTGCAGGCTCTTTGAAGACAGGCACTGTGTTTGTCTTTGTGCTTGTGTTTTGTTTCATTCATTCCTGTGTCCCAGTGTCTAGCACCAGGCCTGGCACATGCCAGGCAATGAATGTTTGCTGAGTCAATGGCTGAATAAATGTATGAATGCATTCAGTCAAGTTATAAGTAACTTAAACTGTGCTTGAGAGGCTGAGGTAGGTGCAAGTAGGAGGCTGTGCCCTGTTCCAGCAGATTGTGGTAGAAAACCAGACATTGGGGACCCTTAGTGCTGCTATACTTGGGGGGGCCTTGTAGGGTTTGATTTTGGAATTACTGAATTTGTTAGAAGAGACTGTTGTGCTGGAGAAGGAGCTGGCTGCTGAGCTCTAGGGAGTAGACATAACGAGGGCAGAGTTCAGCTGTGAGGGCTGTAGGTAAGAATCTGGGGTGACAGACGGGGGAGGAGTGCAGGATAAGATTTTGAACCGGGGGAGGATGCCAAGAGCCAGCAAGTGTCACCCCGAGACTCACTCAGAAGGGAAGAGTGGAGTGTGGGAGACCCAGCAAGGAATGTCAGCAAGCAAATTGGTCCTGGGGTGGACTCTGAGTACAGTCTTTTTTTTTCTTTTTCTTTTTTTTTTTTTTTGAGACAGAGTCTCACTCTGTCACCCAGGCTGGAGTGCAGTGGCACGATCTCGGCTCACTGCAAGCTCCACTTCCGGGGTTCAAGTGATTCTCCTGCCTCAGCCTCCTGAGTAGCTGGGATTACAGGTGCTTGCCACACTCCTATTTTTTTTTTTTTTTTTGTATTTTTTAGTGGAGACGTGGTTTCACCATGTTAGTCAGGCTGGTCTCGAACTCCTGACCTGATGATCCACCCGCCTCAGCCTCCCAAAGTGCTGGGATTACAGGCTTGAGCCACCACGCCCGGCCTAGAACAGTCTTATTATTATTACTTTTTTTTTTTTTTTTGTGACAAGGTCTTGCTCTGTTGCTCAGGCTGGAGTGCAGTGGCATGATCATGATTCACTGCAGCCTTGACCTCCTGGGCTCAAGCAGTCCTCCTGCTTTAGCCTCCTGAGTAGCAGAGATCACAGGTACGAGCCACCATGCCAAGCGAATTTGTTGTATTTTTTTGTAGAGATGGGGTTTCGCCACGTTGTCCAGGCTGGTCTCGAACTCCTGGGCTTAAGTGATCCTCTGGTCTTGGCCTTCCAAAGTACACGAGCCCATCCTTAGAGCTGTATTTTGATGTAACTTGTAATGCACTGAATGATTGTGTCCCACAGATTCACATCTCTCTCCAGGTGATGGTAGTAAGAAGAGGGGCCTTTGGGAGCTGACGAGGTCGTGAGAGTGGAGCAACTATGGATAGGGTTAGTGCCTCAGAGAGCTCAAAACAGGCCTCAGAGAGCTCTCCCTTTTCCTTGTACCCTGTGGAGCTACTGTGAAAAGTTGGCTACCTGCAACCCCTGGAAGAAGCCCTGGAAAGAGGGCCTTCACCAGAACCCAGCCATGCTAGCACCCTGATTTTGGCACTGCAGTCTCCAGATTGGTGAGCAAATTTCTGTTGCTGACAAGCCACCCAGCGGATGGTGTTTTGCTGTAGTGGCCTGAGCTGACTGGGACAGTTGTCTGGCTCACTTGCTTGCAAAGTGGTTGGAGCCCACTGGTGTCTGCACTGTTTTGGGATGTTAAAGATTTTACGTGGGGAAAAAAGAGCTCTGAGTAAAGTACCCATCAGATTTACCCCTACTTGATAGGTGATTTTGCCTAGAAACTGAACCTGTCAGGGTCCCAGTCACTTGATCAGTATAAAGGAAAAAAATCAAGGCTTCTCATCCTCTTCACACTTTCAAGTCTTAGGATATCTGTGGGATTCTGGATGCCATTAAAAAGTAAACACGAGACTAAAACTAAAAGTGGCCGGGCACAGTGGCTCACGCCTGTAATCCCAGCACTTTGGGAGGCCAAGGCAGGTGGATCACCTGAGGTCGGGAGTTCGAGACCAGCCTGACCAACATGGAGAAACCCCGTCTCTACTAAAAATACAAAATTCGCGAGGCGTGGTGGCACATGCCTGTAATCCCAGCTACTCAGGAGGCTGAGGCAAGAGAATCGCTTGAACCCGGGAGGTGGGGGTTGCAGTGAGCCGAGATCGCACTATTGCAGTCCAGCCTGGATGACAAGAGCTAAACTCTGTCTAAAAAAAAATAAAATAGGGCTGGGCACAGTGGCTCACGCCTGTAATCCCAGTAGTTTGGGAGGCCGAGGTGGGTGGATCACCTGAGGTAGGGAGTTCGAGACCAGCCTGACCAATATGGAGAAACCCCATCTCTACTAAAAATACAAAATTAGCCAGCGTGGTGGCACATGCCTGTAATCCCAGCTGCTCAGGAGGCTGAGGCAGGAGAATCGCTTGAACCCAGAAGGCAGAGATTGCAGTAAGCTGAGATCATGCCTTTGCACTCTAGCCTCAGTAACAAGAGGGAAATTCTGTCTCAAAAATGATAACAATAATAATAATAATTTAAAAATAAATAAAACTAAAAGCAAGTTTTAGAATCCTCTAGAAACTGTATAGTTACCAAGTGGCTGCCTGTTGGTCCCTCTGCCTGCTGTCCTGATGTATTTCACATGCACAGAGGCAGGGCTCCTTCCTGGTCCACCAGCTACTCCACTGGCCTCTGCTTGGCATTACTCTGTGCTCTTCCTGGAGATGAATGTGTTGCACTTTGGAGGAGGAGCACAGACGGAGAGACACAGGAACTGCGGCTCCATCTTCCTTCTGACAGACATCGCGGTGCACTATTTGTCCTTAGTCTTAGCAAAAATGGCTTTCAACCTTTGGTGGAAGTGTGGGGGTGTACACTGTGACAAGCATGAGGCACTCAGGCTATGGCGACTTGGAGGGTGGGAGCTCCTGGCTCGGAAGACCTCCAAGGCACATTTTAGCTTATGAGCTGCTTAAAAGGCAAATCTTCAACAGTAACTTTTCTATTAGTGGAATCTGTAGTGGATTCCTATTAAAAAATGGGAAACTTTTATTATGGCCAACTGTGATGACAACGCATGAAATTTGCATAGGGAAGCATTACATGCAAAATGCTTCAGGAAGCTGGTATAGGTTGAGTATCCTTAATCCAAAAATCCTAAATCCGAGATGCTCCAAAATCCAAAATGTGAGTTCCAGCATGGAAGTTGAAGGCCTGCCATGTTGTTGCTGCTGTTTAACAGTGAATGCGGGTGTTCTGGTGAGGCTACCGTGCTGTTTAGTGACCCTTAACACTTCATTTCTTCACTGTATTAATGGTATGTCACCTTTTATGGTTAACTACTTATGTGTGAATAAGTATAAGGAAATGATTGCTTATTGGTCATACAAACTCAGAGTCAGGAATGATGTGAGGCTACATGACGCTTGTGAAGTTTGTATACATTGTATACATTGTACATGTCATCTCCTGCATGGAATTGTTAAAAATATTGAATAAAGCTATCTTTAGGCCATGTGTATAAGGCATACATGAGACATAAATGAATTTTGTGTTTATACTAGGGTCCCATCCCCAATATCTTTCATTATGTCTAAGTATACAAATATTCCAAAATCCAGAAATATCTGATATCTGAAATGCTTCTGGTCTCAAGCATTTTGGATAAGGGATAGTCAACCTATACTAACTTTTTTTGGGGGGGACATTCTGGCTCTGTCGCCCAGGCTGGAGTGCAGTGGCATGATCTTGGCTCACTGCAACCTCTGCCTCCCAGGTTCAAGAAATTCTCCTCCCTCAGCCTCCTGAGTAGCTGGGTTTACAGGCATGTGCCATCATGCCTGGCTAATTTTTGTATTTTTAGTAGAGACGGGGTTTCACCATGTTGGCCAGACTGGTCTCGAACTCCTGACCTCAGGTGATCTGCCCGCCTCAGCCTACCAAAGTGTTGGATTACAGACATGAGCCACTGCACCCTGCCCTGTACCAACTTTCAATCCTCCACGTAATGCATGAGACAGGACATCTCTAGGCTCATACTTTGAATAGGTTGAGTACTCAAAAAATTTGAGACCATTTGGACAATGGGGAGCATCTATTGGTTTGCACAGGTAAAGATACATGAAATCAAAACATAGGTAGTTGTGAAAATTAGTTGATGACAGGAGGGGACGGCCACCTGCCTTTGCAGATGGTAGTGATCATAATAAAGGACTTCATTTTTTTTTTTTTTTTTTTTTTTACTCATCCATGTTTCTGTTTATATATAGGATAACAAAGTCAGGAACAATGGGAAAGTAATATATGAAACCTTAATAGGAAATATAATAGAGATTACAAAACACCACCATTTGATTTTTTATGCAAATACTTCAATATTCCAATATTTTTACTCACTTGCTAAATAAAGCACATGACTCGAAATGCTAAATAATTCTGTTAGTCTAAATCTTTTAAAGAAAAAAATGTTGGTGAAAAACCAAAATTGTTTAGTAAAGTATGTACGACCTTGTTTATTATCTACCGTAGACATCAAGATGATCATAGTTAATACCAATTTAAGCTTTATAGAATACTGTTTTAGGCCCAATATATAATAAGGGACTTCAAAGTGCCAGGTGGAAATTTAGTCTTGCGAATGACATTGACAATGATAGAAGGGTCCACCTAGTGATTCTCTGTGCATTGAACATACTGCTTTTCATTCCATTAAAATGTTCAACTTACTTGCAACCTAAAAAAATGAAAAGTTTTCATGATTCTTTTATTTTTTTTAGTCAATAACCTCGTTCATTCTTGTGGCCTTCAGAAGGAAAGCCCTGAGGCCATTTAGATAGAGTTAGAGACGTCCATTAGTACCATGGCAAGGAAGCATTAACGAGCTCTGTGAGTCTGGGCAAGTTACTCAACCTGTGTCTGCAGCCTCAGGCCTTAAGGGATCATAATAGTACCTAAATCACAGGCTTGACATGAGGGTTGAGTTAATTAAAATATGTTACATTTTTAGAGCGGTACTTGGCACATGGTAAGCACTAATAAGTGTTAGAAACGATCATTCCAGACTTCTGAGAAAGAAGTTCTCTTTCACCTGTTAGCCAGTGACAATGTAAGAACATTAAACTTCCAAAGCCTCAGGTTTCACCTGTGTAAATGGGCAATAACAGTAATTCTCCCAGAAGATTACATAGGATTATACTTGTTTGTAGAATACTTGGTGTGGGCTGGGCGCAGTGGCTCATGCCTGTAATCCTTGCACTTTGGGAGGCCGAGGTGGGTGGATCACCTGAGGTCAGGAGTTCGAGACCAGCCTGGCCAACGTGAGGCAACCCAGTCTCTACTAAAAATACGAAAAATTAACTGGGCATGGTGGCGCACGCCTGTAATCCCAGCTACTGTAATCCCAGGCAGGAGAATCACTTGAACCCTGGAGGTGGAGGTTGCAGTAAGCCGAGATCACGCCACTGCAATCCAGCCTGAGCAACAAGAGCAAAACTGTCTCAAAAACAAACAAACAAACAAACAAACAAACAAACAAACAGAAGAATACTTGGTGTGACCAGAAAGAGGCATGGTTGGTGTTATAGGTATTTCTATTATGGACTTAGAAATGGAGATAAGGCAACTTTTCTCCTACTATGAAGACTATTTAACAAGCATTTTAAAAATGATAGCTGTGTCTACCTAGGAAAGGAATGAACAGCCATTGTAGAAAAGTTGGAAAACACATTAAAAGGTTAAATGGGCTGTGCACGGTGGCTCACGCCTGTAATCCCAGCACTTTGGGAGGCAGAAGCAGGTGGATCATTTGAGGTCAGGAGTACGAGACCAGCCTACCCAACATGGGGAAACCCTGTCTCTACTAAAAATACAAAAAATAGCCGAGTGTGGTGGCACGCACCTGTAATCCCAGCTACTTGGGAGGCTGAGGCAGGAGAATCACTTGAGCCTGGGAGGTGGAGGTTGCGGTGAGCTGAGATTGCGCCACTGCACTCCAGTCTGGGTGACAGAGTGAGACCCTGTGACAAAAAAAAAAAAAGTTAAACATTACTTGCTAATTCCAACCCTGAGGTATGTGCTGCTAATATTGTATCATCTGTCTTTTGTCATATAAATGTGTATGTGTATGTATCTGTCACTCTATCCACATCTAGAAAGACATGAAGCTCCAGATATACATAAAATAAACAGCCAATCCACTCCCTCAAGGCCTGGCATTGTCCTGGGAGACAAGGGCTGGCAATATCAGGTAGCAAAAGAACAGGGGAAAGGTGTCTACCACTTGTTAAGTAAGGTGAGTTGTTTTTTTCTTTTTTAGATGGAGTCTTGCTCTGTTGCCTAGGCTGGAGTGCAGTGGTGCCATTTCGGCTCACTGCAGCCTCTGCCTCCCAGGTTCAAGTGATTCTCTTGCCTCATCCTCCCAAGTAGCTGGGATTACAGGCACCCACCACAACACCTGGATAATTTTTCTATTTTTAGTAGAGACAGGGTTTCACCATGTTGGCCAGGCTGGTCTTGGACTCCTGACCTCAGGTGATCCACCCGCCTAGGCCTCCCAAAGTGCTGGGATTACAGGCTTGAGCCACCACGCCTGGCCAAGTAAAGTGAACTTTACAAAGAAGAAGCAGAAAGCAGAGGAGAGATGAAGACCCGTAAGTTAGAGAAGGTGGGGCCAGGGGCTTTCAGTGGATCCCCAAGGCCCACATCCCCTTTCTTTCTTTTAGTACAGTAGTGGAGCCCTCTTTAGGGGACAAGTCAGCCTGGTTTGTCCTGGTCTGTGGGGCCTCCTGGGACATGGAACTTCAGGTGCTGACACCTGAGGACAAGTCTGGCTAGCCCACATCCTGGAAGATGGATATGAGCAGAGGTGATGTGTACAAATTCCTGATCACCTCCTTTAGAAGGGAGGACACCTGCCCTTTATTCTCTTTGTTCCAGATTCTAGGAAGCGGCTATGGTGCTGGGTGTGGGGGCAGCCTCACCAGGAGTGCCAGTGGATGATTGCAGTGATGGCAGAGGACAGCGCTGGGCATTGGGCAGGTTGAACCACGACCATAAACAGTGTCAGCAAACCAGGGGTGCTAGAATGAGCAGACGGCCAACCTATTGTGCAGTCCACCTCCTGTCCACATTCACCCATGTGCAGGGACAGGGGGCTCTGCAGCCAGCTGGGGGCATTAGCCACATGAGCAGGTGGCACCTGCCCCGTGCCTTCTCTAGGTGAGGGGGTCATGCGAGGCCCACCTGGCTCTTTCATGGGATTCCCGAATCCACATTTTATAAGGAGCTAGGGAGGTGGCTGTTTTCAGAGGCAAGCCTTCCCATTGCATAATGTTTTCTTTTTTATGAACCTCCTGTCCTTGACAGCCTTGACTTCACTGGCCATCAGCCCAGTAGCCGGCTGGGCTCACAGGTGAGCAGCTGTCATTCCAGCTTCCTGCATGGGTGAAGCCCACGCCCCTAGGAGGTCAAACAACAAAATGAGAACAAATGAGCCCTCGGTGGCCTAGACCAGCCACTGACCTCGGTATAACAGTAAGCAGAGAAATAATCTCTGTATTTTTGACCACAGTATTTGTGGACCTCTTTTTTTGTAGAAGCTTAGCCTGTATCCTGCACACTGTCAGATCCTCCGTGGGGTCAGTGGCCTTTGACCTTGAGAAGAGAACAGGGGGCGGCGTGGGGGGTAATCAGTGCAGAAAGAATTTTTCTGGTGGCAAGAGAGTTTATTAAAAAATACCAAAGTTACCTTCATGGGACTCCTCATAACTTCAAATACTTAGGAACCTTCTATGCTCACAGTAGAACACAAATGGCTTTGAGAAATTCCTTTCAATGATGGTTCCAGTTGCTTCATTCTTTCCCAAGGGGGTAAGTGACCTTATTAGTTTGTGAGGAAAAATATACCTCCAGGATATTACCTTACTCTGAGATCTGCTTTTGTGTCTGGTAATTGAAGAAGTCACAGCACGCACCAGAATGATGAAGGTTTGTGTAGGAAGGAGGTTTTTTTTTTTTTTTTTTTTAAAGTATTGGGCTCTTGTATGGTGCTATTGAAGTAACATTCTGTGCTGATTTCTTAGCAGAAATCTCCAAAGGAAAAACAACCACTCCTTTGTCAACTTCCTTCTCCCCCTCCTCCTCCTCTTCTTCTTCTTCTTATTATTATTATTATTTTGAGACGGAGTCTTGCTTTGTCACCAGGCTGGAGTGCAGTGGTGCGATCTCGGCTCACTGCAACCTCCACCTCCTGGGTTCGAGTGATTCTCCTGCCTCAGCCTCCTGAGCAGCTGGGACTACAGGCATGCACCACCACGCCCAGCTAATTTTTGTATTTTTAGTGGAGGCAGGGTTTCTCCAGGTTGGTCAGGCTGGTCTCAAACTCCTGACCTCAGGTGACCTGCCCACCTCGGCCTCCCAAAGTGCTGGGATTACAGGCGTAAGCCACCGTGCCCGGCCTTGTCAACTTATTATTTGAGGACACCGAGTTACACAGCCTCTGTGTGGGTTTTAGGAGCCCTTGCTTTGGGGTATTTTCTGGTCAAACTATCATGGTTATTTGAGTGCATCACAGTTAAGTTAAATTTATATATATATATATATATATATATATTTATTATACTTTAAGTTCTACGGTACATGTGCACAACGTGCAGGTTTGTCACATATGTATCCATGTGTCATGTTGGTGTGCTGCACCTATTAACTTGTCATTTACATTAGGTATATCTCCTAAAGCCATCCCTCCCCCCTCCCCCCACCCCACAACAGGCCCTGGTGTGTGATGTTCCCCTTCCTGTGTCCAAATGTTCTCATTGTTCAATTCCCACCTATGCGTGAGAACATGTGGTGTTTGGTTTTTTGTCCTTGCGATAGTTTGCTGAGAATGATGGTTTCCAGCTTCATCCATGTCCCTACAAAGGTACTATTGGGTATATACCCAAAGGATTATAAATCATGCTGCTATAAAGACACATGCACACGTATGTTTATTGCAGAACTACTCACAATAGCAAAGACTTGGAACCAACCCAAATGTCCAACAATGATAAACTGGATTAAGTTAAATATTTTTACATATGAGAGCACACCCCTGTACCTGGTAGAGAAGTTAGAGAGGATGTTTGAGTTTCTTGGAAAATAGAGACAACCCAAGGATTTCAGGGCCAGATTGGCTCTGAATAAAATTATACGACCACTTTCTTACTAAGGTCTTCGGAAACTTCAGAGAGGCCACCCTGAGAATGTGACACTGTGGGCCCACAATTTGTTGAATAAACATCTATTAATACTTTAAGCAAGGACTTTAAATATGGTTAGAGTCTTATGTGCCCAGAGTAAACAGCCCTGCAGTCCGTGCCTCTTTATTAAAAGGCTGGAGGTTGGTATCCCTAAATAAGTCTCGCTGATGTGTAAGCCAAGTACTAATAAAACACTAAGCTATATAGTTCCTTGGATGAAACTGTCACTATTGAACCAGTGCTCTTAGTAAGAGAAGTCTGTTGTAACTAGACATAATATTAATAATGCTGAAAAATTCATTTCTTGCAGTATTTCCAATGCAACACATTGATAACATAGAGTAGATGTTTTAAGCAAGTCAGCAAATATATTCCATGTTTAGCCTGCAGTAGGAAGTTTTCCTAGCCTCTGTAAAGCATGCAAAAATGAATATGACAAAATCCCTGTCCTTGGTGAGCTTGGAGTCTGCTTAGAAATAATTTCAGTTAAAATAAAACATGGCAACTTTGACAAGAGAAGGTTTATGGTAAAGATATTGCCAGTAATATAAACTTAGGGTTAGAATTTTCTCAATGGAACAAAGACCAGACTGTTCTACTTTGGAGAATGGCATGGTGTTCTGCTGTATGTAGATGCTGCTGGTAGATATTTTTCATGCTTAGGGGAATAAAAATAGTTTCTCCTCATTTGGTTACCATCCATTGATAGTACCAGCTAACTGTGGAGGAGTCCTGGGCCCAGATAAGATTAATCCTGGTGTAGTGGCCTGTTAAACCAGGTATTTATCACAATGTTTTATGGGGGCAGTGGTTCATTATTTTCTCCGTTCTCTGTACTACAGGGAACATTAGCTTTCTGAATAGGTCATGTTGAAAGTACTCTCTGTGATAAGACTAAGACTTTATAGATTTCCTCCAGTGACAGTGGCTGTTGCATGCTCTCCATTTAGAAATAAAGCAGCCTGTGGCCTCATATCCAATTCATAGAATTCCAGGCTGCGGCCTAAGTTCTGCATAATAGGAACACCTTACTGCCAGGAGCCGTTTCTCTAAGCAGGCCACTTCTGAAGTTGCTTATTGATTGAACAGTTAGTTATGGCAGCGTAAAACCTGACCGTGGTAAGCATTTTCTCTTTCTGTCATTTGAGCCCTTGGAGGAAGAAGAGTCTTCAGTATATTGAGAGAAATGTATAAGTTATCTTGAAGGGGACAGGGGGAAAATGAGGAAAGCAGTATTGATTGCTTCCCATAACTTTCCCATACTCTTGGAGAATGTTTCACAGACCATTAAACTCAGTAAGCTTTAGGTGACTGAGGGAAAAATGAATGAGGGGCAGTAGGTGTGAGTTTTATCTTTTAAATCGCAATTTGACTTTACTAGGCAGCAAAAGGGAATATAATTAATCAACTCTTTCATAAAGAAAGCAACTTGCATCATCGTTGATGTATTGCTATTTAATTCTGCTGTGATATGCAAATTGGAAATTATGGCCAATGCTCCAAGCCTCTTTTTTAGCATGCTGTGGTCCTCAGGTATAAAATATGTATGCCTTCAAAATAATAGCCATTCCTTTATGTCCACACACGTGTACATAGTCACACACACCTCTGCAAGTTACTCATAAAAACAGAGCTTCGTGACATTGCTAATTTGGGGAAATCAGGACTCTACCTATAAAAGTGATTTCTTGGGTATAGAACTTTACAATAAAGAGAAAATAAAATTCCACAACTTGAGTGCTCATTCTGGATTGGAGAGATTTTTTTTTTGAACTAATTCCTTAAACAGTTGATCTCAAGGGTTGTTTGTTTTGCTGTTTTTCTGTGTTGTATCACAGATGAAGGAGATGGTTCTTTCACTTAATAAAACACATAAATAAATGTGTAGGTGAAGTTCTTTTCTTTTTTTTTCCTTAGGGAAGTGACAGTTGACAGAATTTCCTGAAAGTTGCTTTGCTACGTTCCTCATCTTCCTCTTAAATTCCTTCTTCTGGCATTCTTCCCCATCTCAGAAACGGAAACCCCATCTTTCCAGGTGTGTAGGCCACAGATGGTAGAGTTGCAACTTTACTTTTGCTTACAGACCTCATTTCTAATACAACTGCCAATGCTGTCAGCATTGCTTCATAGTATTCTCAGAATCTGACTGTCTGTCGCCCCCTAGACCCATGGTTCACCCCGTGCCCCACCTGTGTGGAGCCGCCACAGTCTCTTTCTTGATGCTCATGAAGCCCTCTAACTACTCTCCTTGCTTCTATCCTTGTCCGCCCCTCCTCCCTGGTCATCTCGCCCTCCGCTCACCATGTGCTGGTGCCCTCCCATCTCACTCCTTATGTGGGCTGCAGGGCCTCATCGGTCTGGTGTCCTCTGAAGGCTCCAACCTCTCCTCTGCTTTTCTCCCCATGGCTCATGTTCCCCCGCCACACTGATGTCCTTGCTATTTCTTTGAGAACTCAGACCGTTTTCTGCCTCACGGCCTTTGCACAGGCTGTTCTTGTTGCGTAGTCTGTTCTCTTCCTTGACATCCACATGGCCCCATCGCTCATCTCCTTCCTGTTGTTGGTCAAACGTGAATCTTTCAGGGAGGCCTTCCATGACCGTTCTCTTTAAAGTTGCACCCACCTCTTTCCGGTGCTCTTTTCTCCTTTATTTTTCTCTGCAGTACTTTGCACCATATGACATGCCTTAGGCTTTCTTTTTTTTCTTTTTCTTTTTTTGAGACAGAGTCTCGCTCTATTGCCAGGCTGGAGTGCAGTGGCGCGATCTCGGCTCACTGCAACCTCCACCTCCCAGGTTCAAGCGATTCTCCTGCCTCAGCCTCCAGTAGCTGGGACTACAGGCACGCGCCACCGTGCCCAGCTAACTTTTGTATTTTTAGTAGAGACGGGGTTTCACCATGTTGGCCAGGATGGTCTCGATCTCCTGACCTCGTGATCCGCCCACCTCGGCCTCCCAAAGTGCTGGGATTAGAGGCCTGAGCCGCCGCGCCCGGCAGCCTAATGCTTTCCTATCTGGCTCTTGTATGTGTTGCTCATCTAGACTGCAAACTCCAAAAAGGTAGGCGACTTTGTTTTGTCTGCTTCTGTAGCCCAGTACCTGGCCCATGGCAGGCACCTGATCGAGTTTGTTAAATGAATGCCTAATAAAGTAACTAGAATTTGGGAGGAGCCCTAGTGCAGCTCCAGAGGAAGATTTTTTTAGTCTCATCCTGTTGCCCAGGGTGGAGTGCAGTGGCAGGATCTCAGCTCACTGCAATCTCTGCCTCCCAGGTTCAAGCGATTCTCCCACCTTAGCCTCCTGAGTAACTGGGATTATAGGTGTGCTCCATCATGCCCAGCTGATTTTGTATTTTTAGTAGAAATGGGGTTTTGCCGTGTTGGCCAGGCTAGTATTGAACTCCTGACCTCAAGTGATCCACCGACCTCGGCCTCCCAAAGTGCTGGGATTACAGATATGAGCCGCTGTGCCGGGCCCAGAGGGAAATTTTTTTGAGGCCCTGGAAGAAAAATGGAGAGAAAATAGAGGGAAGAAGAAATACACCAATATATGATACTTGTATGCAAGACTTTGCACCCTTTTTATTTTTGGGGGGTGTTCTTGGCAAAGCCTCTAGCCTCATTGCCTACTTCATTTTATCTTTTTATTTGTTTATTTTTTAGAGATGGAGGTCTGGAGTCTCACTGATTTCCAGGCTGGTCTTGAACTCCCGGCCTCAAGTGATCCTCCCACTTTGGCCTCCCATTATTGTCTACTTTAAATGGTGGAAAAGTAAAAATCGTCTGATTAATATTTCAAAACTATGTCCTAATTGTGTATGTGTATGTTTACCTCTATTTTATGTATACTTTTATACCTATCTAGATTAAAATTGAATTGCTGTGTAAGTACCAGGTGATAATCTGGTGTTTAAATCGGAGCACTGGGATGAGTTAATTAAGATATCTGAATAATTGTTTCCTCTATCAGTATTGTTTTTGAATGAAATAGAATATATGCTAATGATATATGCTTGGTGGGCCTACTTTACCCACAGGGGTGGGGTCACCAAGTGACTAATTAACTCTCTGAGCTGATTAAAGATTTTTTTTTTTTTTTTTTTTTTTTTAAGAAGGAGTCTTGCTCTGTCACCCAGGCTGGAGTGCGGTGGCGCCATCTTGGCTCACTGCAAGCTCTGCCTCCTGGGTTCACGCCATTCTCCTGCCTCAGCCTCCCCAGTAGCTGGGACTACAGGCACCCGCCTCCACGCCTGGCTGATTTTGTTTTTGTATTTTTAGTAGAGATGGGGTTTCACCGAGTTAGCCAGGATGGTGTCCATCTCCTGACCTCATGATCTGCCCGCTTTGGCCTTCCAAAGTGCTGGGATTACAGGCCTGAGCCACTGCGCCTGGCCTGATTAAAGAATTTTAAAGAAAACCTCCTGATTGTCACCAGGTGTCTTTTTTAGAAAGCTATAAATGTCTCTTATACTTCAAAATGAAAACAAAATCCCTCAGCATTTTTAACCTCAAATGAGTGAAAACCAAACCACAATGACACAAAAAGACGATGTGAGGATCACAGAAGGAAAAGATAAATGACAGCTTTGCAAAATAGTCGGCCAGCAGAGCCCCATACTTATGGTCTATTGCATGCTGTCTGTTGTCTTTGAGGACTCTCATGTGATTTAAAAAAGATTTGAGAGGATTTGGAAGTTTTTAAAGGAAAGAAAAAATAATCTGCCAGATGGTCAATGAAGAATTCTTTCTTTAAAACAAAGTTTTATGATTACACTTGTAGTTTACTTATGCTTCCTTATTTAAGTTTTTGATGTAGTAGAACATAGACAATTACCAGTAAGTAGTCAGTCAAAATTCTGGATTGTTCTTTCATATTCCTAGTTTAGTGAGAGTTTTTAATCATCAGTGGATATCAACATTTATCAGTGCTTTTCACACATTTATTAATATAATCACTTTTTTTTGCAATTTAGTCTATGAATATAGTAAATTATATTGCTTGATTTTAAAATATCAAACCAATTTTCATTCGTAGGATAAATATCACTTGGTCATGGTGGTCATGGTATATTTTTCTTTTCATATATTGCTAGCTTCATTTTGTTAATATTGTGTTAAGGATTTTTTTTTTTTTTTTTTTGAGACGGAGTCTCGCTCTGTCGCCCAGGCTAAAGTGGAGTGGCGTGATCTCGGCTCACTGCAAGCTCTGCCTCCCGGGTTCCCGCCATTCTCCTGCCTCAGCCTCCTGAGTAGCTGGGACTACAGGCATCCGCCACCACGCCCGGCTAAATTTTTTGTATTTTTAGTAGAGTGGAGGTTTCACCATGTTAGCCAGGATGGTCTCAATCTCCTGACCTCGTGATCCACCTACCTCGGCCTCCCAAAGTGGTGGGATTACAGGCGTGAGCCCCTACGCCTGGCCTTGTTAAGGATTTTTATGGTTATTGTTCATGGTCTATAGTTTTTTTTCTTCTTGTATCTGTTTCATTTTAGTATCAGAATAATTTTGGTCTCATATAAGGGACTTGGAAGTGGTGTTTTCTCTTCTATTTTCTGAACAAACATGGAGAATTGTTATTATTTCCTTATCAAATTTTTTAGAGAAATTCACCAGTGAAGTCAACTGGGCCTGGAATTTTCTTTGTAAGATATTAAGCTGTGAATTCAATATCCTTAATTGAGGTAGGATTTTTCAGGTTATCTATGTTTGAGCCTTGGTAGTTTGTGTCTTTCAAGGAATTTTCCCATTTCATATGTTATGAAACTTACTGTCATGATATTCCCTTATTATAATTTTAATATTTATAGGATCTGTAGTAACAGTCCCCTTTTAAGTCCTGCTGTCGGCAATTTGTTATTTCTTTTCCTTTCTTCTTTTTTTTTGAGACGGTGTCTCGCTCTGTGGCTCAGGCTGGATTACAGTGGCGCCATCTCGGCTCACTGCAAGCTCCGTCTCTTGGGTTCACGCCATTCTTCTGCCTCAGCCTGTTATTTCTCTTTCTCTCTCTCATCAGCCTGGCTACAGGTTTATTAATTTTACTGAATTTCAAAGAATCAACTCCTCGTGTCATTGACTTTTCTCTAATGCTTTTCTATTTCATTAATTTCTATGCTCTCAGTTATTTTCTCCCTTCTGCTTTCTTTGGGTTTAATTTGCTATTTGTTACTAGGTTCTTGAGGTGGAAGCTTAGATCATTGATTTGAGACCTTCTTCTTTTGTTACAGTAGCACTGAATTCTATAAATTTCCCTCTAACCACTCATTCAGCTGTGCTCCACAAATTTTGATATGTTTTTATTATCAATTAATTGAAAATACTTTCTAATTTCCCTTGTGATCCCCTCTTTGACCCATGGGTTATTCAGAAGGATGTTGTTCAACTTTGAAATATTTGAAGTATTAGAAATATTTGGGGATGTTTCAGATATCTTTCTATTATTTACCTAGGTATTCTGATAATTTTCCTGTTGATCCATTCTGCCCTGCTTTATTTATTATGGATGTTTAATGGCTTCTGTGGAAAATAAGGAAAGCGAAGCCCCACCCAGGGGGATTCTGAGCTTTCCGAACAGTGTAAGTTACACGGTGCTGAATCTTTCCATCGGTTTCCTACATCGAGTGCTCACTGAGGCAGATGGTTGATAAAGAAGCACACTCTGTTAGGGTCCAGCAGATCGCAGATCTGGGTTCTGGACAGCCCTTGCTTAGTATAATGTAACCTTGGCTAAAGACCTTAGTGGGGTCTCTGATTTTTTTTTTTTTAGGCGGAACCTCTTCTGCCCCCAGACTGGAGTGCAGTGGCAAGATGTCTGCTCAGTGAAACTTCTGCCTCCCGGGTTCACGTCATTCTCCTGCCTCAGCCTCCTGAGTAGCTGGGACTATAGGCGCCCGCCACCACGCCTGGCTAATTTTTTGTATTTTTAGTAGAGATGGCATTTCGCCATGTTAGCCAGGCTGGTCTTGATCTCCTGACCTCGTGATCCGCCCGCTTTGGCCTCCCAAAGTGCTGAGATTACAGGCATGAGCCACTGCGCCCCCCCTCTGTTTTCTTATCTGTGAAGTGAACATCATAATTTTTGCTTTATGATGCCACAGGGTTTTCATAAAGATCAAGTAAGCTAATTAAACACTTCTGATGAATTATTGAGCATGTAAAATCGAAGATGTTATTATTCTTGGCAGACATTTTCTACGCGTAAAATTATTTGTCACGCTATCCTTCACTAGAATTCTGTTTGACTATTGAAGCAGATTTTTCTAAAGATCTGACTTTAACTTATAATGTAGATGTTAAAGTATCAGATTAAAGATAGTACTCGCTTCATTAAGTTCCAATAACCAAATTTATAACTAAGAGGAGTGTGATTATGTAGAAGAGCTACCTGCTTGAATGAGAAAATGGGCATAATTTTATAGATGTTTTAATTAATAAACCAAACATCTTTTCAAAAATCCATACTGAGTAAAAGGTGGGTCAGACAGCCCTGAAATAAGATTTTAATTATAGGCATTTTCTGGTATTTCTGAGATACACTTTCCTAATCCTGCCTGCTCCTCTGTCACCATCGACTTGAGGGCCGCCTCTTCTTTGTGTCTCACTGGGTCATGTTGCTCTCTGGTTAGCCAAGTTGAATCAGATAAGTTTTAATGTTTGATATTTTGACTTTAAATAGAAGAGCCAGAATAAAGAAAAACTGTCATGCTCCCTATCCTTGTGCCTTGTCCTGCTGTCAACAATTCAATGGCTTTAGAAGTCCTAGGGGCCAAGCATTATTGAAAAGTAGTGTTTTTAATTCTTATCAATGAGACTCTGGGGGGAATTCTCTCTGGAGGAATCCTTGCTTATACCATCTGCTCGACTGTTAAAAAGCTTTGCTGTAGTAAACTAGAAAAACTTTCAAGCTTTTTCAATGACAAAAAAAAAAAAATTTCAACCATAGCCTGCTAACTTGGGAGGTCAAATTGTCTTTAATTTATTTTATTCATTCAACAAACAGCTGGCAGCGTCATAGGTGCTGATCGCTGAATAAGTGGGAATTCTAGAGCCGAAGCTTCTGCCTACATGTGAAGAATTAATTCCAGCTGGGGAGGCACTTAATATACAAGGAAACAGAGTAGATCATCCCAAATAGTGAGATGTGTTTGAAAGACGCAGGGTGTCCTACTGAGCAGGCGTCAGCGAACTTCAGCCTGGGGGTCAATCAGGCCTGATCTGGTTTCCCTGAGCAAAGTCTATTGGGTCACAGCCATGCTTACTCATTCATACATCCTCAGCGGTGGCTTCCATACTGTTACAGGAAGGGGGTCTCGATCCAGACCCCAAGAGAAGGTTCTTGGATCTCACTCAAGAAATAATTCGTGGCGAGTCCACAGCGCAAAGCAAAAGCAAGTTTATTAAGATAGTACAGTGGTGGCCGGGCACGGTGGCTCACGCCTGTAATCCCAGCACTTTGGGAGGCCAAGGCAGGTGGAACACAAAGTCAGGAGATCGAGACCATCCTGGCCAACATGGCGAAACCCCGTCTCTACTAAAAATACAAAAATTAGTTGGGCGTGGTGGCGTGTGGCTGTAATCCCAGCTACTTGGGAGGCTGAGGCAGGAGAATCACTTGAACCAGGGAGGCAGAGGTTGCAGTGAGCCGAGATTGCACCACTGTATTCCAGCCTGGGTGACACAGCAAGACTCTGGAGACTCTGTCTCAAAAAAAAAAAAAAAAAAAAAGAAAGTACAATGGTAAAAGGACAGCTACTCCATAAACAGAGTAGGACATTCCTGTAAGTAAGAGGAAGAACGCATCCACCCTAGGTACAATGCTGGTATATATGGGCAGACGTGTTGTGCTACAAGAGTTTGTGATAAAGGATTAAATTTTTTTCTTTTTCTTTTTTTTTTTGAGACAGAGTCTTGCTCTATCACCCAGGCTGGAGTGCAGTGGTGTGAACTTGGCTCACTGCAACCTCTGCCTCCCGGGTTCAAGCAATTCTCCTGCCTCAGCCTCCCGAGTAGCTGCAATTACAGGCAGACGCCACCACGCCCGGCTATTTTTTGTATTTTTAGTAGAGACAGGGCTTCATCATGTCAGCCAGGCTGGTCTCTAACTCCTGAACTCAATCTGCCCGCCTTGGCCTCACAAATTGTGGGATTACAGACGTGAGCCACCGCACCTGGCCAGTTTTTTTTAATCACTATATTTTGCAAGAAATGATATTATTATCTTTAAAGCAAGATGAGGAGTGCGTTTGTTCTCCAGTTATTGGGATATCTGAACACTCCTAAGTCTGGGTCTGTTTAGTAAACCTTATCAATCTGTTCCCTTAACCATAAACATGTAGAGGCCAGGAATGCCTGACTTTCTGAGAACACAGCCCAGCAGGCCCCAGCCTCATTCCCCAGCCCTCACTCAGAATGGAGTCGCTCTGGTTCCAGCGCTGCTGACAATACTACGATGACAGAGATGGAATGGCTTGCAAAGTCTAAGGTGTTTATCACCTAAATATTTACACTTTACAGAAAATGTGAGCCAACCGCTGGTCAAGAGGATGACAGAGGGGTAGGGGATCACGGGGAAGCCAGAGTGAAAGGAGAAAAACCAGCAATTGTGGATGATTTTCATTATATTGCTTATTTTGCATTTGCTTTGACAAGGTTTAGTGCCTATGCTCTCTGCAGAACTGGAGGGGTGAACTGGAACCACAACAAACTGGAGTTGAGTAGGTTAGAGTCTGTATCCCTGGCTCTGTCCTTACAGGAAGTAATTTCCCCTCTTGCCTCTGAGACCCGGTTAATTCATCTGGAGATTCAGAGGGTTGGATTTGACAGCCTTAAAGGTCCATGCAAACTCTGATATTCTGTAAGACTACCTTTTGTATTTTTAATCATGGGTTGCCATCAACAATTGTCTTCAGTCTTAAGTAGGTAGAATGAAACTGAAGGAGCTGATTGGAAAGTGTTCATGACAGTAACCGATTCATTACTGTTTAAGAACTAAGTCACAGCCAAGAACACAGAATGTTATCATTTTTAACTGACAAAAAGCACTAAATTATGCAAGGGGATTGCACTTTTTCATCACAGTCCCCATCTGGAATGAATCCGACACCGCCAGGCTTGTGCTCTTCTCTCAATTTCTGTTTCTGGTTCTCACATTGCCATTACCTCTGGAAGTCAATATTCTTTAACGGCTTCTAATGTTTTCCATCTACAATTAAATCGTCCCATGTTCATTCACATTTTCATTGAAATGTGAATCTCCTGCGTATTCAGTCTTAATCTATGAACCTTAATTGTTATGCTGAGCTATCCAATCCAGGTCATTATTACTTTATCTAGCTGAATCCTGTTTTTAGTTTGCACAGTTAAAAAAAAAAAAGGCAAAAAGGCAGCATCCTCACCTAAGATTGCAATAGAAACTGAAGTGTTCATGTCAAAGCTGATGTGGGGCGGGAATAGTACTAGACTGCACTTGTTTTTTCCAATATGCCCATGATATTCAAGCCAAGGGGCGTGTGGAGCCTGTCATCATAAAACAATTATAATTCTTCTATTATTAAAATACAGATGTGCCTGGCAAGCTGGAACATTCTGCGTATGCACATAATGATGAATTTCATTTGCATGCTTTATAGATTAGCCAAAGAATTATTCTGATAATGGACGACTGATTTCTTCAGGGGTGGGATCTGAAAATCATCCAGACAGGTTGTGGGTTTGTGGGCGCAGAAATTGTCGCAAGTGTTGGAACCAGAGCGAGTCCAGCGCAAACAGGGGCTGGGGGAAATGAAGCTGAGACCTGCTGGGGTGCATCCCCAAGAAGTCAGGCACTTAGTCACTGGATGAGACAGGAGGTTGGCACAAGATACAGCTCACGAAGACCCCACTGATAAAACAGGATGCAGTAAAGCCAGCCAAGACCCACCAAAACCAAGAGGCAACGAAAGCACCCTTTGGTCGGCCTCAGTGCTCATTATTTGCTAATTAGAATGCATTAGCTGCTAAAAGACACTCCCACCGTCACTAAGCCAGTTTGCAAATGCCACGCAACATCCAGAAGCTACTCTATATGTTCTAAAAAGAGGAGGAACACTCAGTTGTGGGAATTTCCCAGCCCTTTCCCAGAAAACTCATGAATAATCCACCCCCTCTTTGGCATATGATCAAAAACAACCATAAAAATAGCCAACCAGCGTTCACTGGGGCTGTTCTGCCTGTGGAGTAGCCATGTTTTTATTCCTTTACTTTCTTAAGAAACTTCTTTTTACTTTACTCTGTGGACCCCCAAATTCTTTCTCTCTTTCTTTGTGAGACGGAGTTTCACTCTTGTTGCCTAGGCTGGAGTGCAGTGGCGTGATCTCGGCCCACTGCAACCTCTGCCTCCCGGGTTCAAGCGATTCTCCTGCCTTAGCCTCCCAAGTAGCTTGGATTCCAGGCGTCCACCACTCCGCCCAGCTAATTATATATATATATATATATTTTTTTTTTTGGTAGAGATGGGGTTTCACTATCTTGGCCAGCTGGCCAGGCTGGTCTCAAACTCCTGACCTCAGGTGATCTGCCTGTCCCGGCTTCCCAAAGTGCTGGGATTACAGGCGTGAGCTGTGGCACTTGGCCCTGAATTCTTTCTTGCATGAGATCCAATAATCCTGTCTTAGGGTCTGGATCGAGTAACAGAATTACTTGGAAGTGGAAACTCAGCAGGTCTCCGATGAAGATCTAGCTTGCTGGGGATGGGTCCCTTTTGTCTTGCCACTTGGTCCTGACCTTCTCTTTTCCTCAGAGGGATCCCACGTGTGCGGTTCTAACTGGGGAAAACGTCAGGCTGGCAGGAGCAGGGGGAAGCAAGGAGAGACAGCAGAGAAACTATAGGTCTACCTTTCTTTACGGCGCAGGACATATGGCCCTCCTGCGCAGATAGCAGACATAACTCACAAACTTCCTGCTCACCATCACGCACCTCAGTTGATCAGACACCCCGGCTGAAAGAAGAATGTAAGTTAAGCTTCCGGCTGCCGTGGCGTTCTCAATCAGCTGAGTTCCATTCTGTGAAAACGTCGGCAAGCCTTTGTCTCCTAGCAGACGGCTCCTCTTCTGCTGACCCTGCCTGTTGCCTCCTTGCAATGTATTTTCCTACTTTCTCAGTAAATCTGCGTTTCTCTACCTACAACTGTCTTTTTTTTTTTTTTTTTTTTTTTTTTTTTTTTTTTTTTTTTTGAGACGGAGTCTCGCTCTGTCGCCCAGGCTGGAGTGCAGTGGCGCGATCTCGGCTCACTGCAAGCTCCACCTCCCGGGTTCACGCCATTCTCCTGCCTCAGCCTCCCGAGTAGCTGGGACTACAGGCGCCCACCACTACGCCCAGCTAATTTTTTTGTATTTTTTAGTAGAGACAGGGTTTCACCGTGTTAGCCAGGATGGTCTCGATCTCCTGACCTCGTGATCCGCCCGACTCGGCCTCCCAAAGTGCTGGGATTACAGTCATGAGCCATCGCCCCCGGCCTTTTTCTTGTTTTTTTTTTGAGACGGAATCTCACTGTCTCCCAGGCTAGAGTATAGTGGCGCGATCTCAGCTCACTGCAACCTCTGCCTCCTAGGTTCAAGTGATTCTCCTGCCTCAGCCTCAAGAGTAGTTGGGATTACAGGTGTCCACCTACACACCCGACTAAATTTTGCAGTTTTAGTAGAGATGATGTTTCACCATGTTGGCCAGGCTGGTCTCAAACTCCTGACCTCA
The DNA here is from genome assembly GCF_000001405.40 of Homo sapiens. Lineage (NCBI taxonomy): Eukaryota > Metazoa > Chordata > Mammalia > Primates > Hominidae > Homo > Homo sapiens. The sequence continues at coordinate 195,772 of NW_025791785.1, read as the reverse complement.
GGTGATCTGCCCACCTCGGTCTCCCAAAGTGTTGGATTACAGGCGTGAGCCACCACACTTAGCCATCGTACAACAGTCTTGGTAATTTCTTTTAGCCTGGGGCTACCGGCACAAAGAGTCATTGCTCCCTGTGACCCCATGCTCCTCAGTATCCTCTTTGTTTTGTCACCTTTAGGAGAAGTCAGGAGAGAGGTTGGCTCTGACTGGGGTTGAGCTGACAAATTTTTGCCTTTAGCTTCCAAAGATAATGAGAAGGACCCAAAGGGAGAGTCACCCGCCGTATAACGGTGAGAACCCTGGACTGGGATCAGGAGCCTCTGCAGAGCTTTCTTTACTAATGTTAAGATGTAATGACCATTTGGAAAGCAAATATGTGTTATTAAAAGAGACGCAATATCCTCATTCTGTTTGTTTTTCCTCCACCGCTATTGTTAATGGCAAATAGAAGCATCTCGAGTATTCGTAAAGGTGAAAAATATGAGCCTCGGAATCATTATTTGGTAAGGTCTTGAAAGATGGAAAATATTTGTCTGAATATCATTTGGGAATAATTATTTGTTTCTTGGAGAAATGATATTCCAAAGTTTATCTTCAACTATGGCTGAACGTTCAACTGTGTGTTTGCACATACACTTTGTATACAGCTTCCCACGTAGGTATCCGGGGAATAGTTTTGTGAAATCTGATGTTCATATCCCAGCGTATTTGTTGAAGTTGCAATGTAGACATCCAGACTGTTGTTATTAGGCATTATATTTTGTAAGTTTTAGTTGGAAAGTAATGTTGAAGAAAGTATGCTTCTTAGGAGGAGTGTTATAATGTTAACTATGACACCGATGCCACCGTGAGAAGACAAAAGAGATCACAGACCCTGATATCTTATCAGTTAGGACACCTTTCTAGCAACAAAGCATCCTGGGGGCAATGTGCCAGGGAACCGTGTTCCGCTTATCATTTCCCTCCCTGACATCCTCAGCTCAGAAACTCTCCTTGCTGTAGCCACACCTGCTTCTAGTCCCTGCTCCCTCCACAGATCCTTTCCACACTTTGTTCCTTTTATTTGGAGCCTGCCTGCCTGCCTGCCTGCCTTCCCTCCTTCCTTCCTTCCTTCCTTCCTTCCTTCCTTCCTTCCTTCCTTCCTGCCTGCCTGCCTGCCTGCCTGCCTGCCTGCCTGCCTGCCTGCCTGCCTCCCTCCCTCCCTCCCTCCCTCCCTCCCTCCTTCCTTCCTTCCTTCCTTCCTTCCTTCCTTCCTGCCTTCCTCCCTCCCTCCTTCCTTCTTTCTTTCTTTTGACAGAGTCTCACTGTGTCACCCAGGATGGGTTGCAGTGGCATGATCTCGGCTTACTGCAACCTCCACCTCCCGGGTTCAAGTGATTCTCCCGCCTCAGGCTCCCTAGTAATTGGGATTACAGGCACGTGCCACCATGCCCGGCTAATTTTTTGTATTTTTAGTAGAGACGGGGTTTCACCATGTTGGCCAGGATGGTCTCGAATACTGACCTTGTGATCCTCCTGCCTCTGCCTCCCAAAGTGCTGGGATTATAGGTGTGAGCCACCGCACCTGGCCCCAAGTGCTGGGATTGCAGGCATGAACCACTGTACCTGGCCCACCTCTGTCCTATTTTCTACTTAACTCTTACCCTACCCATCTCCACTCCAGCGCCTTCCTCGGATAAATCTTTGCTGACCTCCCGTGGTCAAATATCCCTATTACAGTTTATCAGAGCCCGTGCAACTGTCCTTTGAAAGTGCCCAGTGTAGTTTCTATTTTATATTAGCTGATATTTAGATGTGCATGTGTGGAATTTGGCAGAATCATTAGTGCACTGGACTTTTCGTTGGATGTATTTGTGTGTGTCTGACTCTTGTTGCTCCAACTTTGGGTGCTTTGCCAAAAGGTTGAGGGCAGAGGGCAGCTCTATCCCAGCTTCACAATGAAGGTCATTTCCAGGGTGCAAACACCAGATAAACCACCTTCTCCTGTCACCTGAGACTTAGAATTTTTGTCTCTGCATTAACTCTTACTAAGAGACAGATTTCCTGGGTAACAGGGAGGTTTAATCCAAGACATTACATTCATGGGCATTCAAATTCTCAATTTTTTTTTTCATAGTCAAGATATCAGTCCAGCCACGGTGGCTCACACCTATAATCCTGGCACTTTGGGAGGCTGAGGCAGGTGGATCACCTGAGGGCAGGAGTTCAAGACCAGCTTGACCAACATGGTGAAACCCCATCTATAAAAAAAAAATAAAAAATTTAGCCAGGCGTGGTGGTGGGTGTCTGCAGTACCAGCTATTCAGGAGGCTGAGGCAGGAGAATCACTTGAACCTGGGAGGTGGAGGCTGCAGTGAGCTGAGATCGTGCCACTGCACTCCAGCCTGGGTGACAGAGTAAGTCTCGGTCTCCAGAAAAAAAAAAAAAAAGAAAACAAAGGAATATCAGTGATACCTGTGAGCTCCTTGCCTCCACCGACCCCCTCCTCAGTGCCAGGGTTTCTACATTTCCCTGCATTCCCTTTGCTTTCAGCCTGGCCCGGCTGTTTTGTTGACCCTAGTGGTCGGGGTTCATCTTCAGAGATATTACTGAAGATGTTTATCCACCTCAAATATAAGGATTATTACGGTGATATGGGTTGGACTTGTGTCCCCACCCAAATCTCACGTGGAATTGTAATCCCCAATGTTGGGGGAGGGGGCCTGGTGGGAGGTGATTAGATCGTGAGGATGCATCTGCCTCTTGCTGCTCTCGTGATCGTGAGTTCTCATGAGATCTGGGTGTTTAAAAGTGTGTAGCACCTCCTCCTTTGCTCTTTTTCTCTTACTCTGGGGATGTGAAGATGTGTCTGCTTCCCCTTTGCCTTTCACCATGATTGTGAGTTTCCTGTGCAGCCTGCTTCCTGTACAGCCAGGCTTCCCATACGGCCTGCAGAACTGTGAGTCAATTAAACCTCTTTTCTTTATCAATTACCCAGTCTCAGGTAGTTCTCTATAGTAGTGTGAGAACAGGCTGATAAAAACAGGTAGGGATAGCGCTTCTCAGGAGCCCCAGTATCTGAACAGCTCATTCTAGGACCTAAAAGAATATTTGTTCAATCAATCAATTAATGAATAAAATAAAAAAGCAGTTTTTCTTTGGAAATATGGTGACGTCACCGCAGGGCCAGTTAGCACTGAGACACAGGATGCGAAGCTAACAGTCCTGTACACTGTGTTTGCTGGCCTTGTTGGTTTGAAATGAAAATCAATCTCAGGACCCCCAAATCACTAAGCCAAGGGGAAAAGTCAAGCTGGGAGCTGCGTTCGGGAAAACTGCCCCCCATTTTATTCCTAAATAAGATAGCTACAAGATGAAAAAGCTATATACCTCCCTCATGATTTGTCCACAAGGAGATTCTTTGTTGCCCTCAAGAATTTTACCTTAAAATAGTTCTGCTGAATTTCATCAGAATTGATAGCTTGTTGTCGCAGGTGTGGGATAAAGTACAGACAGAACTCAGTCATCCCTTCGCTCACCTGAGACAAATGCAAATCTGATTGCTTCCTCTGCCCTATTGCTTATGTAAAAGTGTAGATTCACTGCCTCAGACTAAGGCGTCAATGACTATGCCTCTACTCTTCCTCAGCTGTAAATTGTGTATTCACTGAAAGACTGATGAGGGACTCAAAAGAATGCACCTGTTGGTCTCCTAGCTACCCAAGACCTGGAAACCACACTTCAAGTTGTCTCACCTTTCTGGATTAAACCAATGCACATCTCACACCTATTAATTGATGTCTCATGTCTCCCTAAAATGTATGAAACCAAGCTCTGCTCTGACCACCTTGGGCACATGTCATCAGGACCTCCTGAGGCTGTGTCGTGAGTATGTCCTTCACCTTGGCGAAGTATACTTTCTAAATTTCTAAATTGATTGAGACCTGTCTCAGGTACTTTTGGTTCACATTGGATTCCAAAGCACCTTCATCTGTTGTTTTATTTGTTTCCCTTGATAATTATGCGAGGCCAGCTCAGCAGCTCTCACCAACTCTGTCTTGCAGAGGCGCACACTGAGCTCCAGGTCACACAGAGCCAGCACCTGGACTGAGGTCTGGGGGTTCCTGGGCCAGTGTCTTCCCTGCTTCAGGGCAGCCTTGGGCATGGTTTGAGAGACTGTGTGTTCACCTGAGCTTCTCTGACTTTCGAAACAGGGAATGAGAAGCATGCAGGACACTGGCAAGCCCTCCAGCCCCGTCAGGAAGAGAGGAGAGAGGTGTGTGCACCTGCCATTTTGTCAAAATGATGTTGACTTTTTCATTTGACACTCCTAGAAACATACAGGTTAAAAAGCACCGTAAAACCCCAAAACAACAAAAAATAGACCCACAGACACATAGAAGTCATCCATAATAGGAATTATCTTTCACTTACAAACCTCTAGGGTATCTTTTTTTTTATTATTATGCTTTAAGTTTTAGGGTACATGTGCACAACGTGCAGGTTTGTTACATATGTATACATGTGCCGTGTTGGTGTGCTGCACCCAGTAACTCGTCATTTAACATTAGGTGTATCTCCTAATGCTATCCCTCCCCCCTCCCCCCACCCCACAACAGGCCCCGGTGTGTGATGTTCCCCTTCCTGTGTCCATGTGTTCTCATTGTTCAATTCCCACCTATGAGTGAGAACATGCGGTGTTTGGTTTCTTTGTCCTTGTGATAGTTTGCTGAGAATGGTTTCCAGCTTCATCCATGTCCCTACAAAGGACATGAACTCATCCTTTTTTATGGTTGCATAGTATTCCATGGTGTATATGTGCCACATTTTCTTAATCCAGTCTATCATTGTTGGACATTTGGCTTGGTTCCAAGTCTTTGATATTGTGAATAGTGCCACAATAAACATACGTGTGCATGTGTCTTTATAGCAGCATGATTTATAATCCTTTGGGTATGTACCCAGTAATGGGATTGATGGATCAAGTGGTATATATCTTTGAGCTGCTTTCCTCTCCTTTTTCATTGTACTTCTGGATGCATGTATCTGTGGTTTTTGGGAAGGAATGTGGATTTTGGCTATGATGTCTCTGCAATGTATTTGTCACCTTGGGTTATGAGTCTTGTTTGTGGATTACCTGTCCATAGAATATCTATTACCTGTTTTATTTTTAAGCTAGGCTCAGTGGAGGAAATACTCTTTAGGGGAAAAAGAATTTTAGAAACTCACAGAGAAAATACATTAAACAATATTGCTTTGATCTGCTTTGTGGCAGGTGAAATGGGCAGTCTGTGTCAGCCCCAGGAAGTCATGCCTGGAAACTGACACAGGTGTGCAAGCGTTCTGTAGACCTCCCCCCGCTCAACCCCACCAGGGGAAGAGAAGATTTCAGATTGGGGAATGTTCTATGCTGACAATTCAGTGAAATGCTTGCTGGCTCACCTCTAACTTTAATTACTTTCTCTTCCTCAGCTTTGCAATTAGCTGATGTTGCTACAAATTTTTGTCACATACTTAATCTTTATATAGTGTTTTTGGCCAGAGTGCAGTTCAAGTCTATGAGCTACTCTGATGTCTCTATCCAGAGGTAAGGCTGTGTGAGCGGTAGTCTCTAACAAGGCACACTCTTGCAAGGGCTCAGCTTGGACCAGAGCAGATAAGGCTTATTTTCAGTGCTCCCAGCTGCTCTTGTTCCTGCCAGGAGCACAGTACACTTGTGTCTGCATTTTGCTCTTACCCTTCTCTCTCGCTTCTAATTTATATAGCATTGATTTTGCACCAAACACTTTGTAAAAACTGTTAATCCTCTGCAGACATGCAGGACTGATTCTACCCAGTTAAAAGATAACTGAGTGTCAGAAAAGTTATATAATTTAGCTAATTAAAGGAAGAGCCAGAATTTTCACACCTGGCTCTCTCGTCACCAAATTGTCTTTTCTACGACTTGTTGCCTGCGATGTTGCACTGTCTGCTGCACTGCAGTGTCCGCTGTTGTGGGATCACCTGACATTGGAAGGAAGGAGGAGCTGCACACATTTCAGGGGGCAGCATGAGAAGCCAGGGTCCTGAGCGGGGAATTTGCAAGCTCCTGGGGGAAAAGAATCAAATGATTCTGTGGCCTGCTGGTGAAAGACGAAGTAGGGAACTGGAATCCCCAAGTTTTAAATTTAGAGAATTTGGAAGGGGTGGGTGAGGTCTGTTAATTGTCTGGCCACATTCAGTAATGCGAAATATGGAAGACGCCCTCATCGGAGGAATATAGATATGTGGTTTCAGAAGTGAGAATGACGTCCACGTCCAAGTGCTCTGCAGACACTGGGATTATGAACCCCAAATATCTGAGATAGGTCTCACTTAATTTAGAAAGTTTATTTTACCAAGGTTGAGGATGCATGCCTGTGACACGGCCTCCGGAGGTCCTGACACCATGTGTCTCAGGTGGTCAGAACACAGTTTGGTTTTATACATTTTAGGGAGACATGAGACATCAATCAAAATATGTAAGATAAACTTGGTTCAGTCGGGAAAGGCACGAAAACTTGAAGTGGGGAGGGGGCTTCCAGGTCATGGGTACATTTTTTTTTGCATTTCTGATGAGCCTCTCCAAAGGAGACAATCAGACAGGCGTTTATCTCAGTGAGCAGAGGGGTGACTTTGAATAGAGTGGGAGACAGGTTGGCCCTAAGCAGTTCCCAGCTTGACTTCCCTGTAGCTTAGTGATTTTGGGGCCCCAAGATTTATTTTCCTATCACACAATGTACATATTTAGTTGAAGAATCAGAGCAAATATGTAGAATTCAGAGTTATTCATGCGTAGACAATAACCTAAGCCGGAATTGAACTACCTAAAAAAATCTCTACCAGAATTCATAAACCCATTTCCAAATGTGTGGTTGAGAACACGGCGACTTGGGACGATGAAACGTTGCTCAGATTTATTTCGAAAGTGGAGAGGCCGGAGTGGAATCCAGTGCTATTTGATTCCACATTCCAGGGTCTTCTCATGAGCCTCTCTTCCTCCCAGTACAGTGTGCAGCACAGCCAGCTGGAGGCTCTCAGGTAGAGGGCCGATGATTACCAGGCTATCCGTTGTGAGCCCTGCCTCAGTAGGGCCCTGTGGTCCTGGTAGTAATATATTATATAAAAATCCTGGCCGGGTGCAGTGGCTCACGCCTGTAACCCTGGCGCTTTGGGAAATGGAAGCAGGCAGTTCATGAGATCAAGAGATCAAGACCATCCTGGCCAACATGGTGAAACCCGGTCTCCAGTAAAAATACAAAAATTAGCTGGGCATGGTGGTGCACACGTGTAGTCCCAGGTACTACAGGTACCAGCTCCTTGGGAGGCTGAGGCAGGAGAATCACTTGAACTCGGGAGGCGGAGGTTGCAGTGAGCCGAGATCGTGCCACTGCACTCCTGCCTGGCAACAGAGTGAGACTCTATCTCAATAAGCCCTGGGGCATTTTTCACCCTGGTTCTTAAGATGGATGAACATTCTCTACTGTTTCCTGTGTTCCTGATTACATACAGAACGCTATAAAAGCCACATGTTTTTTGCTGGCAACACTCACCAGTTTTAAGCATTTTCAAAACCACAGAAATGTGTAAAGAACAGGACAGTGAGTACTCATACATCTGCCGCCGGGGCTCCTCGGTTCACAATTTGCCACATTTGCTTCATCTCTGTAATTTTTGCTAAACAGTAAATTCTAAGTATCATGCTTCATCCCTACTTACTTTTAGCATGTGGTTCCCAAAAAGTAGGGGTATTATTAGGTTGGTGCAAAAGTAATTTCAGTTTTTGCCTTTACTTTTTATTTTTATTTATTTTTTGAGACGGAGTCTCGCTCTGTCCCCCAGGCTGGAGTGCAGTGGTGTGATCTTGGCTCACTGCAAGCTCCGCCTCCAGGGTTCACGCCATTCTGCTGCCTCAGCCTCCCAAGTAGCTGGGACTACAGGCGCCCTCCACCATGCCCAGCTAATTTTTTGTATTTTTAGTTGAGATGGGGTTTCACTGTGTTAGCCAGGATTGTGTCGATCTCTTGACCTCATGATCCACCCACCTCGGCCTCACAAAGTGCTGGGATTACAGGCTTGAGCAACCTTGCCCGGCTGCTATTACTTTTAATGACAAAAATCATAATAACTTTTGCACCAACCTAATAGTGACCACAGAATTATTTTGACACTTACCCATTAACAGGAATTCCCTCATATGCTGACCACCCAGGTGCTGAACTGAGTGGCCTCTGCACTGCATCCAAAACACAATTTTCGTATCACTGTGTTTTGATCTGGTCTGTGTGTGATAATGCGGTTCTACCTTCCATGTCCTTGCAACCGAATATGCTTTTCTCGCTCAATAATAATCACCACATTGGCTATTGCTTATTGAATGCTTTATATGCCAGATTCTGGGCTCAGCTCTGTGTTCATCTTATTAATCCTAACAGCAACCCTAGAAGGTGGATTTTGTTACAATTCCCCCATTATAAATAAAAACCTGAGGACGGTATGGACACTAGCTGATGAGGTTTTGTGAATTGATTTCTCTAGATATCTGTATGGCTGTGTTGTTACAACTCTTTGTTTTTCTAGCAAGAGCGTGGCATATTGGCTTTTTGATCATGGAATCTGCCCTTTTATTTGTTCAGTCAATGATGAAAGTCCATTTTCACGCACTAGAAGTCAAGATGCTCCTTGTTCAAGGTGCAAAAACCCTTCCCGTGTCTCAGCATTGAGACTTCCTCGGGCAGTTGGCAGCTGGGACTAGCTGGGGGAGGTGACAATCTTATCACAGCCTCAAGTGATGAGTTACATTTCAGATGAGACCAGGTATTCTTTTGTAAAGGGATGAACTAAAGCAAGTTTCCTGTCAGGACCAGCTTTGAGAGTGTGTGACCTGTGGACTTTGGTTTAATTCTTTGTGGTCGCCCTATTGAAGTTCTTCGTTTCTTCCTTGACTTTGCGTTCTGTTGATGACCTCTGATGGAGCAATGGAGTATGTGTTGTGGTTGGTGCTGGCCGGGTGCACTGTCCTCCCTCCCCCAGGGCAGATTCTCCCCTGCCCACCCTACCACCTCTTCTAGTGCCTTTGCGCCAGGCCATGGGAGGTCATGGTCAGGTGCGTCCACCTCTGCAAGGAGTTGTGAGCTGCACTCCATGGGCACCTAGGCACCTGTATGAGTCTGCACTCACCACATGTAGATCCCCATGCCCCCAGGAGAGTGACATTAAATAGGAAATAAGCACAGGACTAGTAGAGACTGTTGAGCAAAGGACAAATGTTCCTGCTTTATGAACAAGAGCCCCTGCCTTTCTATTTTGCACTGGGTCCTCTTCTGACTTCCAAGCAGATTGAGTAGACTGACATTTCAATTGCTCCAAGATGCGAATGTGCCCATGATAGTCCACTCAGGCTGATGTAACAAAATACCGCGGACTGGGTATATTCTAAACAACAGATTTGTTTCTCACATTTCTGGAGACTGGGAAGTCCAATATCAAGGTGCCAGCAGATGGGGTGTCCAATGAGGGCTGCCTTGCTGCAATCTTACCTGGCAGAAGAGCTTGAAGGGCCGGTTGGCCCTCAACCTGACTACAGCACGAGAGTCAGGGCAGTGGCAGCTGGCTCAGAAGCTTGCGTTCATGCATCTGGGAGTCCAGAGCTCCAAGTGGTACAGACAGAATGGTAGAGACGGAGAGAATGATAGAGAGAGAGTTCTCACTCTGTTCTGCTTCCTAAATCACCTCCCTCCAGGAGATTCTGCACTGTAGGAGGGAGGTGGTTTAGGCAGAAGAACAGAGTAAGGACTCATAATCACAGCACCTCTTGTGTTCTAGGGACTCTTGGAAATGCTGATTAGGATTCATGCTTAACTTCAGGACTTGGCCTTTTTTTCAGAAGAAGGAACCCGGGGCATGATATGGTTAAATAAGTTGTCCAAGGAACAGAGTGACAGACCTGAGATTTGAGCCCTGGGAGCCTAACTACTGCCCAGACCAGTTTGGTCGGGGAGACCCTAACCCAGCGGCGCTAGAGGAATTAAAGACACACACACTGAAATATAGAGGTGTGAAGTGGGAAATCAGGGGTCTCACAACCTTCAGAGCTGAGAGCCCTGAACAGATTTACCTATTTATTTATTTATTTATTTATTTATTTATTTATTTTTGAGATGGAATCTTGCTCTGTCGCCCAGGATGGAGTACAGTGGCATGATCTCAGCTCACCACAAGCTCTGCCTCCCTGGTTCATGCCATTCTCCTGCCTCAGCCTCCCAAGTAGCTGGGACTACAGGCACCTGCCACCATGCCCGGCTAATTTTTTGTATTTTTAGTAGAGATGGGGTTTCACCGTGTTAGCCAGGATGGTCTTGATCTCCTGACCTCATGATCTGTTGGCTTCGGCCTCCCAAAGTGCTGGGATTACAGGCATGAGCCACTGCGCCTGGCAGAGACTTCTTAGTTGTCCAAAACATCCTTTATTTCAGCCCTTGGTGTGATGAATGATTTTTGAGGAATCAGGGAAGAAGGAGAAATTTCTTAAACTCTCTTTGCAAACATTTTCCAGCAGGATCATTCCCTAAAGAGTTGTAGAAAGATGGTGAAGAGCCAATCAATGTTCCCCTAGAAAGTTCTTTGCCAATTTAGTCATTTATCTATGCTTCTATTTCCAAACATTAGGAGGCAGTCAGATACTTGTTTAAAGTAATTCTATGGTTTGTCAGACTCGTTTAAGGATTTTCAGATGATAAAAGCACACATTCCTGCAAGCAATGTGGCCGGGGAGAATATACATGCAGATGGATACATCTGTCTTTGCACTGTTTACCTGCAGGAATGTGTGGATTGTGCAACCCTCGTGCCAAACTAAATGATCAAATAGGGGCTTGTGGCACCTGTAAATTCCTTTCTGACTTTTGCTCCCCACCTTAAACTGTTTAGGACAATAGTGCTCAAACCATAAATGTTCCATGCTTTGTTTTCTCAACATTGATCAATTACGACTAATCTAATAAATTAAATGTATTTTTCTCTTATTTACACTTCAGCTCTATTGGATTTGTTGAATGGGAAAACCATGAGAAATCTATGTAGCATTCTTTTCACCCAGATATATTAAAAAGCTGCCATCGATATCAACAGGTATAAAACTATATTAGGGGTGGTGGGTGGAGGTGTTGTCTGCCCTCCCAAAATTTGAATCCAAGCTTAGCCAGAAAAAGCTGTTGTAGAATCCTGCTTCATCATTATCAGGTGCTACCATTTGTTGAAAAGTGCCATGTTTCAGATCCTATGTTAAAGATTCTAGAGGCGTTATCTCATCTTTTTATTTTACAAATCCTCCTATGAGGAAGTAATTTTATCACAGTTTTACAGATGTGGAACTGAGGCTTAAAGTTTCAGTAAGTTACCCAGCAAGAGGTTTCCTGTTTTAGGTCTACTCAACAAAAGAGAAAATCTGAGGGTTTTAACAAGTGCTCTGCTGTTTTTGTTCATGCCACACTCTCTAATATGCCAGGAGAAAGAAATTTTTATTGAGTGCCCTTTATATACCAGGCAGTGTGAGGGTCACTGCCCATATGACCTCATTTTAATTTTCACAACCATCTTTGGAGATAGTATGGAGAAACTGAGGCTCAGTACTATTTGCCTAATACAAAAAAAGCTAGTGAGATGTGATGCTTTGAGCTACAGCAAGGCAGGGGCAGGGGTGCAGTAGAAGAAATGAGAGAGGACAGAGAGATCAATCATTGGCAATTCTTCACAGGTGGAGGGGGTGGTGGGCTCTTGATGGAGGTATGGGAGCTTCTGTTCATTTCTGTCCTTTTATCATCTCTAGTCTCACCTCCCAGTGAGATAAAAGATCCAATTTTTAAAGAAATTCAAAGTCATCTTCCCCTGGTGAGCTGCAGAAGCCTTGTTTATTCTCCTCTCCAATTCTTCTCCCACTTGAACCTACACTACTTTGAGGGCAAGGCTGATCCAGGGAGCAGTCCTTTCTTATAGATACTTAATAATATAAGAAGTAGGAGGAGTGAGTCGTTGATGGTGACCTGCCATCATGAAAGATGCAGCCCATCACAGGAAAGAGCCCAGCCTTACATGGAGTGGAGCATGGGCACAGAGGCCAGAAGATGGTGCAGAATCCATTGGGTCATCCACTCGTCCCTGTAGTACCTGTTTCAGACAGGCAGACACACACACACACACATCCCTTCCTTCTTACTTTCCAGTCCCTTTTCCCTTATTTTCTAGCTCTTCTGTTCTATTGAGGGTACTGGCTTAATCTTGTTTCTTGTGGGCAAGTCCTGTTTTCTTTGAATCTGTACCATGTTCAGAACTTGAACCCCTCTCAAGCTATACTAATCCCTTGTGTCTTAGTCAAGTTGGGTGGCTTTAACAAAATAGCGAGGCCTGGGTGGCTTAAATCACAAACATTTGTCACAGATCTGGAGGCTGAAGTACGAGATCAAGCCATCAGCAGATCTGGTTCTTGGTGAGTTCTCTCTTCCTGGCTTGTAGACGGCTGCCTTCTTGCTGTGTTCTCACATGATGGAGAGAGAATGAGCTCTGGTTTCTGCTCTTCTAAGGACAGTAGTCTCATTATGGGGGCTCGACCTTAAGACCTCATTAAATTTAATTACTTTTCAAAGGCCCTACTTCCAAATACCATCACATTGGAGATTTGGGGTTTAACATTTGAATTTTGGTGGTGGTGGGGAGGTGGCGACACAAACATTCAGTGCATAGCTCTCTCTTCTTGCATGTCTGAGACACATGGTTACACTAAGGGGTCCCCTTTGTAATGGGAATGAAGTTAGGTAGGGCCAAAGTGGGTGAAGGATAGAGAACCCTGCCCTGGAGAACTCAGTGGAGGTCATGAAAAATACTATTTGGATTAGATTCTCACTAAAAGTAACAACCAAGAAACTCATAAGTTAGCTGAAAATTAGAAAACTGGATGTTATAAAATGACTTGTGAATTTCTCAGATGAAGCATGCCTGAGCTCCAAAGTTCCAGTTAAGGTCTCGTCTTTGAGCTGCTTATGCCAGTGGACAGCTCTTGCACTGAGTTTCTGCTTTATTCTGTTTGATTATGTGGCTGTATATTTCCCTCGTGAAACATTTTGAGTGACCCTTTACCAAGGAAAGGGCTTTTTAAGCTAGTGAATCACATCTTCGCATATTTCCTTCCGTTTCCTCTCTTTATTTCCATGTAAAATATTCCAAATGACATTAAGTGTACCCTGAAATTGTCATGGGAAAAACCAAGTAAAGTGCTTAGAAATATCTGCATATTCAGGAAAAAATCATTTGCCAAGTATTAACATGCAGGAGTGAGTAAATCATGTGGGAAGAAGGAAAAGGTCACATTCCAGTTTTACAAAGCAACAGCTGCCATAGCTGAAAAAGAGAAAAATCAATGCCATAAAACACTGTTTGATTTTTTTAAGGTGTAACAAATCAGAAAGTTTCCAATTAAAGTTTTTTTGGCAGTGCCCCAATATTCACTTTTACATAAATGGATTTGATTGCTTTTTCTTTGACACGAAATTTCCAGAATGGTTCATCCCTAACAGTGTAAGACTCTGAGAGGGTTGTGGAAAAAGATGGGCGTAGACGGCTGTGAGCTTTAGACTTGTGATCTGGCTTTTTGTATCAGTGAAGATAGGATTTGTGTTCCATTGACCCAAACTATGGTGTCTTACCACAGGTAAAGGTTTATTTCTCTCACATAAACATCCAGAGGCAGGAAGTCTGTGGAAAGCATGTTGGCCTCAGGGATCTTGGCTCTTTCTAGCTCATGTATATGATGCCCAGAACTTGTGCTGATGGTCCAGCATGGTAACTAAGGCACCAGCTGGCCCATGAGCACGTCAGGCATCAGGGCAGAGGAACATGAAGAAGGAACAGAGGGCATGAAGCAGGTGCCCTTTTATTCAAAGATGCTTTAATTGACATTGAATACCCATGTAACAGTGAAACCGCATAACTAACACCAGTTTTGTTTAAGGGACCTCTGCCCATTCCTGTCCATAGGCTAGGATAATTTTAGAGCACTGAGATAAAACTCAAAAACAGCAATCATGTGGATGAATGGGGACTGTAAGCAACTAACTGTTTTGTTGAAGATTTATGGGAGCGAGGAGGTTTGGCTATCACCATATGAGAGATCATTACCGAGGACCCTTGTTGGTGCCCAGATACCTGTCGTTGTCAACCCCCCTTCCCCCTTACCTAAAGATAAAAGACAAGGCAAAGCCCACTTAACTTTGAGCTGGTTCTTCAGGGCATTAGTCCACCATCTTCTTGGCTTGCTGGCTGTCCTAATAAAGTGGTTTTCTGGCCGGGTGCAGTGGCTCATGCCTGTAATCCCAGCACTTTGGGAGGCTGAGGCGGGTGGATCACAAGGTCAGGAGATTGAGACCATCCTGGCCAACATGGTGAAAGCCCCATCTCTACTAAAAATACAAAAAAATAGCTGGGCATGGTGGTGCATGCCTGTAATCCCAGGTACTTGGGAGGCTGAGGCAGGAGAATCGCTTGAACCAGGGAATCGGAGGTTGCAGTGAGCCAAGATTGCGCCACTGTACTTCAGCCTAGTGACACAAGACTCCGTCTCAAAAAAACAAAAAACAAAAAACAAACAAAAAAGTGGCTTTCTTTGCTCCAACTCCTTGTCTCTCAACTTACTGGCCTTTGTGCAGCAAGCAGAATGAGTTTGGACTCAGTGACACACAAAACAATGCATAGTATGAAATGTGCAGCTTAATAAATTATGATAGAGAAGATGCTTACGAATTTACCACAGCGGTCAAGAGACACAGCCAGCCCCTGAGGATCCCACTACCTCTGTCTTTTACCACTTCTCCATCAGCACCCTTTCTTCTTTCTCAAAGGTGGGTAGGTCTTGACTTCTTTGCCTGTTTTTGAATTTTATATAAATTTAACTGTACACTATGTGTTCTTGAACACACCTTCTTTCTCTTTATATTTATGAGATTCATCATGTTGCTAAAGGTAGCTGCAGTTTATCAGACTTCATGGCTGTCTGTGTTGTATTTATTTTATTGTTGATGATTTGGCTTGTTTCTCAATTGGGACTGTTAGGAATAGTGCTGCTATGAACATTCTTTTCTTTTAATTATTATTTTTTTTTGAGACGGAGTCTTGCTCTGTTGCCCAGGCTGGAGTGCAGTGGCGATCTCGGCTCAATGCAAGCTCTGCCTCCCGGGTTTATAGCATTCTCCTGCTTCACCCTCCCGAGTAGCTGGGACTACAGGTGCCAGCCACCATGCCTGGCTAATTTTTTGTGTTTTTAGTAGAGAGGGGGTTTCACCGTGTTAGCCAGGATGGTCTTGATCTCCTGACCTAGTGATCTGCCCTTCTTGGCCTCCCAAAATTCTGGGATTACAGGCGTGAGCCACTGCGCCTGGCCTTTTTCTTTCTTTCTTTCTTTTTTTTTTTTTTTTTTGAGACAGAGTTTCACACTTGTTGCCCAGGCTAGAGTGCAATGGCAGGATCTTGGCTCACCGTAACTCCCGCCTCCTGGGTTCAAGCGATTCTCCTGCCTCAGCCTCCCGAGTAGCTGTGATTACAGGCATGCACCACCACACCCGGCTAATTTTGTATTTTTAGTAGAGATGGGGTTTGTCCATGTTGGTCAGGCTGGTCTGGAATTCCCAACCTCAGGTGATCCACCGCGCTCGGTCTTCCAAAGTACTGGGATTACAGGCGTGAGCCACCGCTCTGGCAGCTATGAACGTTCTTGTACTCATGTCCAGCACTCCTGTGTATTTGTGCTGGGTATGCGTGTGTTCTGAATGGTTGTACAAATTTACCACTCACAGAGCACGTGCATTTCCAATCTCCCACTTGCCTGTCAATACTTGGTATTGTCTTTTTTTATTAGGCATTCTCATGGGTATATAGTGGTACCTTTTTGTTTTCATTTCACTGATTACTAATGAAATTGAACGTCTTTTTATTTTTTTATATTTATATTTACATTTTTATTTTTTGAGACAGAGTTTTGTTCTTGCTGCCCAGGCTGGAGTGCAATGGCGTGATCTCGGCTCACTGCAACTTCCACCTCCTGGGTTCCAGTGATTCTCCTGCCTCAGCCTCCCAAGTAGCTGAGATTATAGGCACCCACCACCGCGCCCGGCTAATTTTTGTATTTTTAGTAGAGATGGGTTTTACCATGTTGGCCAGGCTGGTTTCGAATTCCTGACCTCAGGTGACTCACCCACCTTGGCCTCCAAAGTGCTGGGATTATAGGCATGAGCCACCATGCCTGGCCAGTTGAACATCTTTTAATATATTTATGGCTTTTGAGATTTGTATTTATTTATTTATTTATTTATTTTTTTGAGACGGTGTCTTGCTCTGTCGCCAGGTTGGAGTGCAGTGGTGCGATCTCAGCTCACTGCAATCTCTGCCTCCTGGATTCAAGCGATTCTCCTGCCTCAGCCTCCCAAGTAGCTGGGATTATAGGCATTCGCCACCACACCCAGCTAATTTTTGTATTTTTAGTAGAGACATGGTTTCATCATGTTGGCCAGGATGGTTTCGATCTCCTGACCTTGTGATCCACCTGTGTCGGCATCCCAAAGTGGTGGGATTACTACTGGTGTGAGCCACTGCACCAGGCCGAGATTTTTTTTTTTTTTTTTTTTTTGAGACAGGGTCTCACTCTGTTGCCCAAGCTGGAGTGCAGGGGCACAATCAAAGTTCACTACAGCCTTGACCTCCCCTGCTCAAGTGATCCTCCCACCATAGCCTCCCAAGTAACTGGGACTACAGGGGTGTACCGCATACCCAGCTAATTTTCTGTGGAGACAGGGTTTTTCCATGTTGCCCAGGCTGGTCTTGAACTTCTGGGCTCAAGAAATCCTCCCACCTCAGCTTCCCAAAGCACTCTGATTACAGGTATGAGCCACCGTGCCTGGACTGGATATTTTCAATTGTGAAGTACCTGTTCAATAATTCTCTTGATTGTATTTGTGTTGGGTTGTCTGTCTTTTTCTTACCATAGGTGTTCTTACTATATTCTGGATACTATTCTTTCGCCAGTTGAAGGTGTTGCAAATATGTGCCCCCCCCACTCCATGGCTTGCCTTTTCATTTTTATAATAGGGGTTTTTTTAATGAACACATGATTTAAATTAATTATTATTAATGGACTCTAAATATATTTTGTGTTTTTGCTTTTTTTTGTATTTTGTTTAATCTTTCCTTATGGCAAGTATTAGAATAAGGAAGGTATTAATCTGTTAGATTATCGAAGCTTTATTTTTTTTTATTTCACATTTAGGTTTAAAACCTGCTTAAAGTAATTTCTGTGAATGGTGTGAGAGATGAAGTTTCGTTGTTTTTCTTAGTGGGTATGTATTTGACCAAGAGCTAGTTATTGAAATAACTTTCTCCCTCTGTTGTGTAACACCAGCTTTCTCCATATGTGAATGGTTCTGTTTCTGAAATCTGTATTCTTCTCTATTTGTTCATTTGGCTAAACATGTGGCAATACCACATCTAAATTACTATAGCTTTATGTCTGATCTTTATATATGATAGACCCACCTTAACATTCTTTTTCAAGAATGTCTTGCTTAATTATGGCCTTTTTTTACATAAAAGGTAGAATGAGCTTATGTATCCATTTCCACAGGAAAATATATTGGGATTTTGATTAAAATTGCACCGAATCTATCGATAATTTGGGGAGAATTATCATTTTTTACCATATTTTTATTTTTTGAGAATATTTATTTTAACTAATGTTTTAAAGTTTACTGTTTAGTAGTCATGCAGATTGTTATATGTATTTATTTCTCCCTGGATACCAGGTGGTTTTGAGTTATTATAAATAAATATATATAAATGTATATATATAAATGTGTGTGTATATATATATACACACACACATATATACATATATATACACACATATATACACACACACACACACACACATATATATATATATATTTACTTTTTTAAAGATAGGTTCACACTCAGTTGCTGAGACTGGAGTGCAGTGATATAATTATACCTCACTGCCACCTCAAATTCCTGGGCTCATGTGATTCTCCTACCTAATCCTCCCTAGCAGCTGTGACTACAGATGTGTGGCACCCTGTTTGGCTAATTTTCTGAATTTTTTGTAGAGAAGGGGGTCTCGTTATGTTTCCCAGGCTGGTCCTAAACTCCTGGTCTCAATCGATCCTCCTGCCTTGGCATCCCAAAGAGCAGGGATTCCAGGTGTGAGCCACTGTGCCTGGCTGTATATAGTATCTTTTCAGAGTTGTAGTTTCCAAATTTTTGTTGCTAATGCATAAAGATGGAATATGTTTTTGGTTATTAGCCTTATGAACTACTTTGTTAAGCTCACTAATTTTTAATAATTTTTATGTAGATTTATTGGGATTTATTTTTTATAGAATCATATTGTCTGGAAAAATGACAGCTTTATTTCTTCCTAATTTTATTCTATTTTTATTTCTGTTTCTTGCTTTATGGGGCTGACTACAATCTTCAGTATAGTGTTGAATGGAGCTAAAGGTAGTTTTTGTCTCACTCAGGAACTCAGAGGGAAAGCTTTCAGTATTTTACCATTGAGTATAAAGTTTGTCGTAGGTTTTTGCAGGTGTCTTTTTCTTAAATTAAGAAATATTCTTCTATTATTTGTAGAAACAAATGAAGACCAGCCAAAGAGAAAAGCAAAGGCTATTTTTTAGAGTCTGCTGTTGCAAGGGAGTCCACCACCATCACCTGCATTTTGGCAGAGACTCACAGGCAGGCAGAGGAGTGGAAAGCTTTTTCTTTTCTTTTCTTTTTCTTTGTTTTTATTTTTTGAGACGGAGTTTCTCTCTTGTTGCCCAGGCTGGAGTATGATGGTGGGATCTGGGCTCACTGGAACATCTGCCTCCTGGGTTCAAGTGATTCTTCTGCCTCAGCCTCCCCAGTAGCTGGGATTACAGGCATGTACCACCATGCCGGGCTATTTTTTTTTTTTTTTTTTTTTTGTATTTTTAGTAGAGATGGGGTTTCTCCATGTTGGTCAGGCTGTTCTCAAACTCCCGACCTCAGGTGATCTGCTCACTTCGGCCTTCCAAAGTGCTGGGATTACAGGCGTGAGCTACCGCACCCAGCGGGAAAGCTTTATCTAGGAAAAAAAGGGAGACTTCAGGTGTGCCCTGATTGCAGGCTGTTGGCTATTTTCTCTGTTTCTAAGGCAGAAGTGAGGACAAAAATTAGGAAAGCTGTCAGTTATTAATCGAGTGCCAGCCATTCTGGATCCATTGTTACAAGGGTTATTGTTTGACTTCCTGGATTGTTACTAGAGATAGCAGCCTGACTTCGTACAAGCAGACAGCTTTCTGGGCCGTAGACTGTCCATGAGGGGTTGGTTTCTGGGCAAATTGCTGCAGGCTTTGGGTCTGGCCATTGTCCTTTGCATATTGTCTGCCACATAGTTTTCTAAGAGTTGTTATTATTACTATTTAAAAATCATGAATGAGGATTTGATTTTATCATTTTTCGGCATATATTGATATCTGTATTAGTTTTTCTTTTATTTTGCTAGTGAATTAAGTGATTTTCAAACGTTGATTCAATTTGTAAATCCTGACAATAAACCCTATTTTGCCTTGATGAATGATCCCTTTTATACTGGATTCAGTTTGCAAATACTCTGTTTAGGATTAACTATATTCACGATTGAGGTAGAACTGCAATTTCCCTGTCTTGTCCTTGTAATGCCGTGTAATGGACAGGTTTTGGTAGCAAGATTAAGGTGTTTTGATATAATGAGTTGGGATTTATTTATTTTTTTGAAATGTTTGGTAAAATTCACTGGTGAAGCCATATGGGCCTGGAATTTTAACTGTTGATAAAATTTGTTACATATGAAATAATCAGATTTCTTATTTTTCTTGTGTCCATTTTGATAAGTTTTTTTAAAAAACATTTTATTTTGAATAATAGACTTGTCAGAAGTTCCAAAAAGCATGTACAAGGATGTCCTGTGTACCCTTTATTCAGTTTCCCCCAATGCTAACATCTCACATAACTGTGGTGCAATATAAAATCCAGGAAATTGAGAATGGTAGAATCTACAAAACATATTCATTTCACCAGTTTTACATGCAGTTGTGTGTTTGTGTGCATGCAGTTTGATACAATTTTATCATATGTGTAGATTTGTTGTAACCATCGCTGATCACCAAATACATAACTCTGATCTCATTACGTGGTCCTTTATGCTACCCCTTTATAGACACACACCTCCTTCCCATATCCTTGATCGCTGGTGATCACTGATTTGCTCTTCATTCCCATAATTTTGTCCTGTGAGGAATGTTTACCTAATTGAAATTATACACTATGCAGCCTTTTGGGGTTGTCATTTTTCATTCCGTATAAAATAGATGTTTCAAGTAAAAAATACTTAAAATGTGTGAGTGGCTTTGGAATTGCTCAGTGGACTTTGAGGAGAGAGAGTTAGTGGAACTCTAAAGTGCATTGAAGAAAGTGTTCAGAGAAATCCCATCATCTCTGAGAATGCTGCCAGTGAAGTTTTACTGGATAGTAATAAATATCTTATTGGAACTGGAGACAGGAGATTTTTGTTATGTAGTGGCAGAAAGTTCATGAAAGGTAGAAAATTTCCTTTTGAATGACATAACTAAAATTTCTAAGCAAAATTCTGAAGGTGTCACTTGGTTTCTTCTGATGCTTATAGCAAAATGTGCAGAGAGAGATAAATTGAGAGATGGGCTGTCAAACAAAAAGGAGTCAGAACTTAACTTGATGGTTTTGAAAATTCTCAGCCTATACAGATAAAAAATAATGCTAAAGTTAAGAAGTGGCTTCTGAACAAAGACCAAATACAAGGCATTCTCAAGAAAATTTGGTCTAAGGATGAAGCTGAAGGTATAATTGGAAAATCAAAGGTGGTTTACTCAGAGTATTATTTAGTCAAGTGTAAAGCTCTTTAAATTACTTAATCATGGGACTTGTAGATCCTCCTAAACAATATGGATTCTAAGAAGCTGAAGAGTATTATGACTCTATAGATATCCAAGATAGAAACATATTTATCTCGAGGAAATTTGGAGATGTAGCTTTTTATCTAATAAAGTAAATATCAAGAAGATTGGCAAGAGACCCACAATATTTTTAAAAGAGTTATATATGTACAAACATTGGCATCTTGGAATAAGGAGAACACAGTACCAGATGAGGGAAGCTTCTGGCAGAAAACAGACTGAGGTTTTCAAACATATACTAACTTCCATGAAAAAAGATGCCTTAGAGGGTGGAAATAAGAGCACAGAGAGCGAAGCAGGGAATCATGAGGAATTATTATCAGACCTCGGATGTAATCAAGGAGCTTGCAACATTTGCACATCTCAATTTTAAAATTGCTATGGACCAGTGGCTAGTTTGTGGTTCACATCTTCCTCTCTTTGAACAGAAATGTCTATAGTGGTTATCCTGTTCCTGTTCCACCAATGTATGTTTTGTGTGTTGGGAAAAGATTACTAGTCATTTTAGATTCACTGCTCTATAGATCATGAGGAACTATACTTGAGTTGCTGTAAAGATTTATACCTTTGGAGGTTCATCTACACCTGAGCTTGAATGACTTGCTTTGGTTGAAGCTACTTGCCATGTTGGGAGGAATCCTTGTCAATAAACCGACATGGCAAGGGATGGAGGCTTGCAAACAACCATAGAGGTGAGGTTGGAAGGAGTTTCCTCCTTCCTGTCTAGGCTGAGATTTTAGGTGGGACCTTAATCCTGGCTAATGGCTTGACTGCAGACGCAGGAATGACTTTGAGCCAGAGGCACCCTGTTAATCTACATATGGATTCTTTACCCACAAAACCTGAATGATAATAAATATGCATTGTCTGCAGCCACCAAGTTTTGGGGGTAACTTTTTATGCAGCAATGGATTATGTATACAATAAGATTCAGTGCTTTGAAAATATTCCCTCATCTTCTTGATTGTTTTATTTCTGTTGAGAAGTGATTCCTGTCAGTCTTTTTGATGGCTTCTCTGAAGCTCTGAAGCAATTTTCAGAACTTTAAAGTTCTTGGGGTATGAATTAGTTTTCTAGGGCTGTTGTAACAGGATGGTTTAAAAACAAGACATTTATTTTTTCACAGTTCTGGAGGCTAGAACTCTGAAAATTTTGTTGTTAAGCCAAAATCAAGATAGCAGAAGAAAGCAAACTTTCTCTGGAGGCTCAAGGAAAAAAGTTTTTCCTGCATCTTCCAGCTTCTTGTGGCCCCAGGCATTTCTTGGCTTATGGCAGCATCACTCCAGTGTCTGTCTCCATCTTCACACGGCCTTCTTCTCTTCTTGATGTATCCTCTCCTCTTCTTATAAGGAATCTGGCGACTAGATTTAGGGTGAACCCCAAATCTAGGATAATTTAATTTTGGTATCCTTAATTAATTACATTTGCAAAGACCTTATTTTGAAATAAGGTCAAGAAGCTGAGGTTCTGAGTGGACATGGATTTTTGGAGAACACTCTTCAACCCACTACTGTGTAGTTTTTTTTTTTTTATCATGCTTGTGATATGCTAGAATTCTTGACTCAATACCTTGATGCCTTTCCTTGGCATTGGGAAATTTTCAGGAATTTTTCATGTCTTTAAATATTGCTTCTTTCCCACTCTTTCTCCTTTGTTTTTCTGAGCTTCAATTGTGTGTGTTTGTGTGTATTCTTACTGTATCTTCTATTACTTTAAGCTCATTTTGTTGCCTTTTTATGTTCTATTGTTTATTTATGCTTCATCCTGGGTGTTTTCTTCTGATCAATCTTCAAGTTCACAGATTTTCTCTTTAGCTGCATCTGATCTACTTTTAAGCACATCCTTTAAATTCTTAATTTCATTTAATTTCTCTTCCAGTTCTAGAAATTTTCATTTCTTTGTTTCCATTTATCTGCCAACTTTCTTGAGCTTTAAATTTATCTTCTTGAAAATATTCAGCTTAGCTATTTAAAATTCTTTATCTTGTAACTATTTGTTAGATTTCCTGTGGTTCTGTTTGTTTTGCCTGTTTTTTCTCTTTTTAAATCACATAGTCCTGTCCCCTATGTGTCTCATTCTTTTTTAGAATATATTTTGCTTGTGGCTGGTTGCTAGGGACATTGGCAAATCTGGATCATCACAAACTAATTTCAGTGATTGAGATTTTACAAAATTGGGCTTCATTTCTTATAGGTCCAGTGTGTTTCTATTTCACCTTTAATTAAAGGCTGCAGTTTTGGGGTCTCAATTCAAAGTGTTTGTTTCCTAGTGTTCCTTCTGCTTGGTAAGTCTTGGAATCTAATATTTGTGCCATTATTTACATGGGGCTGTTAAAACACTCTGCTCAGCATTCTCAGCCTTTCAGCTGCATGTTCTGAATTGGTACACAGACCTTACAGAAAAGGCAGAACCAAATGCTGAGCTTGCCTCTCTGGTGGTACATTTTTTTCTATGCCATAGTCTTGTAAATATTCACTGATTTCTTAGCTCCACAATGTCCTCAGACAGACTTTTAAATTTGTCTGGCATTCCCCATTTTTCTCAACAGGAATGGTGGTTTGAATAACCTAATCCGTCATTATCAGAAGTAGAAGTCTTGCAATGCCAACTGTATTTTAGGTTTCTGGATGCTGATGTACCACACTACATTTGTATCACATGGGCCAGATCCAAACCAGAAGGCTGGGAATAATATATGTCCAATTAAAAATGGGGTGGTGGGGCTGGGCACAGTGGCTCATGCCTATAAACCCAGCACTTTGGGAGGCTGAGGCGGGTGGATCAGTTGAGGTCAGGAGTTCGAGACCAGCCTGGCCAACATAAGTAAATCACATCTGTACTAAAAATACAAAAAGTAGCTGGGTATGGTGGTGCATGCCTGTAATCTCAGCTACTTGGAAGGCTGAGACACAAGAATTGCTTGAACCTGGAAGGTGGAGGTTGCAGTGTGCTGAGATTGTGACGCCGCACTCCAGCCTGGGTGATAGAGTGAGATTCTGTCTCAAAAAAAAAAAAAAAAAGTGTTCTCATATTACTTGATGTGATTATTATACATTACATGCCTGAATCAAAACATCTCATGTACGCCATAAATATATACGCCTACTATGTACCAACAAAAATTAAAAAAAAATAAAACCTTTACATTAATTTTTTTATGTTAAAAAAATTGGAGGCTTCCTTATGGAAGAGGCCCACTTTAAACCCTATTTATAATAAAGTTCTTATTTATTTTTTAGATGAAAAACACAACCTACTACCTTGCCCTGCTGGGCCCTAACCGCAGGTATTGCTGGATGATTGAGATTGTGTGATAAAAAGATAACATTTGGAGAAAGCATACATTGTATAAATGTTTATTGTATTGAGTTAAGTCCAGTGATACAATCATAAAAGAAAACAGGTATTGGTATATTTTGTAAACCAGAAACCTGGTAAACCTTAAAATAATAGAAGCGTCATTTTCAAGGTGGATGCCAGAAAAAAAAAAAGTTATATTATGGCTTTGGGGACATCAAGATGTTTCTGTCATAATCTGCCTCCTATTAGTATTTGGAACTTGGGCTTTGATTGTCTCTAGTTCTTGTGTTCCCCACATATAAAATGTAGATAATAATTCATATTTACTTAATATTTGAGAGTTAAAATGGAGGATGCACTCTGAGTCATGAGTACAATGTTCCATTCTTCTTGACTAACACTACCATATATTGTAAAATGTTGAAAAAAATCAATGGTTGCTTGCTAAACCAATGAACCATCAGTTATTAAAAATTTCAGGGCCTGGCTGGGTGCAGTGGCTCATGTTTGTAGTCCCAGCACTTTGGGAGGCCGAGGTGGGTGGATTACTTGAGTCCAGGAGTTCGAGACCAGCCTGGCCAATATGGCAAAACCCTGTCTGTACTAAAAATGCAAAAACTAGCTGGGCATGGGGATGCACACTGGTAGTCTCAGCTACTTGGCAGGATGAGGCAGGAGAATTGCTTTAACCCAGGAGGTAGAGGCTGACACTACACTCCAGCTTGGGTGACAGAGCAAGACTCTGTCTCAAAAAAAAAAAAAAAAAAAAAAAAAATTCAGGGCCTAAAAATGATGAACTTTCAGTTGACCTTTTGAGAATGTTTTACTTTGACATTCTACCATTCAGTGGAAGTAGTCACATGTATTTCAGGAAGTTAGAGGGAAGTTACATCCTACTGACAAAACCCATCATCTATTAGAGCAATCAAAATCAAAATCTCTTCCATTTATTAATTGTCTCTTTATATGGGCACAGGACTAAACATTTAGTTTGTGTTCTTTACTTTTACCATTAATTCTTCTGATGAGTATAATTGTTTTTGTTTTTGCCTTTTTTGAGATGGAGTCTTGCTCTGTTGCCCAGGCTAGAGTGCAATGGCTCGATCTTGGCTCACTGCAACTTCCACCTCCCAGGGTCAAACAATTCTCCTGCCTCAGCCTCCTGAGTAGCTAGGATTGCAGGTGCCCACCACCGCACCTATCTAATTTTAGTGGAGATGGGGTTTCACCGTGTTGGCCAGGCTGGTCTTGAACTCCTGACCTCGTGATCCACATGCCTCGGTCTCCCAAAGTGCTAGGATTACAGGCTTGAGCCACAGCGCCCCAACCTGATAAGTACAACTGTTAAAATGAAAAAAAAAATGCTTTTGTTCGGTATTTATCAAGCTATTGTTTATCAGTACCAAGCTTTGAACCAATTAGGTATACATCTTTCTCATAGCGTCACAAGAGATAACACACAAAAGATAACTATTCAATCTTCTCAAAGACTTATATCCTCAAAATTTATTTTAATAATATAAAAGGTCTTTCTCTTTCACAGCTAGAAACCATTGTCCCAAAGAGCTGCAGTTCTTCTCTATATTTTATCAATATGGTGATGGTATTATCTAGGTCACTCCAAAATGAGACTTTGTGGTTTAAAATAAGTTTAAATATATAACTATATAGCAATAGAGATGTTGAGTTTTCTTGTGAGAAGCCAACATCTGTTTTCAAGTGGGAATGAAACATATTTGTAGTAAATCTGATGTTAAAACAGTGGTAGTATCAATATAGTTCCATCAACAAATACTTGTACAGTGCTCACTATTGGGTATTGATTCTTAATTTTTAGGGTCTTTAGTAAATTCCTTATATGTAGAACTTCAATTTCTTCAGGTAACTGAAGTGTTACAAAAGAAGTTACATATCCTCTAGTAACAAGTGTAGTACATGGTTCATACTAGATATTCAATAATTACTTGATTCAGTGATTCACGAGTTTATTGAGAGAAAAGCAGCTGGTGGCAGACAGAGTCCAGGATGAAAGGCCTCACTCTTGTATTTTAATTCCTTTCTTCAACTACTTTCCCCAGAAACCTTGTGTGTTATTCTTTCTTCTGGATATTCTTCTCAGATCCACAAGTCCCTTTTCTAATATTAGCTACTATGTATCCTTATTGTTGAATGGCGCAAGAAACAGAGAAGACAGATACTGAAATATGTTTTAATCTAACTCCTGAATTCGTGAATCCAAACCTGGTATTTCACATCTCTCACCTCTACAAGCAGATGAAGAGATAATAGAATGGTGGGAAGAACAGAATTAGGATCTCTGAATATTAGTACTGCTTCTACCATATACCAGAACTCCTTCATTGGACCAGTTGCTCAACTTCTAGGCCTTACAGATGCAATGAAGGGCTCAAATCTGCCACCCACAGCTGGACTATTTCTATATTCTGATATTTTGAGATAATTTTTGAGGTGATTTCCAAGCAACCCTTATTAATGGCGATTAAACTACTGATTTCAAGACTGTTCCTACAATAATATCGCCATCACTTGAGTTCTGATGATTTCTTGCCAGGCAGAAAGAAGTGTGGTTACCGCAAATACATCAGACGTTGCAAATAACTTTTAGCTGATTTTAATATAAATACAGTAGATGGTTATCCATTGCTCATGTCAGAGTGATGTGGTGTGTGTTTTGCAATAAGGGAAAGGAATTGAGAACTTCCAGGCTTGATGATCTCAATGGGTTTAAAATTTGTGATTGATTTTCAAGAATATTATTCTAAGAACATTGCCATTACATATAGTCCTTGAAAACAGGAACATCACCTATGTGTAAGGGATGGTAGAGTCAGAATGAAAAAAATTTGAAATAGTAGACCAGAGTATGTGTCCCAGTGCTGATGTGCACTTTTTATGAGCCTTCTTAAAAAAACACATAAGCTCCTGGGCATATTTTTCTTACTTGCTAAATGAGAATATGATAGCTGCTTGAGAGTGGAGGTGGAAATGGAGAGCTGCTATTCAATGGGTATGAAGTTTCAGGTATGCAGGATAATTAAGTTCTAGTGATCTGCTGTATGGCATTGTACCTCAAAGTTAACAATATGGAATTGTACGTGTTTTTACCCCAGTAAAATAAGCTGGTATTATTTTGATGATATTAAAGTGTTTATACATTATAAACACTTAAATTAAGTTGGTTATTAGAAATGGTACCTATTGCATATGCTTAAAAATGGAAAAAATAGGTTAATGTGTGACTATTTGGCTTCACTTTTTATTTTGTAGT
Source organism: Homo sapiens (assembly GCF_000001405.40). NCBI lineage: Eukaryota > Metazoa > Chordata > Mammalia > Primates > Hominidae > Homo > Homo sapiens. The sequence goes on along the minus strand of NW_025791785.1, from coordinate 168,148 downwards.
CATTGTCAGTACACATACATTATATTTTTACTTCTAATTTATAAAATAAACATATATGTTTTTACTTCTAATTTATAAAACAAACTTCTATATTTTATAGCATTTTGTTCCTGGTGTGTGTGTGTGTGTGTGTGTGTGTGTGTGTTTGAGTCAGAGTTTCGCTCTTTGTTGCCCAGGCTGGAGTGCAGCGGTGTGATCTCGGCTCACTGCAACCTCCGCCTCCCGGGTTCAAGCGATTCTCCTGGCTCAGACTCTTGAGTAGCTGGTATTACAGATGCCCACCACCACGCCCAGCTAATTTTTGTATTTTTATTAGAGATGGCGTTTCACCATGTTGGCCAGGCTGGTCTCGAACTCCTGACCTCAGGTGATCTGCCCGCCTTGGCCTCCCAAAGTGCTGGGATTACAGGCGTTAGCCACTGTGCCTAGCCATTCCTGCTTCTTTAGTACTAAACTAATTAATGGAAGAAGTGGGTTGAAGTTTAATGTTATATTATAAAATTTAAGTAGATTACTACTCTAATGGGGATAAAGGGAGATTTTCCTTGAGTATTTTGCCATGGAGTGGGTCAACTATGTTTTTTAGGTTATGTGCAACACCTGGGAACTCATAAGTGGCCATATAAAATCTTCTAAAATACTATTATAATAGTGGCCTGAAAAAATGGGGGTAATTCATATTTGATTTGAGAAATATTGGCCCAAAATATAATCATTTACCCTATAATATGGTACATCTACATATTTGGTTACCATAAGAAATAGTCTTATGTTAATTGAATATAATGGATCCCAAGAAACTGTGCCTCACTGAATTATATCAATATTTTTTATTTAGCCATTTATTGAACCTATCGGCCATAAATATATTGAGTGAATCTGCCCGCTAAGGATGCTCATGGACTTCTTGTTTATGAACTCGTATGGAAGTTTATTTGGTGCTGGGTCATGAAGCTGTTTCTGGATGAAATACCAGAGTAGTTTCAAATATTTTTCTTATAATGCAATATATTTTGTTATGTGCTTTAAAGTCATTAAACTTAGTTAATATGGAGATGCTTTTAATTCATTATAGAAGTTTACACTCTTATATTAGCATTTCACTAACAAGGGTATTTTATGCTTTCATGCTTTTTTGCTGAAATATTTTATCTACCTAAAAATTAGCTTTCATTAGTCCTCAACTTTATATGATAAGACTTCATGAAAAAATAAAATTTGATTAAACGTTCTAGATAACTGAAGCTGAATTTTATTAAATGACAATGAACTGTTCAGGGAGTACTTTTAAGTTACCTCAGAAATTTGTTATAAATGCATCTGTGCTATTTTATGAGTTTTTTTCCCTCTCAGGGTGAGCCAGCTTATATTTGATTTTAAAAACGTATTTAGTTATAGCCCTGGAATATGAATAATTAGAATGAATTTACCAGGGTTCTTTAGTACTGCAAGAACGAGTTAGGTAACACATTAAATATGTATAGAAAGCTGCTTTCCAATACGATGTAATTAACAACAAAAATTCCTACTCCTACAGTATTATAACCATGTGATATAATTTATCCTACACAGTCATAAATGGCTAAACTATAAATCTTAATGACCATATTTATATTTAAAAATAAGATGATTATAATCTAATGCATAGAAAATCGTATGTATTCCAGGTGATTCTGAATCCCAAAGTTAAAATAGGAAAATGGACAATTTTCCAAATGTTTAAATGGAAATACTAAAATGGTTGAAAATAAAACAGAGACAGATTCAATGCTTTTTCCTGGTTCTGAATCTCAGCTCGGTCATCAGCCTGCTGTGATTGGTGACCTTGGCTTAACTTCTCTTGGCCTTAATTTTCCCATCACACAATCCATAAAAATAACACAATATTTTTATTAATTGCCTAATGTAGCTCTATAGTATTTTTCTCCTACAATTTATGGCTCATATTCTGATATGAGCCTTTTATAGGATAATTTTATAATATTGTTTCTTGTGTAGGAGGAATGGAGGGATTTTTTCTCTATTGTGCCAGATCGAAGTTTGTGTATTATTATTGATATTTTAGATAAGTTTCTTCCAGCTTCACAATTTGTCATTGAGTATGTCATGAAAAGTTTTAGGAATTTTACGAAGTTTGAGGAAACATTTATCAAGTTTCTTTTTTGCACGAGTTTAACATGCCAGGACATTTCAAGGTTTTGTAAGCAATGACTAATCTTTAGTAACCCACTGGGCCAGTTCTCCTGGCAATTCACTTTATTGAATTGAAGGCATTTTTGGGCATATTTTTGGTATATTTGATGTATTTTTTGGTGTATTTGATTTTCAGTGCAACCAATAATTCTGAAACATATAAAATTAATTAAAATATAAAATATAAAAATTTTGTAAAATTGATAAGGCATAATCGGAAGCATTCCAGGCCTATCTAGGTGCTTCTCTCTGAAACACTTGTCTATATGGGTTCCTGCCAGCTCTTAGCGGCAAGTGGTGAACTGTTTTCATCTGGGTCCCCCATACTTGCCCTAGACAGGATGCTCAGGTGACATTCAAATGTGAGGTCTAATGTATTGCAGTATTTGAAATAAGGAACTTCATATACAGATACACAGACATACTTGTATATGGCATTGCTACAGATTTCTGCCTTATAAACACACTTTTGAATACGTTTTATTTTCCTGTTAATTCCATCAAAAACAAATAAAAATTATGGAGTATTTATAATCATATATGCTATGATTTCCACTCTATTCCTGACAAAAGACAGCTTCCATTGTGACTGGAAGCTATGAGCATTGAATTTTCTATTTATAGTTTTACATATCTGATGATTCAGAGGATTTTCCACAGATTAGCTTTGGCTCTGTACCTTTCAAACCTTGTTTACCTTTTATTACTCACATACTCCAATGCCAGATATATTGGAAGTGCATCTCATACAAGTATGTCTCACATAAGTATGTCTTATGTGACCTCTGAGCCTGGCTTTTGTGTCAATTTGCCAGGAGAATTGGCACAGTGGGTGATAGGAGCATTCCTGGAGGCCATATTCTTACACTAAGGCAATTTGCGATAACCTAGTGACTTCAAAGGACTTCTAACTGCCTCAATATTTCCACTAAATTCAAACTAAATGTAAATCCCACCCAGCTTCCCTTAGCTGGATGCCAACCATGTCCCCAGGAAATCTGGCACTTCAGGAACTGCTGAAATTTGTGACAGAAGAGAAGATGGAGAGAAAAGTGAGACTGATTCTTGATCTTATGTTTGCAGCCTTTATGAAAACATATGAGTATACAGAGATTGGAGGGAGTGTTTTTACAAGTAGATGGGTGGTCACACCAAATGCAGTTATATTTTAGCACAGGCTAAACAATCACATTAACGTTCTCTCCTACCATGAGCTCCCAGGTGGTTTCAGGCCAGGAAAGAAATCGATTCGAGAAGTAGTTCAGTTAATTTCAAAATTTTTCTGAAACATCCTGAGGACTAACGTTATGGTCATAGTTGAGTAATATATTTTGCAGCCCAGTCCTCCCACATTTGGTTGGTGTCAGTTGGGAGCTGACTATAATTTAACTTAATTAAAATTAAATCACTTTTAATTTTAACATGAATAGTCCTCCTATTGAGATATTTTCAAGTTCATTTGCCAAATACATACATTGAGCAACTACAGTCTATCAAATATCATATGAATAACTGGAAAAATAAAGATGCCTAAGACAGTCTTTGCCCTTATGGAACTTAATATTGAGTATTTAAATTTTTATTTAAAAAAATTAAGGCAAAGTCCATGGAACTTTAAAAAAGCAATATATGATTCAGAGGGAAGAGGTGCTGTGTGAGTAGGTGGCATCTAGATGTTACTCAGGGGCTATTTGAGATCAGCCTTGCAGTAATAAAGACTTCAATTCCAGGCATTGGGTAGAATCCGAAGACGTGGAGGTGGAAAGGCAGGAAGATGCTCAGGGTATTGCATTTGGCCAGGACTTTGGGTGTGTGTGTGTGTGTGTGTGTGTGTGTGTGTGTGTGTGTTTGATATATGCTATATATGATACAGTGATTATATATTATATAAAATTTGGATCATATTAAAGAGTGAAGAGATTTATTTAATTTGATAGGCAGCCAGCAATAATTGAAAATTTTTTTTTCTTTATTTTGAGACGGAGTCTCACCTTGTCACCCAGGCTGGAGTGCAGTGGTGGGATCTCGGCTCACTGCAACCTCTGCTTCCCAGGTTCATGCCATTCTCCTGCCTCAGCCTTCCGAGTAGCTGGAACCAAGTAGCGCCCACCACCATACCCAGATAATTTTGTTTTGTATTTTTAGTAGAGACGGGGTTTCACCGTGTTAGCCAGGATGGTCTTGATCTCCTGACCTCATGATCTGACTCCTTCGGCCTCCCAAAATGCTGGGATTACTGGTGTGAGTCACCGTGCCGGCAGAAATTCTTGATGAGGGGAAAAGTAGGATCGAAGTGGTGTTTGAGACAGATGAGAATCGGGGTAGGTGGATAGCACTGGAGTGGGATGGATAGAGGAGAGGGGACTGACTGGAGTCTGGCTGGGAAGATACATGTGAACCATGATGTGATTTTGTATGCTGATAATGGCAGTGGAGCTGGGAATGATTACAGGGCAAAATGTCAAGACTGTTCACGAAGAGAATGTGTCCCGGCTCCCAAGCTGAGGGTCTTGGGAAGACGGGGCAACTGTTACCAAAGAGAGGAAAGCAAGAGGCATGGTTTTCTTTCTTTTTTGCAGGGAAGCTGAGGTTTTGGATATTTGGCATCTCAGGTGAGGTGAACACGTCTGTCTGGGAGGGAGAAATATGCAGCTCAGGAAAGAGAACAGAGCTTGTGAGAAAGATTTTGGAGTCACCATTGCTGTGAATCTCCAGGAAAAAGCACCAGCGTTGCCAGATCTCCTCCTCCTCCTCCTTTCCTGTCTTCCTTCCTCTCCTTGGCAGGAGGATCACTGCTCTGGAGCACTTGAGCATTCTCTGCATAAGAGCAAACTTAAACTCTCACTTGGGGCTGGGGAGAAGGGCATCTCTCTCTGGGGTGGGGTATAAAGGAAAAAAAATTCCTCTTTTGAAATTTAAGAATCGTGGCTCTATGGTGAGAAAGAGACTGAACCTTGAGCAGCTTTACCCTTGTTGAGGGGGTGTGAGGGGGGCAGCAGGGCACTGGGACCATCCATGGTAGTTTCTTGATACAGAAACAGGTGCATGAATCCAGCGCAGGAGGGGGAGATGAGACAGGGCTGTGGGACGTGGGAAATGTCTCTTTGTTAGTAAGAAAATGGGTAGCTTTTAATTTCTCCTTGACTCTGAATGTCTCCAAATTTTCTGACCAGTTAGTGTTAACAAATGGGTGAGTAGGTGATAAAGTGAATAAAGTTTCCAACTTCTGTTGAATGCCTGTTCTGTACCAAGCACAGCTCGTAGGTGTGACCTGTCCCAGTGTTCGGTCCTATGTAGCCAGCTCATGCATCACTTAGGACCCAGTGACCAGCTGTGAGAGGCACTCCTGTTGGGGAGACTTGGGACCCCCCCATGTAGACTCCTCCAGTGGGTGGTGAATAAGGAACAAAGAGGGGCAGGTACATTCATTCTCCAGCTGCTGCAGAATGAGTGGGTGGTCTGGGGGGTTTATTTTCTTTTTTGTTTCCTATTTAAAGGGTACACCAATTTTGTTAAAAACTTCCCTGGAATAGTGAAAACAAAATGTATCCTAAAAATTAATCACTGTAATTTAATAAAAATAACTACAGAAATTACAATGACCTTTTAAAAATCCACCGTGCACATACATCGGCAGTAGGCAAATCAGATTATGAAAAGAGTCAGATTCTTCAGCACTCGCATGACATCCCCTAAGTCGCAAGTTTCTGAGAGTGATATATAAATTGTTTGCATTACTTATAGCTTTCAGAGATGACAGACTAATCTGAGCAACTAGATTCTTGGGAAAGTTCAAGACGCTTATTAAATCTTATCTTAGTTACTCCCAATTACAGCCATCCATTTATCCCTGAGGAATCAATTACTAATGCACAGCTACAGTTCAATCGCAGCACAACTAGTCTTTATCTCAGATGATTAAAAAAACCACCATTATTGCCAGATATCCATCAAAGGGATCCATAATTAGTTAATGCAGTTAGACCCTGCAGACTCAATTGCAAGATGATGCAAAGTATATCTTCTGATTTGCTTCCCAAAAGTCACACACGTTACACCATACAGGGAACAGCCGTATTCAGTAACAGTGGACATTTATTGAGCAACCATATGCAGGCACTGTTGTGAATGCTGTGGATGTACTCATGGACAAACGAAGTAAAACCCTGTTCTTATCGAGTTTGATTCCTGTAGGCACAGAGAGATGAAGAAATATGTAAAACGTATACTATGTCTGCTTGGGCTTTGAAAACAAATAAAGGAAAGTTAAAAAAAAAAGAAAAAGAAAAAAGCAGGCTGGGTGTGGTGGCTCATGCCTGTAATCCTAACACTTTGGGAGGCCCAGGCGGGCAGATCACGAGGTCAGGAGATCAAGACCATCCTGGCTAACACGGTGAAATCCCATCTCTACTAAAAATCAAAAAATTAGCCGGGGGTGGTGGCGGGCGCCTGTAGTCCCAGCTACTTGGGAGGCTGAGGCAGGAGAACATGTGAACCCGGGAGGTGGAGCTTGCAGTGAGCCGAGATCGCACCACTGCACTCCACCCTGGGTGACAGGGCGAGACTCCGTCTCAAAAAACAAACAAACAAACAAACAAACAAACAAAAACCCATCAGATGGGGAGGTTTGAGTTGCTTTATGTGTTTGATCATGGGAGGCTTCTGGACAAAGTGTCTTTGAAGCAGAGATCGTCAAGGAGGTGGAGAAGGAGCCACATGCGTATGGGGAGCAAGTTAGAACCAAGGACAGCAGCCCCATTGGTTAGCCTCTTTGGTGTGTGGGAGGAGCAGCCTGGAGGACTGCGTGGGGAAGGAGAGGGAGGGAGGCCGGACCATTGGAATACTCGCAGGCGTGGCTGGGACTCGGGATTTTATTCTGGATGGGACAAGATTTGAGCACAGCGGTGGGGTGGAATGATGGAAACATTCTGGCTGTCTTGGGGTTTGGGTTGTTGGGAGCGAGGCGACAGCAGCTTCTCAAGCCAAGCACTCGACAGTGGGGAGTCAGGAACAGGTGCCCCCAGGATCTCCTAGGAGGTGGAGCGCTGGGCTTGTGGAGGGTGGCAGGTACGCCGCAGAGAGGAGACGCATGCTCTGCCCCTCTGGTGCCACCAAGTCAGCGCCCAGAGCCTGTTGTACCAGGCCTGATGATGGCTCCTCACTCTCAGGCTTTGACCCCTCTCACTGTTGACCAGTATCTGGTTGGCCTTTCTCCCCCATGCCACCAGCTCCGGGCAGCTGGATATTTCAACCCTGTATAAGAGGTGACTCTGTGTCTCAGGATCTATTCAAAGTCCACAGATCTGCAAAATGAGGTTTCTTGGGAACAAAGGACGCCAGATAGAAGAGAGCAGGACAGCACTGCGGCTTGGTGATGGAGTTGGTGGTGGCTGTCTTAGGTTTAGAGCTCCTCCCGTCTCCTTCCCTGCAGAATATTAACTTTCCTACATTGTCTAAAAAGAGTTTTATGGAAACTCCTGCGTAGGGCTAGTATCCACAAATGTTATGTTATTATATCATCCCATAATAATAATTTGTGTCATGCTGGTTTGAACATTTGTTAGATAATGATTTAGCAATGAGCAGGCTCTCTGCATCAGTACGAAATACTATTTTTGCTGTGCTACTAGCTAGCTTTGCGTGCTCAGGTGGCTGGACGCCAGTAGCCCTCACTGTGTTACACACACCATGGAAACATGTTTTTGCAGCAACAGGAGAATTGAGAAGCTTTATGAATTCTCTGTGCTTAAGTGGTTTGAGGAAATTATTGGTATCCACCAAGCCCTGTGATACTTTCACCCAAACTAGTGATTTCTGGCGGACATGATTATCCCTCACCCCTTCTCCTGAGTGTGCAAATGCAGAAGCATTGATTTTCTTTCTCATCAAAGTGCAGCTGCAGGGTGCTGTCTGCTCTTCTTTAGAAATCCTATTGTAAGAAGATTGAGTTCTGCAAACGCAAAGTAAATATTGGTCAATCACAGTAATTGCTTTCACTGTAGCAATTTAACTCTTCAACTTTTTGACTCCCAAATTTAGTGTTTTTTTTTTTTTTCTCTCTCACTTTCTTGACAGGGTCTCACTCTGTCACCCAGACTGGAGTGCAGAGGCATTATCTCGGCTCACTGAAATCTCGGACTATTGGGCTGAAGCAATCTTTCCACCTCAGCCTCTCGAGTAGCTGGGACTACAGGCATGTACCACCATGCTGGCTAGTTTTTTTTTTTTTTTTTTTTTTTTTTTCTTTTTTGATGGGGGTTAGCCATGTTTCTCAGGCTGGTTTCCAATTCCTGGGATGAAGTGATCCACCTGCCTCAGCCTTCCAAAGTGCTGGGTTTACAGGCATGGTGCCCTGCACGTGGCCAGTGTTCTCTTCCCATCAGGTAGGCAGACAAATTCTGAGTGTCCTGCTGCAGCCTTGGTGTCTGTAGGATAGAGGTGTGGTATAGGGCTGGCCTCCCCGGCTCCCTTTATCACTCATTATCCAGCCGCACAAGCTGTCAGAAAGGGGAAATACGAACAGGTCTTCTGTGACTTTTTTTGTGTGTGTGGTGCCAGAATATTCCTTCAGGTTTTCTTTCTTTCTTTTTTTTTTTTTTTTTTTTTTGAGACGGAGTCTCACTCTGTCACCCAGGCTGGAGTGCAGTGGTATGATCTTGGCTCACTGCAACCTCTGCCTCCTGGGTTCAAGTGATTGTCCTGCCTCAGCCTCCCAAGTAGCTGGGATTACAGGCACATGCCACCATGCCTGGCTAATTTTTGTATTTTTAGTAGAGATGGGCTTTTGCCATGTTGGCCATGCTGGTCTCAAACTCCTGACCTCAACTGATCCACTCATCTTGGCCTCCCAAAGTGTTGGGATTATAGGCCTGAGCCACTGCGCCCAGCCAGCTTTCTGCATTTGAACACCCTTCGCCAGTATTGAGGAACTTGGCTTTCATTGTCATGGATATTTTAATTTATTTGCTCAATTCTCCTGTATGTGGCCAATTTCCATGTTAGGTAGGCTTGGCCCTGGCCCTGGTTCTCACTCGGTGGCCATGCTGGGAGACTTTTACAATCCCTGTCTGCCCAGGCCGTGGTTCTGTCACTAATGGCAGTGGTGCTGGCAACATTCTCCGGTGGTGTCACTCTGAGTCTGCTGTGCACCACAGCTTGTCAAGTTGACTTAGGCACCCTCATTCCCCAGTGCATCCAAACCTCATCAACTTTCACACCATCAGCTGTATGTGTCAATGAGAGAGGCAATGTAGTGGAAGTTCACTGCCTCTGGAGCCCTGCTCTATGGGCTTAATTCCTGGGAGACCTTGGATGAGTCACTCAATCTCTCTGGGCTTCATTTTCTTATGTGGGTAAAAGAGGTAACAAGCAGTGCTTCCCTCAGTGGACCTCAGTTGAAATCCAGGGAGGTCGTATGTGTAAAGTACTTGGAGGAGTATTTGGCACATCGTAGGTGCTATTTAAGAGTTAACTATTTTTATTAAAATACCGTATGGTTCTTTTTTGTGCGTTAATTTTGGCTTTCACAGGATAGCAGGCAAGGACCATGCTGCGAGCTTCTTATCCGCCTCCCCACAAGGCAAAAGCAGTGTTGGTCCCTTGGTAGGGTCTCAGAGCTGACTTGTTCTTTGACAGACTCTTAATTAAGACCAGCATCACCAGCCTCCCCTAGGAGCTTGTTATAAATGTGAATTCTGGGGCCCCGGGCCTGCTGGATCAGATTCTCTGAGAGGGAGCATCCACGGATCTGTGTCTCAACAACTCCCCAGTGGTCATGCCTGTGAGAGTTTTAGATGTGGTGCCCTGGTGTGTACCCCATTGGGTATGGCCTCCCTTGACAGTTCTCATGCTCACCATGGTTTTTTTCCCTGTGCTGAAGCTTTTCCAAACTTGTTATCATTTGCTTTCACAAATGATATAAATATATTGCTGTTCCCATTTAATTTAACATATTTACAGGACAGATAGATGGTGGACACTCTATTCAGAATGCTTTCCCCAGGCGTGTCCAATGGGCTTGTTTACTCATTTCTTACATAGGAAGACACTTCCAAAACTTACTAGACACATTTACAAACCTTTCAAACTTATTGGATCAATAAACAGAGACCTTAATATGCTATTATAGACGACACATTTTCAAGAGGGGGAATATTGTACGCAGCATGTCTCAAACTTATTTTACTGGAAAATCTGTTGGGAGTGGGATGGGGCAGGGAAGAATCTTAGAGTTCTCGGAATGCATTTTTAGAAATACTGCCTTACAGGAATAACTCTCCTGGTAGAAAACTCAGAGTGCAGGACAAGAATGAGTTATGTTAGAGGAGGTCCTTAAATTTTACTTTCGAGATGCTGCGTTGTCAGGGGAGGCCTTTATAGTATGATCAAATGCGGAATCTATTCAACAATGCCTATAAAATGGAAAATAAAGACATTCACTGAAGCGTTACTGCCCTTTTCTTCTATTTTACTCAAGATAAATTTTAGTAGACTATAATAGTTTTGATCAATGTAGATTATATTTTATGTCCCCCCCTCAAAAATCTTTTAAATATGATCACAAACCCCAATGCATATACAACATAAAGACAGACAGATGTGGATCTGAGTCCTCTTCAAGAAAGTCAGCAAGTCCGAAAGGGAGGAAGAGTGAGGGATTCATACCTGGATACCAGCTTCCTGATACCTACTCCAGCTGCTTTGCCGCTGCACGACAGATCCAGGACTTAACAGTTTAGTGTGCTGCTTTTTGATTAAACATCTAAGAACCTTTCAGTGGATTCTTCTTTGTTATTTTTCTTTGCATCCCCCGCCGGCCACCAAATATCCAGTGAAGTGTAGTAATTTCAATCACCTTCAAGGAAATTACGATCTAGAGATTTGGAATTGTTTTTTTCTGCAACAGGATGCGCCCATCTCTTGTTGATGGAAACATTGCCCACAGGCAGTTTTCTTGGCTGTGGTGGTGAGTCACATGCAGTGATCACGACTGCAACCCAAAATACTCCTGTTGATTGTTTTTCCCAATATGCTCATGCTGAGATTTTCTTCTTCCAAAACTATTCATCTGAGAATACAGAATATGGTTTCATTCTTTTCTTTTTAAAAATAACCCTAAGCGAATATGAGTATTTCATGTGAATTTCCCAAGTAGGTGCTGTTATGATATATACACTGATTCTGAGTGACTTTTTTAAAAAAACAGCACAACCATGGTGGCCTTATGCGGTCTGGAATGTGTCTCTCTGGACTTATAATATCAAACTTGGAGGTCATTTGCTGTTTCTTAGCTTTTTTCCTACTCAAGATACATTTTCAATTATTAAATTTTATTATGAGAAGGCAGTAGGGTCCAGTAGGCGAAGTCAAAGTAGACAGAGACATTAAAGGAAACCAGTTTGAGGGATTCCTCCTCTAGACTTTTGGACCCATATCAAGCCATATAGAGAAGGGGTGCTGCTGTTAAGTCTTTTAGCAGTTCCTGGGACCATTGTTTGTTTCTTTGTTTGTTTATTTATTTAGAGACGGAGTCTCACTCTGTCACCCAGGTGGAGTGCAGTGGCACAATCTCAGCTCACTGCAACCTCTGCCTCCCGGGTTCAAGTGATTCTACTGCCTCAGCCTCCCGAGTAGCTGGGACTACAGGTGTGTGCCATCATGCCTGGCTAATTTTTGTATTTTTAGTCGAGATGGGGTTTCACTATGTTGGCCAGAATGGTCTCAATCTCCTTACCTTGTGATCTGCCCGCGTCAGCCTCAAAAAGTGCTGGGATTACAGGCGTGAGCCACTGTGCCCGGCCTCCTGGGACACTTCTACTCTACCATCATTGCTGTTTTGTCTCTCTGTTCCATGTGTTGTCCTTGACATTGACTTTAGTCTCAACAGCAGTTTTATTCCCATAATTCATCTGCTTCTGCAACCTGCAGCTTCACCGCTTTGTGTCCAACACCTCCCAGTTCAGTATTGCTTAGAATCCTTGCTTTAACACATACTTCTCCAACTTCGTTCATTCAACAAACATTTGTTGGGCTGAGTGTGGTGACTCACGCCTGTAATCCCAGCACTTTGGGAGGCTGAGGCGGGTGGATCACAAGGTTAGGAGATCGAGACTATCCTGGCTAACATGGTGAAATCCCGTCTCTACTAAAAATACAAAAAAATTAGCCAGGTGTGGTGGTGGGCGCCTGTAGTCCCAGCTACTCGGGAGGCTGAGGCAGGAGAATGGCATGAACCTGGGAGGTGGAGCTTTCCGTGAGCCGAGATCACACCACTGCACTCTAGCCTGGGTGACAGAGAGAGACTCCATCTCAAAAAAAAAAAAAAAAATTTGTTGAACACCTGCTTATGCTACTGGACACTCTTTGTATCAGTGAGTAAAACAAAGATTCCTACTCTTTTGGAGCTTACATTCTACCGGGAAGACAGATAATAAACAATGCACATAATACAAAGTGAATTACCTAGGATGTTAGAAGGGGATACTTGCTATGGGAAAAAAGTGGAGCAGTGTAAAGAGGATTGAAAGGTCTGGGGGTGACACACAACTGTCTTACCAGCAAGACTAGAGTGGTTGCTACTTCCTGCTCTTGAGGTTCAATGCACATAAACCATCTCTGTAACGGACCAGTGTGATAACTGTGGAAGGGAAAGGCAATCAAGATCTCTGAACGAAACTATGACATAGGGTTGGAGAGTGGACATGCCCCTGAGGCAGGACAGTGAAGATACGTTGCTGGCCTGGCCAACTGAAAGCAAACTGCTTCTTGTGGGCCTTAAGGACAGGTATGGAGAAAAAAACATTTGGCAGCTTCAATAGCTGCATAATCAGGTAGCAGAGTATTGCTAATTTGCTCAAGCAATGAAACCACATCTGGTAAAGTAGTTGCAATTGGAGTCACCACCTGGTTAAACTTAGGATAATCCACTCTCATTCTCTAAGAGCCATCTGTTCTCTGCACAGGTCAAATAAGAGAAATGAACAGGGATGTGGTTGGGAATCACCACCCCAAGTCTTCGGTGGTGGCGCTGATCTCTGCATACCTCTAAAAATGCAGTATCACCTTTGGTTTACTATTTTCTAGGTGGAGGCAGCTCTAATGGCTTCCATTTGGCCTTTCCCACCATACTAGCCCTCACCCCACAGGTTAGGGAACCAGTGTAGGGATTCTGCCAGCTGCTGAACATGTCTATTCCAATTATGCATTTGGAACTGGGGAACTGACTATGGGATGCATTAAGGGGCCCACTTGACTTACCGTAAATCAAACCTGAACTAAAACTCCATTGACCACTTGACCTCCATAAGCCCTACTTTAAATGGAGGGCTGCAGTAACATTTCAGGTCTCCTGGAATCAGCATCAGTTCAGAGCCAATGTTCATTAGTCTCTCAAAGGTCTGATTGTTTCCTTTCCCTCAAAGCACAGTTACCATGGTAAAAGGCTCTGGGTCCCTTTGGGGAAGACTGGAGGAAAGATTAACAGTATACATTTTCTTTCTTTTTTTTTTTTTTTGAGATGGTGTCTTGCTCTGTTGCCCAGGCTGGAGTGCAGTGGCGCGACCTTGGCTCACTGCAGCCTCCACCTCCCAGGTTCAAATGATTCTCCTGCCTCAGCCTCCGGAGTATTTGGGATTATAGGCGCCTGTCCCCACACCCAGCTAATTTTTGTATTTTTAGTAGAGACGGAGTTTCACTGTGTTGGCCAGGTTGGTCTTGAACTCCTGAATTCGTGATCTTCCCGCCGTGGCCTCCCAAGGTGCTGGGATTACAAGCGTGAGCCACCGTGCTCAGACAACAGTATACACTTTCGATAGTGTATTAGGGTCCTTCCTGGAGGGGATCTGACGTCCCATTCATTCAAGGGATTCTGGGCCTGTAAACTGGCCCAAGTCTGGGAATTAATTAAGGGGCCCTGGTTCTCTGTTTTTTATGATTTGAGTTAGACTTTTGTTTACTTGACCTGAAGTTTTCTCCTTATGCAGATCAATTAGGAGTTTACTAGGCTATCCCATCTATTTCACGTCTTGAAACATGATAATTAGCAAATGCCATAGATCTACATGAATCAGATTATTCTGATGGTTGCTTTGCCTATGCTGTGCCTCCCAGTAACTCCATCTACTTTTCCTTTGGCCACTGAGTACCGCCATCTGGCTCCTGTCACCCTGGGATCCAATTATGTTATCGCATTAAGTTTTCCGGTTGAGTGTTTGTGGTTCCACACAATCAGGGAGCTCGTCAAAGATGCTGGGGCTCCCCTCATGAGTCTGTTTCACAAGGTATTGGTGAACGGTATGTCTTTTGGACCCTTCCGGGGTGAGTGAGTGAGTCCCAAGTGACAATTCCACTCTTGCATTTCAATCACCCTAAGCCTTTAAATCTCTTCCTCTAAGTTAAGGCAGGAGAAATCAGGGATTTCCAACTAATTCACAGTGGGGCATATTTTGCTCCATGTTTTAGATAACCAACTGACCAACCAACCAACCAACCAACCATTAGAACCCTTTCTAACTCCCCAAGCTACAGCAATAAATGTAGAATCTCTGCTTAGTGGAGCCATGTCAATGAATTCAGTCTGATCCTCTGATCCAACTTTATGTTCCTTCTACCACTATCCCACACCCTTAATATCTAGTCTCACATGTGTTCCCCAGATTTCTGCTTGTACAAATCAGGAAACTCAAGGAGTTCTTTTGCAGAGCAGGCAGCTTCTCTTGGGCCACACATTGTACCTTGTCTTTAGGGGCTGCTGGGATGTGGGTCTGGTTATAAGTCTAGAAGCAAAGAGAAACTGGGGTGGGTCCTGAGGAGCATTAGCTTTGTCTTGCTTGACAACTGTCTCAGGGGAGTAGTGCTGTTTTCTCAGGTACTGCAGGGTTAATCTCCTTAGACATAAGTGGAGAGGCCAATACCACTGCAGGTGGGGAGGCCACTTTCTTTGGCAAAAATAACTCATCAGAATTCAGAGATGCAGTGTCCCCAGCCTCATCAGGGGCTTCTCACATGTCCCCTTCACAACTTGCAAGATCCCATTTTTCCCCAACCAAGGTCTTCACTTTAACAGTAGATAGCTTGCAAGGCTGAGAGTTCAACTTTTGTTGTAATTCAGGCAGAATCACACGATGAGGAGTAGTGTTTGATTTTTGGCCATTTCTGTCCCATAGCTACAGAGAGAAGATTCTCCTTCAAGGCATACCTAGAAATTCTTAGGTTATTTATGTGGAGCGTGATATGGAAATTCAAATCCCTGATTGCGTTAGGCCATTCTTGGATTGCTATAAAGAAATAGCTGAGGCTGGGTAATTTATAAAGAAAAGAGGTTTAATTGGCTCACGGTTCTGCAGGCTGTACAGGAAGCATGGTGCTGGCATCTGGTCAGCTTCTGGTGAGGCCTCAGGAAACAATAATTATGGCTAAAGGTGAAGAGGGAATAGGCACGTTACACGGTGAAAGCTGGAACAAGAAAGAAAGGGAGAGGGAGAATGAGGGGAGGGGCCACACACTTTTAAACAACCAGAACTTGTGTGAACTCAGAGCGAGAGCTCACTCATCACCAAGGGGATAGTCCAAGCCATTCATGAGGGGTCTCCCACGGTCCAAACACCTCTCCCACCAGGCCCGACCTCCAAGATTGGGGATTACGTTTCAACATGAGATGGGCACGTTGGCAAGTATCCAAGCTACATCATTGACCTAACCCTCTTCTTTCTCCATTCTGTCAGTGACATTAGGAGCAGGCAACCATCATATTCTTTAGTTTTCCACAGGTTTGAAAGTATTATATAGAGTCACTACGTTTCTTGCCTATGGGCCAAAAATGACAGGCAGTGGGGAGAGGACCCCCTGTTTTGGTGTATGGTGCTGAGATAACTGGTTCGCCATGTGTGGGGACATTGGGACTGGACCTCTTCCGTTTACCATGTATGGAGATCAACTCAAGATAAAGACTTAAATGTAACACATAAAGCTGTGGAAATCTTGGGAAGTACCATTCTGGACATTGGTGCCAGCAGGGATTTCAGGATGAAGACTCCAGGGGCAACTGCAACAAAGGCAGACATTGACAAGTGGGACTTGGTTGAACTGAGCAGCTTCTGCACAGCAGAAGAAACTGTCAGCAAAGCGAACAACCTATAGGATGGGAGAAAATATTCTCAAACTATGCATTCGACAGAGATCTAGTATCCAGAATCTATAAGGAACTTAAATCAGCCGGAAAGGAACAGACAACTCCATTGAAACAGGGGTAAGGGGCGTGGATAGACACTTCTTGAGGATAGGCACGCATGTGGCCAACACACATATGGAAAAATGCTCCACATCACTGTTCATTGGAGAAGTGCAAACCAAAACATGGTGGGATGCCATCTCACACTGGTCAGAATGGCTAGCACTAAAAAGTTAAGAAGCAGGTGCTGGTGAGGTTGCAGGGAAGGTAGAGAGCTTGTACGCCACTAGTGGGAATGTGGATTGGTTCAGCCACTGTGAAAAGCAGTTTGGAGATCTCTCAGGGAATCTGAAACAGAATTACTATTCGACCCAGTGGTCCCATTGCTGGATATGTGCCCAGGGGAGTATTAGTCAACCCTCCATAAAGACACATGGACACACATGTTCATCACAGCACTATTCACAGCAGCAGAGAGAGGGGGTTTATGTGGATGCCCATCAGCAGTGGACTGGTTGGGGAAAGTGTGGTGCATCAACACCATGAAATACTATACAGCCACAGGGAGATGCAAGGTTATGACCTTTGTGGCAGCCTGGATGATCTGGAGGCCATTGTCCTGGGCCAATGAACAGAGAAGTAGGGAACCAAATAACCACATGTTCTCACTTCCAGGTGGGAGCTGAACATTGAGTACACATGGACACAAGAAGGGGAGTGGTAGACACCGGGGCCTGCTTGTGGGTGGAGGCAGAAGGAGGGTGAGGATTGGAAAGCTGCCTATGGGGTTCTGTGCTCATTACCTGGGTGAGGAGATGGTCTGTGCAGCAGGCCTGCACATGGGCCCCCTGAACCTAAAATGAGGTTGGAAGGAAAAAAGAAAAAACTTTCTGCCTTCTATAAGGGGTTGATTAGGAGAATCTAATGCAGATATTTTGTGTGTCTGTATGAAGAGTTACATTACGGATTATCAGTGCTCCCTGTACTACTAGTAATAGAGTCCTTAGCTTTTTTATCGTTTACTTTTTTTTTTAGATGGAGTCTCTCTGTGTTGCCCAGGCTGGAGTCCAGTGGCGCGATCTCGGCTCACTGCAAACTCTGCCTCCCGGGTGCACGCCATTCTCCTGCCTCAGCCTCCTGAGTAGCTGGGACTACAGGCGCCTGCCACCATGCCCGGCTAATTTTTTATATTTTTGGTGGAGACGGGGTTTCGTCGTGTTAGCCAGGATGGTCTCAATCTCCTGACCTCATGATCCACCCGCCTTGGCCTCTCAAAGCGCTGGGAGTACAGGCGTGAGCCACCGCGCCCAGCCTGCAGTCCTTAGCATTTTAAAGTGCAATCTGATGAGAGAGATAATGCCAGAGCACCTAAAACCAATGCTGGGAACTCATCCTTAAAATTCTCCTTCTCCAGAACCTCTCATGGGACCAACATCTGTATTAGTCCTCCAGAGAGATAGAAACAATAAAAAAGTATATACATACACATATCTATAACAGATAGGTATAGATATATGAGAAGGGATTTATTAGGAAAAACTGGCTCATGTGGTTTTGGAGGATTATAATTTCCACCATAGATTTGCAAGCTCGGGAATCAGGGAAGCCAGTAGCATGGCTCAGTCCAAGTCTGAAGGCCCAGAACCAAGGAAGCTGGTGGTGTAACTCAGGTAGAGGCTGAAGGCCTGAGAACACGGAGGCACTGCTGCTGCATGTCCTGGAGTCCAAAGGCTGCAGAACTTGAAGTTTTCATGTCCAAGGGCTGGAGAAGACAGGTGTCCCAGCTACAGGAGAGAGAGACAATTCACCTCTTCTCTGCCTTTTTTTCTATTGGGGACTTCAGCTGATCGATTGGTGCTTGTCTACACTGTGTGAGGGTGGATCTTTCTTACTCAGTCCACTGATTCTAATGCCATTTCTTTTTATTTTTTGGAAACACCTTCCCAGACACACCCAGAAAGGATGCCTTACCAGCTGTCTGGGTATACAGTCGAGTTGACAGCCCAAATTAACTATCACAATTGGCATTTTAAATGGCTTTCTCATTGTTTAGGAATTTTCCCTTGACACATTCTAGTAAAATTTTAAAAGTATGAGCATCAAAACTTGAAGGCAGGATATCAACAGCTTGAAAGAAATTCCTGGAGACAAAAGTTGTGACTGTCCTATAAAGAGAGAGTTTCTGATTGGAATGAGGTCTATGTTATAATGGAAGAGTTCTAAACCATAACTAGGTCTTTTTTAGTGGTGATAATACAGTACCTTATCATGTGTGGGATCTTAGATTCTAATATAAGTTGGTAAGTTTTTTGTTTGTAAATTATTACAATTTTATATTATGTAGATTCCTTACATCATCACCTAGATGCTCAAAATCACTGCTCAGTTGCATTTGCTAATTTCTGTTTACCTGGTATTCAGTAAATTATATTCTCTAAGGAGAGTCATTATCCAAGTAGTGTTACTGAGACTAGCTGATTTAGCTGAAGGATTTTTACAAAAATCATATGGGTAAATTATTCCACTTACGGTAGCAGTAATTTATTCTAAACAAATTGGATCCATGGCCATCTGTTTTAGCTGTTAGGATAGGAAGAACCTCATCTTTTCCATCTCCACAAACTTAGCTCAAATCACAAATGCAGAACTATGCAAATTAGACAATGCATGCCGTTTGAAGTGAAGTGAAGGCCCGGCAGAGCAGCAGTTCAGCCAGGAAGTTTTTACTGCCTCTCATCCGAGGGACAGAGCAATTCTAATCCAAAGCCAAATTCGGGGAGTTTTCATCTTGGTTGAGGATTGGAAAATAGCCAAGGATCAGACAGAAACAGAAATACTTATTTGGGCCTGGCTCCTTCTTTCATTTCTATCTCAGTCTTGCTGTCTTTCTTCACGTCTCTTAGCCTCTGTACCTTGAAGTCCTTAATGTCACAGGAATGAAAGCTGCTTGGGGCACCACCACCACCACCACCACCTCTGTCTTGAAATCTCATCATGGATTCTCTTTAAGACACAATGCATTCAAAGCTGAAGGTCATCCAAGTCTGGCTGCATGGGAAACTCCTGCTTTCATCTCCTGCCCGATGTCAGGGCACAACCCCAACGTCACAGAGGATGGCATGACTCCAACAAGAACAACTAAGCAAGCAAGCAGCTTGGCTTGAGGTGGCTTCATCAGAGCTGGAAGTAGGCAATGAGATTCCTGTGCACAGCAAGGCTGACAGCATCAGTGTGGTGGCCCCAGTACTCCTGTCTCGAAGTTCCATGAAATGTGATACACCCAGATGGTGACTATGCACGCAGTGGGTGGTGCCGTAGTTGAGGCACTCATGGCCATGAGCTCGGCAGCCTTTCTAAAGCATGGACAGGCCAGTCCCCACCCCTGCCCCAGCAGGAATGAGTAGTGCTGGCTGTAACTCCCTCAGCCTACCTGATACTATGCAACTCGCTGCAGAGCTAGCTCAGGATCTGAGGACAGTTAAGCCTTGTGAACTGGGACATGAGCACAGGCGTGCGGGGACATCCCTCTCCACAATTCACCCTTTTGTCCCTCCACCTTCTTGGTTGGACTGAAGTTTTCACACAAGTCTGTCACCCTGTCAGCAGCTCAGATTAGACACACTGACAGGGGCTGGGACAAAATGTGTTTAATTTGTCTCATACAACATTAGATTGAGATATTGTCAACAGAATCCTGGTCGGTAGGATGAGGCCGACTGGCAACATTGATCTCAGCTATGCCCCCTGGATCCTGGACATACGTAGCTGAGTAATTCCCAGAGGGGACCAGCAGGTCTTACTCATATAACCACATAGCTTTTGGCCTTGTAGGGTGTATGAACTGTCCCACCTGAGCAGTGACGTTCATCCAAGCACAACAGGAAGTTGTTTCCTTGGATTTCACCTCATCCCACTTCAGCCGCATTCCCACCTGCCCCGTACGATCATGCACTGCTTGCCCCAGGGCTGCGTCTGTGTTCACATTTGTGCCTGCTGCGTGCCCCGCCTGGAACCCTGTGGCTTTCCCTCCGTCCTGCGTCCTGTACTGATCCTTCAGCTCAGTGTCTCCTCTTCTTGGAGGCTCCTGCCTGACTCAGGTGAGCTCAGATGCCCCGTCCTCTTCAGTGCTCTTGAGTACTTTTCTTACAGCACTTACCACTCTTTGCAGAACCCGTTTCTGTATCAGATGCTGCATCCTTTTCATCTTTGTGTCCAGAGAAACCAACATCTCTTCTGGCACAAAATAAGCATTTGTTATGTTTGTTAAATGGCATGAAACCCTATGGCCTCAGTCCCTAGCACAGATCTTATTAGAACTGGCACTAATAGATATTTATTGAATGAATAAATGTTTGGATGAATACATCATAATTCTTCTGCCAAGGCGTATAGGTATGTACATTTCTTCCTCTATTTCCTTTATGAATTAGCTTTTATGCTGCAAATTCAATTTTTTTCAATAATACGTGAAATAATAATGAAAGGGACTAAATTTAAATATACTCAGTTATATATTAGAGTATATGTAAATATAACTTCAAATATACAAATACAACTATTGATAGGTAGATTTACTATGATAACCAGAAAAATATCAGAGTTATAAGATGAGGATATAGTTCCTTATTGAAACACATATAAAAAGTGTATGTTATGAGTGATTAGGCATGTCATATTTATAAAGTTATGATGCAGACTTTTTTATTGAAATAAGTATTTTTTAACTTAAATCTACTTATGTGTATGTGTCAGATTAAATGAAAAAGTTGGCTGGGCGCGGTGGCTCACGCCTGTAATCCCAGCACTTTGGGAGGCCGAGGCGGGCGGATCACAAGGTCAGGAGATCGAGACCATCCTGGCTAACAAGGTGAAACCCCGTCTCTACTGAAAATACAAAAAATTAGCCGGGCGTGGTAGCGGGCGCCTGTAGTCCCAGCTACTCGGGAGGCTGAGGCAGGAGAATGGCGTGAACCCGGGAAGCGGAGCTTGCAGTGAGCCGAGATCCCGCCACTGCACTCCAGCCTGGGCGACAGAGCGAGACTCCGTCTCAAAAAAAAAAAAAAAAAAAAAAAAAGTTAAAATATAAAATCTTAAATGGTATTTATGGGAAATAATTTAGGGAAAAGCATGGAGAAATTGGAAAAAGAACACTTGTATTTGAGATCTGATATACTGTTAATAGACAACAAGAGTTTCTAAATTAGACTGATATCCAGAATACATAAAGAATTCAAACAATGCCATAGCAAAAACCCAAATAATCCCATAAAAAATGGGCAAAAGATCTAAATAGTTATTTCTCAACAGAAAATAAACAAATGGCCAACAGGTACATGAAAACATGCTCAACATGGCTAATCATCAGGGAAATGCAAATCAAAACCACAACGAGATATCATCTCATCCCAGTTAGAATGGCTGTTATTAAAAAGACCAAAAATAACAAATGCTGGTGACGATGTGGAGAAAAGGGAACTCTCATATACGGCTGGTGAAAATGTAAATTACTACAGCCATTATAGAAAATAGTATGGGTTTCTCGGAAAACTGAAAATAGAACTACCATATGATCCACAGATCCCATTACTTGGGTGTTCATAGGAAAGGAAATTCGTATATCAAAGGGAAACATGAATCCCATATTTATTGCACCATTATTTACAATAACAAACATATGAAATCAACTTAAGTGTCTATCAGCAGATGAATGGAGAAAGAAAATGGGGTATATATATGTATACGTGTGTGGGTGTGTGTGTGTGTGTGTATATACATATATATATATATAATGGAATACTATTCAACCATAAAAAAGAATGAAGTAACGTCATTTGCAGCAACATGGATGGAACTGGAAGTCCTTATGATAAGTGAATTAAGCCAGGCACAGAAAGACAAATATTATATGTTCTCACTCACATGTGGAATCTAAAGCAGTTGGTCTCATGGAAGTAGAGAGTAGAATGACAGCAGAGGCTGGAAAGGATGTAAGGGTGTGTGTGTGTGTAGAGAGGAGTTGGTTGATGGGTACAAACATAGAAGGAATAAGTTCTAATGCTTGATAGCGGAGTAGGATGACTATAGTTAACAACAATGTGTTGTACATTTCAAAATAGCTAGAAGAGAGGTTGAAATGTTCTCAACACACAGAAGTGATAAATGCTTGTGGTGATGGATACCCAAATACCCTGACTTGATTATTACCCTTTCTTTTTTTCTTTCTTTCTTTTTTTTTTTTTGGAGACAGAGTCTCGCTGTATCCCCCAGGCTGCAGTGCAATGGCATGATCTCAGCTCACTGCAACTTCCACCTCCCGGGTTCAAGCAATTCTCCTGCCTCAGCCTCCCAAGTAGCTGGGACTACAGGTGTTCCCACCATGCCCAGCTAATTTTTGTACTTTTTTAGTAGAGAAGGGGTTTTGCCATGTTGGCCAGGCTGGTCTCAAACTCCTGACCTCAGGTGATCTGCCCACCTCAGCCTCCCAAAGTGCTGGGATTACAGGCATGAGCCACCATGCCTGGCCCATCATTATACTTTCTATACCTGTAACACAATATCTCACGTACCCCATAAACATATACAAATATTATGTATGAATAAAAAAGTTTTTTGAAGTCCTGAAATCATTTTGGACTCAGTTTCTTCATCTGAGAGGTAGGATGGGGAACTAAAATAATATCTATTTTATAAGTTCATTGCATAAAATAAGATAACATGTATAATATTTTATACATTATTTTATGAATAGTCAATTCTGTAACACATATTGAAATGCAAATCTATTCTAATGCAATTGATATAGTAGGGAGAAATTTACACATAATGCTAATTTTAAGTTTGCTTATGTATGATTTCATCTCAAGAAATACTAAGTGAACTCAGAAACCTACATCCAGCTTAACCACAGAGTATATACAGGAATACACAAAACACGTGTACCTCAAACTTCAACCAGCAACCTCTGTTCAACCTGCATGTTAGGAGCCCAGACATCTGCACGTGGTGTTACAAGTTTCTGCCCCATTTCAGATGACTCTCCTCTGCCCCTTCACAAAAACTCACCTACTGTGATCCTTCCACAGGCAAACTTCCACAAGCAAGCTTCCAGATAAATTGTCACATTCATTGGACTATTTATGTATTTTTAACCACGTAAAACATGCAAAATTGTGCTACCATTTTTATTTTCTCTCTTTTAAAAAATTTATGTGTCACTGGTAAAGCTTTTGAGTGTTATTCTGCTAACCTGATTTTCTCCATAAGCCTCATGGTTTTGTTGTGCAATTTTGTATAATGAGGTGGTTTTTCAGAACACATGTATCATGTTATAGCAGAACTGACTGTGTCTTATGAACTATATATTGCTGTATGAATAAAGGTGCTATCCTTTACTTGGGAATCAAAGCAAGCTCTGTCAAATCGATTGCATAATATACGGATCATTGAAATATATCAGTGATAATATAATTAATAAATAGTGAGATGTTTTAAATTGGCAAGTCACAGCCCAAGTGTTAAAAAGGGATAAAATGGCCGGGCGCGGTGGCTCATGCCTGTAATCCCAGCACTTTGGGAGGCTGAGGTGGGCGGATCATCTGAGGTCAGGAGTTTGAGACCAGCCTGGCCAACATGGTGAAACCCTGTCTCTACTAAAAAAGTACAAAAATTAGCTGGGCTTGGTAGGGGACGCCTGTAGTCCCAGCTACTCAGGAGGCTGAGGCAGGAGAATTGCTTGAACCCAAGAGGTGGAGGTTGCAATGAGTTGAGACTGTGCCACTGAATTCTAGCCTGGGCAACAACAGTGAGACTCCATCTCAAAAAAAAAAAAAAGAAAAAAAAAGGATAAAATATGAGTGTGCTTGTTGTAATGCAAAACATCTTTCTCACTGTGGTTAGCAAGCACAAAAGTCAGAAAGTCATGAGCTAGGAAATGAACTGAGGTTAAGTTGCAGAGTTCCGGGTAAAACGAAATGACCCAGAAACCAAAACATAGGGCTTTCTTTGACTCCAGAACTTGCTACCTTAATAGGAACTATGGCATATACAATATCACTCCTGGCTTTATTTTTCATAATTTGATTTTTCTTTTACCGTGACTTTTCCACTTTATTTTCCTAGTGTCTGCATTTTGGCAGGCTGTTTTTAGTTCTTTGGAACAAAGTGCTTTGGGATGAGACAGAATGAAATTCCTATCCTGGAATAACTTACCAGCCTATAATGCCAGCAAGTGCCTTGAACTCTCTAAGACTGATTACTCAATTGTGAGATGGCAATCATGACAAAGCCCAGGGCCCAGGGTTGTCACAGAGTGCCCAGCATGTAGCAAGTGCTCAATATACCATTGTGAGTAACGGAATACCTTGGTGCTCTAACCCAAGATCTCAACATCAGGTCAGGTCACAGCAACATCTCTGCTGTCTCCAATGGCAGCCTCCTCCATGATTTCCATTTTCTCACTTCACGTTAATTTTTAATTTCTTTTCTTGCCTTTTCTTCTCACTTTCAGCCAATTGTTAGATTATCTGCAGTCATTTGTACTTTTCTAAGCTGAAACGTGGGCCTCTTGTACCTATTCAACTGCATTTACTCAGTTTCATGATGTGCAAATAATGCATTAGGTGCTCAGGACATGAGAAGAATGACAGTTTTTTTCCTGCTCTCTACAGTTTGTTTGGGGAGGCAACCAGGAAAGCCCGTGATGAAAATGTACTGCAAAGTGATCTAATAAGAATATACAGCGAGCATTCATAGAGCATAGGGAAGAAGAAAGAATCTTAAATTACAGTGGTGAGGGCAGGTTAGTAATTCTCCCTAGACATGAGGAAGGCCCAGCCAGATGGAGAAACAGAGGAAGTGCTTTCCTTTCCAGGCCCATGTAGTTTACTTCATGCGTCAGATCATTCCACTTTTGAAATGTTCTAATCAATAGAAATTTCTTCCTTATTATAAACCCCAAATCCACTTTTTTTTTTCTATTTTCTTTTTTTTTTTTTTTGAGATGGAGTTTCCCTCTTGTTGCCCAGACTGGAGTGCAATGGTGCTATCTCAGCTCACCACAACCTCTGCCTCCTGGGTTCAAGTGATTCTCCTGCCTCAGCCTCCCGAGTACCTGGGATTACAGGCATGCGCCAACACGCCTGGCTAATTTTGTATTTTTAGTAGACACAGGGTTTCTCCATGTTGTTCAGGCTGGTCTCGAACA
Organism: Homo sapiens; assembly: GCF_000001405.40. Classification (NCBI taxonomy): domain Eukaryota; kingdom Metazoa; phylum Chordata; class Mammalia; order Primates; family Hominidae; genus Homo; species Homo sapiens. Next base: position 142,586 of record NW_025791785.1, on the reverse strand, counting down.
CCTGACCTCAGGTAATCTGCCCACTTTGGCCTCCCCAAGTGCTGGGATTACAGGCATGAGCCACCATGCGCAGCCTTTATTTTTATTTATTTACTTATTTTGAAACAGGGTCTTGCTCTATTGCCAGGCTGGAGTGCAGTGGCACGATCTCAGCTCACTGCAATCTCCGCCTCCCAGGCTCAGGTGATTCTCCCACCCCAGTCTCCCTAGAATGTGGGACTACAGGTGCAGGCCACCACACCCAGCTAAGTGTTTTTTTTTTTTTTTTTTTTTTTTTTTTTTTTAATAGAGACGGGGTTTTGCCATGTTGCTCAGGCTGGTCTCGAACTCCTGAGCTTGAGCGATCTGCCTACCTTGGCCTCCCAAACCCAAATCCGCTTCTTTGCAACCTGTGTCTGTGAGGCATACGTGATCTTCCGTTTTTCAACATCACTTGTGTGTGTTGGTGGTGTGCATCTCTGCAGCGTGTCCACCGCTTGTCACAGGCATGGCTCTGTGCCCTCTTGACTGTGGCCCTCATGCTTCTTGACTGCCTCAACTTGGTCAAAGCCCCACTTAAATTATGACGCCAGGACTGGAAACAATGCACTCAGGATCTCGGCTGGCCAGAAGCACCTGGCTACCATCAGCAGTCCCTGTTCTGGCTCCCGTATTTCTGTTCACGTCACCTGAAATGATGTGGGTTTTAAATTTTGGAGTAGGGAGCTATTGCCATTATGCATTCTGATGCCATTTTCTTTCCGACAGCAGTGCAGTCGCTATTACTATAAATAATAAGCTATCCTTAAATTGTCTATTCCGAGATCCCGGATTGCTAAGTCAGATGAGACATAGTAACATCTTGGTTGTTAGGCTGTCATTTATCTCCGTTGACTCTTTTTTTCTTCATTTTGCCTCATCTCTGCCACTTGCCAGGGGACTTGTGAGGACTGAACGAGCCAACCATTGCATGTGCTGCTCCTCCTGACTTGTGTCTCCACAATAAGATGCAAGCCTGTTCTGGCCTTATGAAAATTGATGATTAAATTTGCATAGGATGGGAAGGAGAGCTTACTCAGGTGGCATGCCACTTGAAACTGCCCTTCAGGGTTTCACTCCTCTTGCTGACATTTTCGGGGGAGTCATGACTACTCAGCCCCCTGGGACTCCCCCAGTTCCTCTTCCATTTGGTTCAGTACTTTCTATCTTATGGTGATGTCAAGGGAGACTCGGCCACACACTGCTGAAACCCAGCTCTGCTGTGCTGATGAAATGCTCCATCTTTTCTATCATGAATAGCAGACACATGATTCTGGTTTCACCTTTTTTCGTGAAACCATGTTGCTTCCTAGTGATCATTACAACCTAGTGTGTTAGGTTAAAACCAGTCATACACTTAATAATCAGTTCCTATGTTTGGAAACTCTTCATACTCTTAAGGAGTATGAAACTCTGCACCCTCCATACTATTAACCAGTAAAGGAACAGAATATAACAGATCCTTGTTCATCATCTTATTTTTTTTTTTTTTTTTTTTTTTTTTTGAGACGGAGTCTCGCTGTCGCCCAGGCTGGAGTGCAGTGGCGCAATCTCGGCTCACTGCAGGCTCCGCCCCCCGGGTTCACGCCATTGTCCTGCCTCAGCCTCCCGAGTAGCTGGGACTACAGGCGCCCGCCACCTCGCCCGGCTAATTTTTTGTATTTTTAGTAGAGACGGGGTTTCACCGTGTTAGCCAGGATGGTCTCGAACTCCTGGCCTCGTGATCCACCCGCCTCGGCCTCCCAAAGTGCTGGGATTACAGGCGTGAGCCACCGCGCCCGGCCCATCATCTTATTTTCTTAGACAACATTATCTCACTTTTTTTTTTTTTTGCTTCATTCCTTGCTGTTTTCTTGATGTTTTCAATTTCAATTCCAAGACTGTATTCTGTTAAGCCCTTGTCTTACACCCTCACCCCACAAACCACACATTCTTTCCAGGATGTTATAAGCTCTCCACCTTCATACTTCTACAGCCCATGGGAGCCTTACATTTGGGTTCTGCCATGGCAAATAACCTATTACTATTCAGTCTAACATAACTCTAATTTTATGGGCATGTATGCACAAATATTTGCCTATAGATTAAAGACTAGGATAGAATATTCGGAACGTAATTTGTGAAATAAAGTCTTGTAATGATGAGAAAATATTTGTTTTGGTATTAAAGTTTATTTATTTATTCATTTATTTTGAGACAGGATCTAGCTCTGTTGCCCAGGCTAGAGTGCAGTAGCGTAATCATAGCTCACTGCAGCCTTGAACTCCTGGGCTTAAGGGATCATTCTGCCTCAGCCTCATGAGTAGCTGGGACCACAGATGCATGTCGTCATGCCCAGCTAATGTTTTAATTTTCTGTAGAAACAGGGTCTTGTCATGTTGCCCAGGCTGGTCTCACACTCAAGCACTCCTCCCACCTCAGCCTCCCAAAGTGCTGGGATTATAGGCATGAGCCACTGCACCCAGCTGTTTTAGTAAAGTTTAAATAAAAAAGAAAGTAAGAAAGTGCTAGCCAGTTTAAGGCAAGTCCATCTCTGGAAGGTAATAGCTATATAATCTGAGACATTGAACCCCTAAAATACACTTGCTATAAGTCAGTTAGAGTATACGTGATTGTATACAATGATTGTTGCATTGTTGAATGAACAAATAATTTAGCTTTTGTTAATATGATACATTCACACACATATATTTGTATGTACGTACATAAGTATGAAATCCTTTTCGGGAGCATGCTTAAAATAATTCTGTTTTCTCCTTGCAAAATTCACTAGAATGTGAAAGCACACAAGAGGCATTTGATTGTCTTATGAAAGTCTGGAATTTAAAGAGAATTGGGTAAATAAGATCACCATTCATCCAGCTGTTCAATGGATTTCATGTTCATCTCAGAATGTAATTGAATTTGAAGCTCCTGAAAAAGCCAACTGAAGCTCACAATAACTGAACACATTACTTTTGTTCCTAATACCATGATTGAAATGAGCTCTATATCAAGATGGGAACACGGTAATACCAGTTATTTGCACAGCACCTTTCTGCAAAGACCTCAATTCATTTTACACATGGCGCGCTTGATCCTACCCCTGAGAAGAAAGTACTTACTTCATTGGAGGGGCTGCCGGGTCAGATGTGAAGTCCCCTGTACCACTTGAATAACTTGGGCAAAAATCTCACATTATTTCAGAAAACGTATGTGTCGATTATGACCGTAGCCACATTCACTGTCCTTTCTCGGTGGTACAATCAGAGTAGAAGAGGACATTCGTTTTAGTGGTGAATTCTTGAAATTCCAAAGGAGAGCGTTTTCCTCCTGTTGAGATCCAGGGTTTCTTCCTACGGGGAACCTGGAAAGGTCACAGTAGGTTCATAGGCAAATTTATCTGGACTTGCACGCTGCCTTCTGCAGAGGAAGCCTCAGTCATGTTCCACTGAGTAAGCAAAAAAGAGCAGAAGACAGGCTGCTGTCCTCATGTGTGGTGTTTTGGGATCTTCACGGAGCTCTTCCCCTGCCTTTGCCATACTTCTATCCCTTTGCTTTCTTACAAGTCGAGTGATCTATCACTCCCATTATGCCGAGGAAGGCTCCTTCTGTAATGGGATCTCATGGTGAATTTATATAATAAATACAAAATTACACAACATGTGTTAGCTTATATTGGGCTTTACATTTCATATATAATACATGTAATACTGTTGTATATATGATGCATTATTTACTGTTATATATTATACATTACACACACATATATATATAATCCTTAGCTTTTATTATTTCAACAAAATATTCTATTTAAGTAGTTAAAATGAAGCATCTTTAGAGAGACTGCCCGCTTTTAGTTCATTTTAACACAGTTTAACATAATAGGTGCTACTGGGCATCTGTAATGTCAAGGTTCTGGTCTACCTGCTGGAGATACACAGATAAATAAGACACACAGCTGCCCTCAAGAAGCTGACAGTATCTTGTAAAAGAGAGAAACAGACTCCTTTGAAGACACATTACTTTACCGGATACAATATTTAATTCAAAAAGGAAAATTGACAAAAAAGTTAATTGGTCGAGAATAGATCCCATGATTTCTGCTTCCATGAATTCAGTCAACAGATATTAATATATAGCAAACAATCTCTGTGTGTCAGGCAGTAGGGTTGTATCTGCACATGAATGGTTCCATGAAGGAACTCACAGGGAAGACACACACCAGCTAATGGCTAATGAGCAGCCTCACTATTATTGTTTTAACACCTCCAGACCTCTTTAGGGCATGGCTTTTTTGGAAAAATCCCTGAACCTCAGGCTGTAGGTTGGGTATGAATCATCTATGCTGTCTGGGATCCTACAAAAATCTCTTCACTGACATTCACCAATGTTACTGGTTTAGCATCTGTGTCTACCACTGGAAGATACAACTTTTATAGCACACTGCTCTGAATCTACAGCCCCTATCACCATACCTGAAAATATTTCGGTACTCAGTAAACATGTGCTTGAGCCAAGATGCAACTCTTGTTTCCAAAAAGACCAACTTAGCTTAGTTACTAGAGAAATTTACCATGAAGCCCTCTGCTTACAACCCTGTCTGCCTTGTTGTTTCAAGAAAATTGTTTACTTTTGTGAGTAATGGTAATTTTGTCGAATTACCATAAGCTGTGGCTTAGCCACAGCTGTCTACAGATGGGAGGCCTACCTATTGGCAAGTATTACAGAGTCTACACGACGTTATTTCTCCTAGTAGGAGGCTTTTCCACGTTCATGCAGAAATAAAAGCAGTGGAAGTTCTAGATTTAAAAAAATTGTTATTCCTTCATTTGCTGTCTATCTCCAGCCTTCATGGCACCCCCAGAGCCCAGGAGGGGAAAAAAGCACTATTAGGTATGTCAGCACCTTGTGAAAAGGAGCACGAGATGTAGGTATTCGTCGGGAATGCTGTCTGAGTTGTGTACGAGGGCTAAATAATGGGACTAAATTTTGAGTAAGAAGAAATGCGTTCTTACCCACCGGATCAGGGTGACCTCTAAATTAGCTGTGTTGCAGGTTATCATCTCCCTACTGTTTTAGAGGCTGAGAGTAGAATCAGCTCATGCATTCTGCATGACGCGAAGATGGGGCTGAGCTGTCCCTTTGAACTCCGGGAAGCCACTTTGCTTCCTTAATTTTGGTGGAGTGAAAATTCAGTCTTCATGAGGGCATAAGGACTTGAAAGGGAAAAACGGAACCCCACTTTCTTACCTTCTCCATCCATAGTTCACAGAGATCAGGACATGCTGAAGTTTGCTGTGTTCTACTTAATAAATGCTGAAGTTCTTAGTGCTTATTAGTTAAAATAAATGTTACCTGATGAAATACATACTTTCCTGCATGTATCAATAATGATCTCATGCGCTTGCCTTTTGCCTCAGCCGGTGGGGGGAAAGAGAGGTTAAGCCATGAGCTCTGCCCTCACGGAGTCTTGGGAATCCAAGGTCTTCCCCATCTTTTCAGTTGACAACTGGGTTGAACTTTGCTGGGCTGGATTCACATCCCTGTGACAGAAAATGTACTGAGAGCTGCATCCTGGCCCATGCCTTTCTTCACTGCCTTGGGACGAGTGTAGGAAGCCCATATCCTGCTTCCTGCCATGGAGGTGCTCACAATCGTTGTTGCCAAATCTCGGATCACCTTCATCCTTAGGCGATAGTGCTATGTCCTGAGACCCAGGGACAGAGACCCAGGACAGGCCACCCTCATTCCTCCAGGAGCAACTTCTGGGCATCCTCTCACCACTCGTGCTTCCAGCAGGCCTTCGGGAAGGCGGCACTATTCAAAATGAGTTTTTCCTCGAAGTCCCAGCAGTTATTGTGGGCTAGTTATCGAGAGTGATCCAGGCCTGGCTGTGGCAACCAAGGGAACCTTCTCCTGGCCTATTAGTTTTCCGTATATGCAGGGCTTAGGCACACGGTAGGCATCAGATAGATATGTGTGAATGACTAAACAAACAAAAAGCAAAATGTAGTCAAGCGTTTTTAATTCTGGCTTTAAAAAATTCTTATGTAATTTTGAAAGTTCAATGCCTATTCTTTAATGCTGATGGAATTCGACAATTCATTTTATAAAGGCTTCTACTGAGTAAGGCTTTTAATTACTGACAATCCCACCTGGCTCTGTGTTGGCTATGGAGCTGGCGAGAGGCTTTCCGTCTCTGCTATTAACTCCCCAGGGCACCTGCTTGTTAGCCTTCCTGAATATTTCAGTGGCTGTGGTGCTGTGGATGATGAGGGCCTTGCCGAGAGCCATGTTCTAATATTAATCAGACTCTGGGTTTTCTGTGAGACTTGAACTGGGCCGCCTCTCTGGATTCCTGTCGCTGTGCCCCGGGAGGATGTGTGATGGCACCCCCAGGGCTCTGCCAGGGGTCTTCAGCTTCCTCCGGCCTCTGCACTCCATTTGTCACCTCTGCACTCCATTTGTCACAGAGTCCCAGTGGTGGGCTGATGGCACTGAGCTCAGCTTCTCCAGTTCTCCAGTTCTGCTGGGGAGGAATTTGCAGCCCAAATCTTGGTTGGAAGATCAGGAGGTTCAGCATGAATTGCTCAGACTGAAGGAAACGTGCAGGAGAGACTAAAGAGAAGCTGATGAAATCATGGCGACGACATGGAGAACTTCTCTGCTGCTGTAAGATTCGATTCACTTGTACTCTCTTCTACAGACAATTATGTGTCCATGGGTGTGATTTGAATGCCACGTCTGACTTCAACGACCGAACCCTGCCTCATTTTAATAGACGCATTAGTTAAAATAAAAGTCACAGTTTCCATCAGTGATGTTTCTGGCTGGAGCCTGTTTTATCACTTTGAGTAAGCTAGGGAGATGAAACAGACAGTGTGTGTGTGTGTGTGTTTGGACATACATACAAAATAATGTTGATTTAATCACCAGAAAACAGCATGGAAGAAGCTATTTCTTTTTCCTGGTATTAAGTATTTAAAAAGTTGAAATGACTTGCTTCCAGCCTGGGCATTATGGAAAAACCCAGTCTCTACAAAAAAAAAAAAAAAAAAAATTGAAAATTAGCTGAGTGTGGTGGTGTATGCCTATAGTCCCAGCTACTTGGGGAGGCTGAGGTGGGAGGCTCACTTGAGCCTAGGAGGTTGGGGCTGCAGTGAGCCGTGATTGTGCCACTGTATTCCAGTCTGGGTGACACAGTGAGACCCCCTCTCATTAAAAAAAAGAAAAAAAGACTCCCTCATTTGTCTTGAATGATTATATCACTTGCTTTATGACTCTAGCATTTGTTTCCTGTCAAATTTCAGAGCTCGTTGGTGGCTTCTACAGCATGAGAATTTCAGGACTCTGTAAACGTCACATTTTGTTTGGTCAGTGGCAGCTAAGGCCAACTGGGTTATTTTGATGGGTTTGTTTGCAATCTGCAAAGTTCCTCTGAAAATTTTGGTCTAAGAATGTTTTAGAAACTTGTTAAACGAGTACTAGTTGACCTGAAATTGGGAAATACACAAACTGATTACTTGCAGAAGCAGCTTCAAGAGTTCATCAATATTGTATGCCCTTTTCTTTCTTTCTTTTTTTTTTTTTTTTGAGATGGAGTCTTGCTCTGATACCCAGGCTGGAGTGCAATGGTCCAATTTCAGCTCACTGCAACCTCTGCCTCCTGGATTTAGGCAATTCTCCTGCCTCAGCCTCCTGAGTAGCTGGGATTATAGGTGCCTTCCACCATGCCCGGCTAATTTTTGTATTTTCAGTAGAGACGGTTTCACTATTTTGGCCAGGCTGGTCTCGAACTCCTTACCTCAGGTGATCTGCCCGCCTCAGCCTCCTAAAGTGCTGGGATTACAGGCGTGAGCCACCACGCCCGGCCTTACGCCCTTTTCTAAACAGCAAAGATGTTCTTTTTCCTCATTAAAGGACAAGGGATTTTTTTTGGAAGAAATTGTTGGGCACAAATGATAAAACGTAACTTGATATATGCAAAGAGACTTTCAGGCAGGGAACCAATCTAAGCATTTGATTACATGTTGTAAAATAGGGACCCATCACATCATTTTTTTTACCTTGGATTTAAAAGTTTACATCTTCTGGCCAGGCGGGGTGGCTCACGCCTGTAATCCCAGCACTTTGGGAGGCCGAGGTGGGCGGATCACGAGATCAACAGATCAAGACCATCCTGGCCAACATGGTGAAACTCCGTCTCTGCTAAAAATACAAAAATTAGCTGGGTGTGGTGGCGCATGCCTGTAGTCCCAGCTACTCGGGAGGCTGAGGCAGGAGACTCACTTGAACCCAGGAGGTGGAGGTTGCAGTGAGCCGAGATTGCGCCACTGCATTCCAGCCTAGTGGCAGAGCAAGACTCTGTCTCAAAAAAAAAAAAAGGAAAAAAGTTTACATCCTCTTCCTTGGATTTAAATCTTCAAGGAAGTTTGTTGATGAAAGAGCAATGTCACTTCTTTGTTTTGATAACGTTCTTACCTGTTCTGTAGAGACAAATCATGAAAACTGCCCATTTTGGATGTGAGTCTCAATAGTTTAGAGTATATTACTTTGTAAAGATCACAGATACGTCCCAAAGAACTGTAGATTCGGACTTGGACTCCGTCTAAAATTCCAGACTACAAGTGGCCAGATGTGTAAAATATCTTTCTGGGGCCCTGGAACTGCACTCCTCATATGTGCCCTCCGTCTCCTGCCACTGCCCTGTACCGGGAGCCTCACCTCTTAACTTTCACAGAAGCACCCCAAATGGTGGTCTCACTACCTCTGTGTCCTCTATCTGGCCCAAGGACCCTTATATTTTTTCTAACTGCTTAGTCAGGGCAAAGCACCATAATAAAGGTACTCTTCCCTTCCACAGTTGCCAGTGGAAAAGAATTCAGTGATAGCAATGAAGTTTCATGGTACGACTGCATTCAGTGAAGCAGGGTTAAGTGTAGATTTGCTTTAACTATGGGAGTGGGAGTGGCTCCTATTTCAACTGCAGTTCAGGCAGTTCTTAAAGTCTTGGCCCAAAGCATTAATGAGCTAACAAACAGGCATTATAACACTGAGGGGTAAACAAGCAATCCTACAGACCATCCAACAGGCATAGTTTTTCATCAGAAGCTAAGTGAATAATGATTTATATTTGAAATACAAGAGATGGCAGCCATTGAACATCACAGACAGCTCAAAAGGTTGTTGATAACTAACAATATGATCAAGTGTTTTCCAAAATGCTGGCTCTCTGTGGATGCCTGTGCAATGGAGGCTTTACTTTGTTGCTTGACATTTTAGGGGCAGCAAGAGCTCTCACTAAAATACTGAGTTAGGATCTTCAGTCCTCTCCTCAAATGTGCTACCTTTAGTTTATAAATATCATAGTTTAATAACATTGAAAAATAGCTTTGTAGATCACTGTTCAAAATCCCATATCTTAGGTGACCATATAATATGTCACCCAAACTGGACAATTGTGAGAGTGAAAGGGGCCTTGTTGACAGTTACACCAGGACAAGAGTAGCATAGGCTGTCCTGTCCCAGCAGCGACAGACACAGAGTTGTCGCATCCCAAGATGAATGCAAACGTCTGTGCAATGAGTCACCACGTACACATAACACAAGACAATGCAGCTTAATTTTGGGGTCAGCTTCATGACCCCAGGAGAACCTCACAGCACTCTGCTGGGCCACGTGCTGGACTCTGGGAATTGGAGATTCCATCCAGTCTCCATAACTTACCAAACTTATCTTTCATTTTGGGGTTCCCCTGCTCAAAACCATCAGTAGTGAAAGCCAGACTCAAGAGCTCTCGAGGTGAGAGACCCCTACATTTGGAATCAAACTGCATTTCCTCTCCTTTTTCCGCAAGAGTTTCTGTGGACACTAAACAGATGAAGTGCATTCATCATAGCCTCCTGTCACATGGTTTCCCAACCTAGCTTGTCACCACTTCCTTACCCCTACTTAAACCTTTTTTTTTTTTTTTTTGGTGGACATTTTTGTGTATTTCCTTCTTTTTTTTAATTCTTTTTTATTTTTATTATATTTTAAGTTTTAGGGTACATGTGCACAACGTGCAGGTTTGTTACATATGTACACATGTGCCATGTTGGTGGGCTGCACCCATTAACTTGTCATTTAACATTAGGTATATCTCCTAATGCTATCCCTCCTGCCTCCCCCCACCCCACAATAGTCCCTGGTGTGTCATGTTCCCATTCCTGTGTCCATGTGTTTTCATTGTTCAGTTCCCACCTATGAGTGAAAACATGCAGTGTTTGGTTTTTTTGTCCTTGTGATAGTTTGCTGAGAATGATGGTTTCCAACTTCATCCATGTCCCTACAAAGGACATGAACTCTTCCTTTTTTATGGCTGCATAGTATTCCACGGTGTATATGTACCACATTTTCTTAATCCAGTCTACCATTGTTGGACATTTGGGTTGGTTCCAAGTCTTTGCTATTGTGAATAGTGCCGCAGTAAACATACGTGTGCATGTGTCTTTATAGCAGCATGATTTATAATCCTTTGGGTATATACCCAGTAATGGGATGGCTGGGTCAAATGGTATTTCTAGTTCTAGATCCCTGAGGAATCGCCACACTGACTTCCACAATGGTTGAACTAGTTTACAGTCCCACCAACAGTGTAAAAGTGTTCCTATTTCTCCACATCCTCTCCAGCACCTGTTGTTTCCTGACTTTTTAATGATCGCTATTCTAAATGGTGTGAGATGGTATCTCAATGTGGTTTTGATTTGCATTTCTCTGATGGCCAGTGATGGTGAGCATTTTTTCATGTGTTTTTTGGCTGCATAAATGTCTTCTTTTGAGAAGTGTCTGTTCGTATCCTTCGCCCGCTTTTGGATGGGGTTGTTTGTTTGTTTTTTTTTGTAAATTTGAGTTCATTGTAGATTCTGGATATTAGCCCTTTGTCAGATGAGTAGGTTGCAAAAATTTTCTCCCATTCTGTAGGTTGCCTGTTCACTCTGATGGTAGTTTCTTTTGCTGTGCAGATGCTCTTTAGTTTAATTAGGTCCCATTTGTCAATTTTGGCTTTTGTTGCCATTGCTTTTGGTGTTTTAGGCATGAAGTCCTTGCCCATGCCTATGTCCTGAATGGTATTACCTAGGTTTTCTTCTAGGGTTTTTATGGTTTTAGGTCTAACTTGTAAGTCTTTAATCCATCTTGAATTAATTTTTGTATAAGGTGTAAGGAAGGGATCCAGTTTCAGCTTTCCACTTGTGGCTAGGCAGTTTTCCCAGCACCATTTATTAAATAGGGAATCCTTTCTCCATTGCTTGTTTTTGGTCAGGTTTGTCAAAGATCAGATAGTTGTAGATATGCAGCATTATTTCTGAGGGCTCTGTTCTGTTCCATTGATCTATATCTCTGTTTTGGCACCAGTACCATGCTGTTTTGGTTACTGTAGCCTTGTAGTATAGTTTCAAGTCAGGTAGCATGATGCCTCCAGCTTTGTTCTTTTAGCTTAGGATTGACTTGGCGATGTGGGCTCTTTTTTGGTTCCATATGAAATTTAAAGTAGTTTTTTCCAATTCTGTGAAGAAAGTCATTGGTAGCTTGATGGGGATGGCATTGAATGTATAAATTACCTTGGGCAGTATGGCCATTTTCACAATATTGATTCTTCCCACCCATGAGCATGGAATGTTCTTCCATTTGTTTGTATCCTCTTTTATTTCATTGAGCAGTGGTTTGTAGTTCTCCTTGAAGAGGTCCTTCATATCCCTTGTAAGTTGGATTCCTAGGTATTTTATTCTCTTTGAAGCAATTGTGAATGGGAGTTCACTCATGATTTGGCTCTCTGTTTGTCTGTTATTGGTTTAGAAGAATGCTTGTGATTTTTGCACATTGATTTTGTATCCTGAAACTTTGCTGAATTTGCTTATCAGCTTAAGGAGATTTTGGGCTGAGACAATGGGGTTTTCTAGATATACAATCATGTCATCTGCAAATAGGGACAATTTGACCTCCTCTTTTCCTAATTGAATTCCCTTTATTTCCTTCTCCTACCTAGTTGCCCTGGCCAGAACTTCCAACACTATGTTGAATAGGAGTGGTGAGAGAGGGCATCCCTGTCTTGTGCCAGTTTTCAAAGGGAATGCTTCCAGTTTTTGTCCATTCAGTGTGATATTGGCTGTGGGTTTGTCATAGATAGCTCTTATTATTTTGAGATACGTCCCATCAATACCTAATTTATTGAGAGTTTTTAGCATGAAGGGTTGTTGAATTTTGTCAAAGGCCGGCCTTTTCTGCATCTATTGAGATAATCATGTGGTTTTTGTCTTTGGTTCTGTTTATATGCTGGATTACGTTTACTGATTTGAATATGTTGAACCAGCCTTGCATCCGAGGGATGAAGGCCACTTGATCATGGTGGATAAGCTTTTTGATGTGCTGCTGGGTTCAGTTTGCCAGTATTTTATTGAGGGTTTTTGCATCAATGTTCATCAGGGATATTGGTCTAAAATTCTCTTTTTTTGTTGTGTCTCTGCCTGGCTTTGGTATCAGGATGATGCTGGCCTCATAAAATGAGTTAGGGAGGATTCCTTCTTTTTCTATTGATTGGAATAGTTTCAGAAGGAATGGTACCAGCTCCTTGTTGTACCTCTGGTAAAATTCGGCTGTGAATCCATCTGGTCCTGGACTTTTTTTTTTGGTTGGTAAGCTATTAATTATTGCCTCAATTTCCGAGCCTGTTATTCATCTATTCAGAGATTCAACTTCTTCCTAGTTTTGTCTTGGGAGGGTGTACGTGTCGAGGAATTTATCCATTTCTTCTAGATTTTCTAGTTTATTTGCGTAGAGGTGTTTGTAGTATTCTCTGATGGTAGTTTGTTTTTCTGTGGGATCGGTGGTGATATCCCCTTTGTCACTTTTTATTGCATCTATTTGATTCTTCTGTCTTTTCTTCTTTATTAGTCTTGTTAGCGGTCTATCAATTTTGTTGATCTTTTCAAAAAACCAGCTCCTGGATTCATTGATTTTTTTAGGGGTTTTTTGTGTGTCTATTTCCTTCAGTTCTGCTCTGATCTTAGTTATGTCTTGCCTTCTGCTAGCTTTGGAATGTGTTTGCTCTTGCATCTCTAGTTCCTTTAATTGTGATGTTAGTGTGTCAATTTTAGATCTTTCCTGCTTTCTCTTGTGGACATTTAGTGCTATAAATTTCCCTCTATACATTGCTTTGAATGTGTCCCAGAGATTCTGGTATGTTGTGTGTTTGTTCTCGTTGGTTTCAAAGAACATCTTTATTTCTGCCTTCATTTCGTTATGTACCCAGTAGTCATTCAGGAGCAGGTTGTTCAATTTCCATGTAGTTGAGCGGTTTTGAGTGAGTTTCTTAATCCTGAGTTCTAGTTTGATTGCACTGTGGTCTGAGAGACAGTTTGTTATAATTTCTGTTCTCTTACATTTGCTAAGGAGTGTTTTACTTCCAACTATGTGGTCATTTTTGGAATAGTTGTGGTGTGGTGCTGAAAAGAATGTATATACTGTTGATTTGGGGTGGACAGTTCTGTAGATGTCTATTAGGTCCGCTTGGTGCAGAGCTGAGTTCAATTCCTGGATATCCTTGTTAACTTTCTGTCTCATTGATCTGTCTAATGTTGACAGTGGGGTGTTAAAGACTCCTATTATTATTGTGTGGGAGTCTAAGTCTCTTTGTAGGTCACTAAGGACTTGCTTTATGAATCTTGGTGCTCCTGTATTGGGTGCATATATATTTAGGATAGTTAGTTCTTCTTGTTGAATTGATCTCTTTACCATGATGTAATGGTCTTCTTTGTCACTTTTGATCTTTGTTGGTTTAAAGTCGGTTTTATCAGAGACTAGGATTGCAAGCCCTGCCTTTTTTTTGTTTTCCATTTGCTTGGTAGCTCTTCCTCCATCCCTTTATTTTGAGCCTATGTGTGTCTCTGCACGTGAGATGGGTTTCCTGAATACAGCACACTGAAGGGTCTTGAGTCTTTATCCAATTTGCCAGTCTGTGTCTTTTAATTGGAGCATTTAGCCCGTTTACATTTAAGGTTAGTATTGTTTTTGTGAATTTGATCCTGTCATTGTGATGTTAGCTGGTTATTTTGCTCGTTAGTTGATGCAGTTTCTTCCTAGTCTCGATGGTCATTACATTTTGGCATGATTTTGCAGCGGCTGGTACTGGTTGTTCCTTTCCATGTTTAGTGCTTCCTTCAGGAGCTCTTTTAGGGCAGGGCTGGTGGTGACAAAATCTCTCAGCATTTTCTTGTCTGTAAAGGATTTTATTTCTCCTTCACTTATGAAGCTTAGTTTGGCTGGATATGAAATTCTGGGTTGAAAATTCTTTTCTTTAAGAATGTTGAATATTGGCCCCCACTCTCTTCTGGCTTGTAGAGTTTCTGCTGAGAGATCCGCTGTTAGTCTGATGGACTTCCCTTTGTGAGTAACCCGACCTTTCTCTCTGGCTGCCCTGAACACTTTTTCCTTCATTTCAACTTTGGTGAATCTGACAATTATGTGTCTTTGAGTTGCTCTTCTCGAGGAGTATCTTTGTGGCATTCTCTGTATTTCCTGAAATTTAATGTTGGCCTGCCTTGCTAGATTGGGGAAGTTCTCCTGGATAATATACTGCAGAGTGTTTTCCAACTTGGTTCCATTCTCCCCATCACTTTCAGGTACACCAATGAGATGTAGATTTGGTCTTTTCACATAGCCCCATATTTCTTGGAGGCTTTGTTCATTTCTTTTTATTCTTTTTTCTCTAAACTTCTCTTCATGCTTCATTTCATTCATTTCATCTTCCATCGCTGATAACCTTTCTTCCAGTTGATTGCATCAGTTACTGAGGCTTGTGCATACGTCACGTAGTTCTCGTGCCTTGGTTTTCGGCTCCATCACTTCCTTTAAGGACTTCTCTGCATTGGTTATTCTAGTTATCCATTCGTCTAATTTTTTTTCAAAGTTTTTAACTTCTTTGCCATTGGTTCGAACTTCCTGCTTTAACTCGGAATAGTTTGATCTTCTGAAGCCTTCCTCTCTCAACTTGTCAAAGTCATTGTCCATCCAGCTTTGTTCCGTTGCTGGTGAGGAGGTGTGTTCCTTTGGAGGAGGAGAGGCGCTCTGATTTTTAGAGTTTCCAGTTTTTTTGCTCTGTTTTTTCTCCATCTTTGTGGTTTTATCTACCTTTGGTCTTTGATGATGATGATGTACAGATGGGTGTTTGGTGTGGATGTCCTTTCTGTTTTTTAGTTTTCTTTCTAACATTCAGGACCCTGAGCTGCAGGTCTGTTGGAGTTTACTGGAGGTCCACTCCAGACCCTGTTTGCCTGGGTATCAGTAGCCGTGGCTGCAGAACAGCGGATATTGGTGAACCGCAAATGCTGCTGCCTGGTCATTCCTCTGGAATTTTTGTCTCAGAGGAGTACCCGGCCTTGTGAGATGTCAGTCCGCCCCTACTGGGGGGTGCCTCCCAGTTAGGCCACTCGGGGGTCAGGGACCCACTTGAGGAGGCAGTCTCCCCGTTCTCAGATCTCAAGCTGCGTGCTGGGAGAACCACTACTCTCTTCAAAGCTGTCATACAGGGACATTTAAGACTGCAGAGGTTATTGCTGTCTTTTGTTTGTCTGTGCCCTGCCCCCAGAGGTGGAGCCTATAGAGGCAGGCAGGCCTCCTTGAGCTGTGGTGGCCTCCACCCAGTTCGAGCTTCCTGGCTGCTTTGTTTACCTACTGAAGCCTGAGCAATGGCAGGCGCCCCTCCCCTAGCCTCGCTGCAACCTTGCAGTTTGATCTCAGAGTGCTGTGCTAGCAATGAGTGAGGTTCCATGGGCGTAGGACCCTCCGAGGCACGTGCGGGATGTAATCTCCTGGTGTGCTGTTTGTTAAGCCCATTGGAAGAGCGCAGTATTAGGGTGGGAGTGACCTGATTTTTCAGGTGCCCTCTGTCTCCCCTTTCTTTGACTAGGAAAGGGAATTCCCTGACCCCTTGCACTTCCCGGGTGAGGCGATGCCTCTCCCTGCTTTGGCTCATGCGTGGTGCACTGCACCCACTGTCCTGCCCCCACTGTCTGGCACTCCCCCATGAGATGAACCTGGTACCTCAGTTGGAAATGCAGAAATCACCCGTCTTCTGCGTTGCTCATGCTGGGAGCTGTAGACTGGAGCTGTTCCTATTTGGCCATCTTGGCTCCACCACCCCTACTTAAATCTCATCTGTTTTTCAAGTTATAATCTCTTTCAGAAAACTTTACCAACAAGTCTAATTTATATTAATCAGCTCTTTTGGTGAACTTGAATAATGATAACCTATATGATAAATTTTGAGAGTCATTTGGTAATTTAGCATGTTCACCCTGAGACTATGGTGAGATTTATTTATCTATCTATCTATCTATCTATCTATCTATCTATCTATCTATTTTTTTTTTGAGATGGAGTCTTGTTCTGTCTCCCAGGCTGGAGTGCAATGGTACAATCTCTGCTCACTGCAATCTGCACTTCCTGGGCTCAAGCAATTCCTGCCTCAGCCTCCTGAGTTGCTGGGACTACAGGTGCCTGCCACCACACCCCGATAATTTTTGTAATTTTTTAGTAGAGATGGGGGTTTCACCATGTTGGCTAGGCTGGTCTCGAAGTCCTGACCTCAGGTGATCCTCCTGCCTCAGCCTCCCAAAGTGCTGGGATTACAGGCATGAGCCACCGCTCCCAGCCAGAATGGTAAGGTGTTACAGGGAAGCCTCTTTTGATCTTGCTTTTCTTCTTCTGCTGTCCTGTTCCAGCTCTCAGAACACAGAGAATATTCACGGAACACTGGTCAAATCAGTGACTGTTAAAATTTTAGATGAGTTGGAACATTTTGGAGATCAGATTATCTAACTGCTAATTATTTTCACTTATGTTTTTTTACGTGAATTTCTTTGTTTGGTTCCCTATGTCTTATTTAGCTTGTGGAATTTGCATTTATGACTCTTTTGCCTCTGCTGGATCCTTAGACACTTATGTTCAAAATCCGGATAGAATTCTCAATAACTTTAAATCTTTACTTGGTCTCTTAAAAAAGGCTAAATATGTTCAATTTATAAATAGGAACAAAACTTTAAAATCTTTTCTTTTGTCTTCCCCCAGCCCTGTTCAGCACAGACTGACAAATGCCTTCAGTTTCTGTCTCCCTCTGTGTCACAACTCCCTCAACCTTCTCAGACTCAGCCCTGAGTGGCCTTGGATTTCTTGGTTGTTCTGTTGATCTCCCTTGAGAGATGTTTTGCTTTTCTGAGATAGTACAAGCAAGGCAGATTTTAAGACTCAAGAATGGAGCTGGCTGAGACAGAAGGCCTTTCACTGTGTGCAGCATTTTGGAAATTGAAATGGGATGAAGGGGGCCAAGTTGGAGGAAGCAGGAGGGAAGATGCTCTGAAAACTAGTGAAAAAAAATGAATACATTTTTTCCTGTCACAGTTATTTTCTTACGTTAATTTCCCTTTTAATAAAGTGATTGGTAGTTGTAAATATTCAGTGAATGACCAGAGAGATATGATGTTTTATAAATGAATTTCTCTTTGAAGTGATCGAACTCAAAATGAAGTCAGAGGTTGATTTGGATACTGTATCATTTAAAATTTCACAAAATTCAAATGTTACCAAAAGGTTTCTTATTTTTTTCTTCTTTTTCTCCCCCTAGCTTTGAGAGAAAAGTCTTTGGGTGGAATCTAGCCATGAAGAATTAAAATCTAAATGCAAAAATCAGCGAAACATTATAAATGATTAAAAAGAGCTCTTTAAAATGAAGATCCATTTTTAAAAATTTATTTATTTTTATTTTACTTTAAGTTCTGGGATACATGTGCAGAACGTGCAGGTTTGTTACGTAGGTATACATGTGCCATGACGGTTTCCTGCACCTATCAACCATCATCTAAGTTTTAAGCCCCGCATGCATTAGATATTTGTCCTAATACTTTCCCTCTCCTCACCCCATACCCTCAAACAGGTCCTGGTGTGTGATATTCCCCTCCCTGTGTCCATGTGTTCTCATTGTTCAACTCCCACTTATGAGACAGAACAGGCAGTGTTTGGTTTTCTGGTCTTGTGTTAGTTTGCTAAAAATTTTTTCCGCCTTCCTATCATCCGTGTTAGAACAGGTTAACATTTTGATTCAGAAACAAGAAGTATTTATTGAGCACCTACTGCATACTAGGCCCTGGGCAATTCACTGGGTATGAAGTGGTCCACAGCACAGATTTAAAGCATGCGTGTGAGGGATATAAACAAAGTCATACAAACACTTCTGTGTGTATATATGTGTTTGTGTGACTGTATTTACACAGCGGTAAGTACTGTGAAGAAAAAGTGTATAATAATATGGAAAGCCAAAAAAGTGAAATGTAAAGGAAGGCATCTCTGGGGGAGGGACATCTGTGGGTGTCACAGAACTAAGTGATGATGAGCAGGAGCTGATGCAGGCCAGATGGCGGCCCTGGTGTGTGGCTGGAGCTGTGTACCTCACTCAGGTGGGGTGAAGTGAGAGGTTGAGGCAGGAGGGGCAGGAAGGGCAGGCAGGGCTCAGAACACATGGGGTCTTGGGGGCCATTTAATAATTTTCGAATTAATCATGTCAAAAGGTTTAAATGAATTAAATTTAGCAGAGTTTATGTGAGCAATAAAGGATTCAGGAATCGGACAGCCCTCAGAAACCAAGCAGGTTCAGAGAGCTCCACTCAGCAGTATGAGCAGCCAGCTTTTATAGGCCAAACATGGAAGCAATATAGAGAGGTCAGATGATTGGGTACAGCTCTGCATCTGCCTCATCTGGGCAAGGGATGAAGAGTTGGCTGCCTGTGATTGGCTGAAATGTGGCTGTTTGTGATTGGCTGAAATGCAGCTGTTCATTATATTCCTAAATTGGGTTGTGGTTTGCTCCTGGAAACTCAAAGTATGGAGACAGCCTCCTGCTGATTTGAGAATCTTAATGGCTGTGGAAAGCCACAGGATATAATCACCTTGTGTGACAGCCTTCGAGGTGGACTCTTAGCCCAAAGATGAGGAATTGCACCATCTGGGTTCTGTCCTTAGCTGTGCCCCAGACTATGTCAGTGGTTTACAAGTATCCATTAACACTTTGGACATTCCTTTTCTCCTTTACACTTCTCTTTGCTTATTTGTAAACTGTGGACAATAACAATTGCCTGGTAATAATAGCAGTATAAGAAGTAATGATAAAATAATGAGAGATTTTCACATATGGAGTCAGGCTATGTTTTACACTTATCTGCTTGGTACCATGGCATGCAAGGTTAATGCAGCTATAGAGTAATACGACAATGAACATATTGGTAAGGCATGCACCATGATTCTCATGAAATGCAGTACTTGGTGAGAACAACCAGGATCATTTTGCTTAGCGGGCAGTTGATTACAGTGTTTTCTCATATGTTCTAAAGGGAAACGGTTGGGTTCGCAGCATTTTATTTATGGGTAGTGTTCCCTGCAGGGAAAAGGCAAATTTAATTTAATTTTCATTTTACTTCTTATGTCAGTTCATTTAACATATCTGTACTGAGACTGAATAAGTTCAGAGCAGAGAGAAATGCTTTAATTTGTGCAGTTTGGGGCTGAAAATTGCTTGCTGTTTTGAAATTTTTTTCCCAGACTTGTGAGGTGCTTTGGGATATTGCTGAGATAATAAGGCTCATGTCCTTTGACAGGGAAAGGCAGCATGCTGTGCTCCCCCTGTTGTTATGGCTTCAGGCAACCTTTGAAAAGTTACCATTTACCAAGGCCCACCTTGAGATACCTTCAAAAATTGCATTTAAGTGTTGTTTGAAACCTTAAGTGTTGCATATTGATCAATACTTCTGAAGAACTAATGGACGGCTGGTGAGTGGATGGCAGTATCCAAGGGGGACACATTCATTCATGGGAAGGTCATCGAGGAGGAAACACAGCCATTGGTGCAGCTCCTGGTCCTCTTCCTACAAGGGGACCCGTATCCGTTTATGCCTCCACTGTAGGAAGGCAGATAAATTTTGTGATTCTCCAAGATAGCTATTGATGGCAATGATTGAAGGCATTAATACTGATTAGTGCTAGCTGAAGTCAATGACTTTATTATGTGTATACTCTCCAGTGGGAAATTACATTGAAAAGTTTATTTCCTGAGCATTTCCAAGTCGAGACCATCTCCTTGTCTAATGTAATTAAATGAAATGTCTCTTCACAAATATTGCATCTGCGAACAGTCTCTTAAGAGATTCTATACTGAAATTGTGTTGATAATTACTTTGTTAGAAAGCCTAATTAATCAAAGTCAGTTAGGTAAGAGTGGATTTTTATTCTTCTTTCCAGGTCTTATAGCCTGGGGCTGGTGGGGAACGCATGAATCTGGTGTTTGAAAGTCCCGGTTCTAGTCCCTGCTTAGCCACACACTTGCAATTTCATAGCTGTAACGGGTTGAACCAGATGGTCTCCAAGCTTCCTTAAGCTCTGAAATTCACTCATTTTTATTCATATTTCATGTGACTGAACTGTACTCCTCCATTGTATAAAGTCAAGCATTCTCCTACCATGTCTTCTCTCTGCAAAGTACTCTTCCATTTCTACTTTATTTATAAAAGTTAAGCTAGATCTGAGCTCTCATGATACAAGGCTTAATTCAGTTAATTAACATTATTTCAGTCAAGTCTTTCCTTTTTTTTTTTTTTTTTTTTTTGGAGATGGAGCCTCACTGTGTCACGCAGGCTGGAGTGCTGTGGTGTGATCTCGGCCCACTGCAACCTCCACCTCCTGGGTTCAAGTGATTCTCCTGCCTCAGCCTCCTGAGTAGCTGGGATTACAGGTGCCCCCCACCACACCAGGCTAATTTTTGTATTTTTTAGTAGAGACGGGATTTTGCCATGTTGGCCAGGATGGTCTGGAACTCCTGACCTCAGGTGATCTGCCGGTTTCGGCCTCCCAACGCGCTGGGATTACAGGCGTGAGTCACCTCGCTTGACCCAGTCTTGTTGTATAGACCTTTGCCATCAATCTCTACATGTGCAGGGTAATGTCCTAGGCTCTTTTTGGTCCTCTCTCATGTCATTGCTCCATTCTTTCTCAGAATTTTTCTTCTTCCTTTCTTTTGTTCCCCTCTGATCATTTTTCATTTTATCTTGATACTTATGCATACTTGTAATTCTACTTCTTGATTGCCAGTTTCATTAGTTAGGGTAGGCTTAGGCTATGAGGTGATAGAAATAAACGTTGAAATTTAAATGTATCAGTATAATAAATGTTTATTTCTAGCCCATATCAAAATGTAGTACAGTTTGGATAGGTCTCCTGGGAGGCTCTCCTCCAGGCTGTGACTCGGGGATCCAAGCGTTTCTATCTTGTGATGTCGTCTTACTCCACATATGCCTCAAACACACAAGAGGATTCCCTGGTGGAAGGGTTTAAGATTGGTCTGGAGATGATGTACATCACTTTGTTCTAATTCCTATTAGTCTTAACCCAGGGACATGACCTCAGTCTAACTATAAGGGAGGCCTATAAATTCTTCATGAATGGCCAGGCTAATATCAACCAAGTCATGTTAAAGTCTAGGCATCTAGAAAGGAGAGAATTTTAGCATTGGGGGAATTGAAAAAGTGACAAAGTGAAAAATGGGAAGAAATACATGAGATGTAGTATTCATAATAAATTGAAAAGTAAAGAACTTTTGCTAATTTGTGAATATAAAATCAATAATTATGGTGTTAATGGCAATGATAATATGAGCTAATATATATTGAACACTTTCTTTCTTGAAGGCACTATGCTAATGTACTTTAAATGCATTGGTTTTTATAATCCTTATAATAACTTTATAAAGATTATTGTTATTCCATTTATGGATGAAGAAGCTGAGGCTTGGAGATGAACTTAAGGTCTTTCAAAGAGAAAGTGGCAGACTGAGGTTTCACAGCCAGACTCTAAAGCCCATTCTCTTAACATCACCTTTGTCTGTATCCCCTAAAATAATAATGATGCTTTACCTCATTGACTTTCATCCTCACTACAGACATATGACATTGGGGCTTTTACAACTTTATAGATGAAGAAACTGAAATTTGGAGAGGTTCAATTACTTGCAGCAAAACCATAGTTCCTAAAAATAATAAGACAAATAATTGAAGCCAAATAAATCTAATTGAGTTAACTGAAGTTTTACAGCATGATCTTTAAATCGAAAACATCCTGCACAACTTTTAGGGCTTCCAGCTAAAAAACCCCTTCTTTCCTGCTATCGCCTTCTCAGGAAGTATCTATCACTGCTATTTAGCACTGGCCGAGTATACAAGGTTACTGGAAAATAATTATTGGTCCCTTTTTGAGTCTAACTGGACTATTTTGATGACTCCTGCGGCTTTAAGATAACACCATACTATGTTTCCTCTCTGTTTTGATGTTTTTATGCAAACAATTGTGGAGTTTTAAATTTCACTGAAGTGTACCACAAGTCATCTGTTATTTTACAATATTCTATATCTTTCAATACATCACAGAATTGAGTAAAGATTTCTTAAAAGACCAGAACATAAAATATTGCATTACTTATTTGAGAACAATTTATTCTGAAGGTCTTGCTCTATTCATGGGGATAAAAAAGCAACTATGATAAAACCATAAAGCAAAATATTCTGAAAGGTTACATGTCATTGAACTATTCAAGTTGCTTTTCTGTGTTGCCTAAGAAACTGGATAACTTCAAACATCCAATTCAAACTCATAACCTCTAAATTGCATTCTTAATAGTTAGCACATTTTCCCTTTAGTGACAATGAATTAATATCAATAAAATCTGCAGTTTATATAACATTTTTTGCTTTTTTAAAAATACCGCTCACTCCATACTCACATGCAGCATGGCTGTAATTGAGGGCATGGACTGGACCCAACCTGTCTGCCGTTGACTGACTGTTGAGTTGACTGGCCATTGACTGGCTGTTGACTGGCTGTTGATGACCTTGCACAGCTTACTTCACTCTCTGGCTGTGGTTTCTGCAAATAGGGGTAATAGTGCCCAGCTTGTAGTGTGGTTATGAAGTTAAATAAGCAAGGTTTGTAAAATACTTAGAGCCATTTCTGGCACAATGAAAATTATATAAGTATTTGATATTTTAAAAACCTCATTTTTATGCTATTAATCGGCAGTGCACCCTTGCATAAAGCCAGTATCATTTACATTTCACTTAGAAGTAGTTTTTCTTTTGAGACAGGTTGGTCCACTAAGATTAAAGGTAGAATGGCTGATTCATGACCAGGACCTGCCAAGTCACTGGGAACAGGATACACTGTTCACTCTTCCTTTTGCAGAGAAAAGACCCTGGAGAAATAGATTAAAGGATAGCAAATCAGATAGGGTAATGCATTACTTATCTCAAATCTTCTTATATAACAACCTCACATTCAAGAGAAGGGGAGACATAAAGTGCACATAAGTGACCATGTTGGAACAGAGTATGAGAGAGGACTGTGAAGATGCTTAAGAGAAGAGAACACGTTGTGGATAATTTTGCACAAAGGGTGTCCATCAGGAGAGACTATGCGGAGGTGGCAGAAAAAGGCCTCTACAGGCTGGGCATGGTGGCTTACACCTGTAATCCCAGCACTTTGGGAGGCCGAGGCGGGCAGATCACAAGGTCCGGAGTTTGAGACCAGCTGGGCCAACATGGTGAAACACCATCTCTCCTAAAAATACAAAAAATTAGCTGGACGTAGTGGGGTGTGCCTGTAATCCCAGCTACTTGGGAGGCTGAGGCACGAGAATAGCTTGAACCAGGGAGATGGAGGTGGCAGTGAGCCGAGATCATGCTACTGAACTCCAACCAGGGCAACAAGAGTGAAACTTTGTCTCAAAAAAATTCATAGTTTCTTAGTATTTGTAGATGAGATATTATTATTTTATATACGGGAAATACAAAACAGATGACTTAGGTCAGACAAAGCTGGTTTCTAAACTACCTTGGCCATTGGATCATTATGCATTTTCATCAAAGAGTTTCCAGGAATGGAATAGTCTCAGAATGAAAAATTTGCCCATTGTCAAATTATACCATTGAATAATTTTAATTTATTGGAATTCCAGGAAAGAATAGTTAACTTTTATTTTTAATATTATGAAAATAAGAGAAAAAAGCAGATGACATTCAAATAAATGCTCTTTCTTTATATATTTTGGTTTATAACCTGTATCTTTTCATGCATCATAATATTCCTCTGAGAAACATATATATGTGTATATATATGTATGTATATACTTGAATTTTTTTTAACTTTAGAATTGAGGCTATAAACCTTGGCACACTATTTAGGGTTAAGGTTAACCTGGGGTTTGTTCTGAGGCTATGATCCTTGGGGGGTTGACCTGGGTTCAACTGGGCATTGATTGTTGAGTGACTACAAGGCACATGTGAGACACAAAGTGGATGGAGGCATCACAAGGGTGAAGAGGAAAGAAACAGATTTGGAACAGGGCCCAAGCAAGCTGGAGGGGAAGTGGCCAAGGGCACTGTGGAAATCAGGCAGGGGGGCCAGGGACCCCTTTCACTGGGTGCTGGCTTCAGGGGTCATTGTCTAATTTAAGGTCACAGAGCCAGCCTGGATGTTTGACCCTTCCTCCAACAATGTGATGGGTGTGCCTATGACCCATCTCACCCAAAAGCCACGTGTGTGCAACATCTAGCTCAGGTGTTTCCAACACTTGGTACATGTGTGAATCACACGTGTCCATCACGGGCTGTAAGGAATGTGTGTTTGGGGATGGGGAAGGAGCAGTATTTCTCCTAGCCCTCCTCATAGGTGGTGATCAACATTGCCCTTGGACTATGCTGAGGGACAGGGAACAAGTGGATAAGGGCGGGTAGGAGAGACGGATTTGCTTCCATAGTGATTACACCCTGTGTCAGCCTGACTAGCGAGACTGGGCCTGGACCACGGCATCACAGACTACATATGTAGTTCTGCCATTTTAGTAACTGATCTCTTGTTTGACAGTTTCACTTTGCCTTTTTGACCCTTTCTCTGGTATAAATAAGAAATCCCATGAATTCACTTGTCAGGTGAGTGAATCCAGATCCAAAATGTGAAACACAAAGTCCAATAACTTTGTTGGAAATAAGGCCTGCTGCTTCTCTCACTTTATATGGAGTTAAAGATTCTGAGAAGTATGGACATCTCCAAAATTCTTTAGACTTCCATTTAAGAAACATTGAGTTAGTAATCTACCCCTTCACGCCTGTAATCCCAGCACTTTGGGAGGCCGAGGCAGGTGGATCATAAGGTCAGGAGTTCAAGACCAGCCTGGCCAATATGGTGAAACCCCATCTCTACTAAAAATACAAAAATTAGCCAGGCATGGTGGCGGGCGCCTGTAATCCCAGCTACTTGGGAGGCTGCGGCAGGAGAATCACTTGAACCTGGGAGGCAGAGGTTGCAGTGAGCCGAGATGGCGCCACTGTACTCCAGCCTGGGCAACAGAGCAACACTCCATCTCAAAAAAAAACAAAAACAAAACAAAAAAAAACTACCTTTGGTTTATAAACCAAATGTTCTTGCTTCATTGTGCATGAGTCAGGTAACATTAGTATTTATTGTAGACATTTGTTGATTATCTCCTCAGTATTGTCGCTGATAATTTCTGATAGGGACCAATGAGACTGAAGAAAAATGGATTCTAACATCATTTTATAGAACATGATTGCAGACTAACAAACTGGCTCATTCCAGTTCCCTGACCATGTGTGAATTGGGGGTGAAAAGTGACTGAAACCTGGATAATAAGAAAAATCTCAGGGAATATTCCAATATTTCCTGAGAATTTCCAATATTCCTGGGAATACTGGAAAAATGCTTTCCTTGGATGGATGAGAATAAATAGGGAAGGAAGTAACCCTGTGTTGGGTCCCCCAGGACCCCCGCTTTCTTTCTGTGTCCTGTTGACTCTATAATCCAGCCAGTGGCAGGTTTTCCCCAGCAGACTTGACCCCCAGACTGGGTCCTTGAACATTCCTGGACACTGATAAAATGATCTAGGTTGTTGCCCAAAGCAATGAAAGAAATAGCCTTGGGCCTGACCCAAACTTTTTAAACTCTCATATGAACGTCATGGCCTGAACCCCTCACTGCAGACATGCGTGGGTAGAACACCCTTTTTCCTCGCTGTCTGCGGGAAGGATTGCTGCAGCCTCTGTAAGTTCCCCTCGTCAATGCTCTGGGCTGATCACCCTGTGCTTAGTGCTCCTTTCTTTGGAATCCTAACCAGACCCATCTAGGGATGGTTTGGGGCACTTTCTTGTGGGAACTCCCCCTGCTGCCACTTATGGGGTGATTCCAGTTTCTGGTTCTCCTGGATGGAACAGGCTGGGACCTGCTGGAGACATCCTGAGGCCATCGGAACCCAAGCGACGCTGTGGATGGCAATGCTGAGAGGCAGGCAGGAAGAAGCCTCCTGCTGCCATTGCTGACTTCATGGAAGGGCTGGACCCATCCTCGCCGAGGCTCCAGGGCTTCTTTTGGATGCTTCATTACTTGCGTCAATGCAATTTCTCTATTGTGCAATCCAATTTGTGTAGGGTTTCCTGTTACTCACAGTGGAAAAATTCCTTACTGTTACAGGATTTCTACTCTAGTGCCTCTGATTGCAGCTCTCGTGGGAGGACATTGCTCTTCCTGGGATGCTGTCACCAGAGCTCCCCAAAATTGCAAAATTTAGGTGCTACCTGGGTGTTCCATTCCCTCTAGCCTTGTCCTTGGATGGCATCTTGCACTCCCCCTGCTGTCTTCTCCACCTTCTGAGAATCCACGCACTAAGGGGTTTTCTCCTTGAATATTCTCTTGGCCATATGCAAAATGACCTTGAGAATTGATGTTGGGCAGGGCAAGGCAGTGGAGTTGGATTGTGGCTGATTTGAAAGCAACACAAGGGAAGTTAGACTTGGGCCATGTGTGGTTGAGAGGACAATTTCTGGGCGATGCCTGGGCCAGTCCCTGGTTCACCTCTTCGAGTGTAAGTTATTCAGTTCCTCCAAGCCTCTTTTACTGATTTGTAAAGAGGAGATGATCAATATTCTTTCCTCAGAGGATTGTTGAGAAAGCAATAAGATGCTGTGTGTGATGGGTCTGGTATATAATGAGGTTCTCTGAAAATAGAACTCTTAATTGATCAAGGGTTGCAACTCGGATTCTGTAGTTGGTAGACTAGTATTCTTTCTACTATACCTTGTTTGAAAGCCTAAGGTGCTCTAATGATGCAGAAAAATATGCGATAAGACAGCAAGCCAACGTACAGAAAGAGCCACACTGCCGGTGAACCATCACCTATCATCAGTGGTTACTGCTCTGTAAACTGACAGTACAAGACCTATCTTCTCCATTGCGCTCCACCTGATTTTTCTGCAGCAATTGCAGACCAAGCCCCAAGCAAGAATGTGGAGGCCTCAGAAGGCAGCTTGCTCAGAAGCAGATCCTTGAGGGTTCACCATGAGCTGGAGACCCCAGAGCAGTGTCTCCCATCGTACTGCACAAAGAGAGGAAGAATTGTCCATTGCTTATTCTTGCTCACAGATCCATGGGATCCTAAGACTCAGAAATGCCTGGGGCTGGGGAAACAGCCTAGTGCCAATCAAGGCGTGATGCTCCTTTCTGTGTCTCTGAGGTCACCAGTACCCTAACCTATTCCTCAGATATTCTGGAGGGTGAATGCACTCAATCTTACCTGTGCATCAGCAGTTTTCTTAAGAAAACAAAACTCTTGGCTGGGCGCGGTGGCTCATGCCTGTAATCCCAGCACTTTGGGAGGTCAAGACGGGCGGATAACGAGGTCAGGAGATCGAGACCATCCTGGCTAACACCGTGAAACCCCGTCTCTAGTAAAAATACAAAAAAAAAAATGGCCGGGTGTGGTGGCAGG
The DNA here is from genome assembly GCF_000001405.40 of Homo sapiens. Taxonomy (NCBI): domain Eukaryota; kingdom Metazoa; phylum Chordata; class Mammalia; order Primates; family Hominidae; genus Homo; species Homo sapiens. The sequence goes on along the minus strand of NW_025791785.1, from coordinate 114,685 downwards.
CGCCTATAGTCCCAGCTACTCGGGAGGCTCCGGCAGGAGAATGGCGTCAACTCGGGAGGCGGAGCTTGCAGTGAGCTGAGATTGCACCACTGCAGTCCAGCCTGGGCAACAGAGCAAGACTCCATCTCAAAAAAAGGAAAACAACAACAAAAAAAGAGAAAACTCTTGAATGTGCCGCTCAGAGCTGCTTCTCTAGTTACCTGGTGGGATCTTGGAAAGAGATGCTCAGAGTCATGAGTCAGAATGAATTTCAACCACTTCAGCAAACAGAAGGGGTTGAAGGAAACCACAGCAACCTTCATAAATGACACCATTTCTAACTTCCAAACTGAGGTAGAGGTTGCCTTTTATTTATTTTTTTCATCACAGTCTAAAGTATCAATAACTGCATTTGCATTCGTTTCATTTACCAATAATTTATTTTTTTATTTTTATTGTTTTTTTTTTGTTTTTTTTTGAGATGGAGTCTTTCTCTGTCACTCAGGCTGGAGTGCAGTGGCATGATCTAGGCACACTGCAGCCTCTGCCTCCTGGGTTCAAGCAATTCTCGTGCCTCAGGTTCCCGAGTAGCTGCGACTACAGGCATGCACCACCATGCCCGACTAATTTTTGTATTTTTAGTAGAGTTGGGGTTTCACCATGTTGGCCAGGCTGGTCTCAAACTTCTGACCTCAAGTGATTCACGCATCTTGGCCTCCCAAAGTGCTGGGATTACAGGCGTGAGCCACCACATCCAGCCCCAAGAATAATTTTATTGTTCAGTTGAGAAATTATCCCTCATCTTTCCATGAGCTTTGTAATTCAGGATTTGAAAAGCCTCTGTTGAATTCATCCCGTGGAGTCCAGCCTGTGCTGTGATGCAGGTAGCGCTTGTCTGATGACGAAAAAGAGAGAAACTCAGGTATTAGGCATCTTAGATTTGCAAAATGTTATGGCTCCTTGTCCTGGCTACTGAGTAGTGGAAACCAGTATTTTCTATTTTCTGTTGTTATCAAGCAAATAAGCGGAAAGAGGGCTCTCATCAAAAGCAACACTCACATGTGTGGCTATTCAGATTTGTTGTGGTGATAAATCAGAGGCCGCAAGAAACTTGTGTGTTCTCTGAGGTTGGAACTGGAGTGCGGGCGGTGCTAAGACCAGCACGACGTCAGGTAGTTGGCATCTGTGGAAACAGCAGGTAAGTCTGAGTAGCCCCAGTGTGGCCACTTCATGACAGCTAGAACATTCGGTAAAGAGGGTTTTTTGAAAGAGTACGTTAACCCTTGGGCAGCACATCTGAAATACCTGCATGCATTTCAGTACAAGATACCTGCAGGAATTCCAGGCAGCCTGTGTTCAGTCCTTGAGGGTGGGTTCTGCGTCTTACCCCTCTCTCATTCCTCCACCCATAACATACTCAGAACATGTGGTAGAAAGTCATGTGTTCTGAGTATGTTAAAATATATATTTTACATATCTAGTTTACATATCTATTTTACATATCTATTTTACATATCTATTTCACATATCTATTTTACATATAAATTTTATATATTTTTAAAATATATTTTGTATATTTTAAAAATATATATATTTTTGTAATATATATTTTATTTTACAAAATATATTTTAAATATATTTTATATATTTTAAAAATATATATTTTAAATATACACTTTATATATTTTAAAAATCTATATTTTAAACATACACTTTATGTATTTTAAAAATCTATATTTTAAATATACACTTTATGTATTTTAAAAATCTATATTTTAAATATACACTTTATTTTAAAAATCTATATTTTAAATATACACTTTATGTATTTTAAAAATCTATATTTTAAATATACACTTTATGTATTTTAAAAATCTATATTTTAAATATACACTTTATGTATTTTAAAAATCTATATTTTAAATATACACTTTATGTATTTTAAAATTATATTTTTAAATATATATTTTATGTATTTTAAAAATATATATTTTAAATATATATTTATGTATTTTAAAAATCTATATGTTAAAAATAAAATACATATTTTAAAAATTATGATGAAATACATGTGACATACAATTTACAATGTTAACCTTTTTTTTTTTTTTTTTTTAAATGGAGTCTCACTCTGTTGCCAGGCTGGAGTGCAGTGGTGCGATGTTGACTCACTGCAACCTCTGCCTCCCAGGTTCAAGCGATTCTCCTGCCTCGGCCTCCTGAGTAGCTGGGACTACAGGTGCACGCCACCATGCCGAGCTAATTTTTGTATTTTTAGTAGAGACGGGGTTTCAGCAGGTCGGCCAGGATGGTCTCAATCTCTTGACCTGGTGATCTGCCTGCCTCGGCCTCTCAAAGTGTTGGGATCACAGGCGTGAGCCACCCCGCCCAGCCAATGTTAACCATTTTTAAGTGCACAGTTGTCTGGCATTAAGCCTATTCACACTGGTGTGCAAGCATCACCACCATCCGTTCCCAGAGCTCTCTCATCTTCCCCAGCTGAAACTCTGCACCCATTAAACACCAACTCCTCATTTCCGTTCCCCCAGCCCCTGGCAGCCCCCATTCTACTTCCTGTCTCTGTGGATTTGACTGCTTCAGATACTGCATATAAGTGTAATGATTTGATATTTGTTTTTTTGTAACTGGCTTTCTCATTCGGTGTAATGTCCTTGAGGTTCATCTGTGCTGCAGACTGGGTCAGCATTTCCTTCCTCTTCATGGCTGCATGATATTCCATTGTGTATCCAGTTCACATTCTGTTCATCTGTTCATTTGTTGCTGGGTACTTGGGTTGCTTCTCCCTTTTGGCCATTGTGAGTTCTGCTGCAAGGAACGTGGGTGTACAGAGATACCTGCTAGACTCCCTGCTTCCCATTCTTGTGGGTATGTACAGCAAATGTTTACTGAACTGACATTTGAAGTGGGAAAAGGCGCCAAGTCTGCAGGGCTTACGCTGGTGTTCCAGGCTGTTTCTGATCTGAGCTACATCACCTGCAGGGGTTTACCTGCCGGAGCTCCGTGCATCCCCCAACACCTGTGCCCAGAGTCTCCCACCTTCTACTCTCGTGCCTGCTCTCGCCCTGCCCAGACTCCACCTCTGCTGTAGGTCTGTCTGTTGTCATTCTGAGATCCTGCAAGGACCCCTTCAGGCCATGTCTCCACAGGCCTTGGCGGTCGTTAATTCAGCAAGATTGCAGCCTCTGCTGGAGCCGGGACCATGTCTGCTGTTGTTCCCTCTGTCCTAGCCTAGGACAGACCTCAGGCTCTCCTCCAACCCCCCATGGCTTGTTCAGGGGTGAGAGAACAGTCTCGGGAATGTGCCTATGGTGGCTGTCCAGTAGGTAGCTGACGGGAGGTGGAGCCAGGCTGTTAAATGGAGCTAAAAAGAAGAGGTTCAGCATCCAGAGGTAAGAGCTTCAGTAGAAAGGAAATGAGTTCGGACACTGGAAAGCTTAGTACAGCTAATGATCTCAGAGAGGGCAGGGCAGGAAGAGGGCCAGCCAGCACTCCCTGTATGCTCCCTGCACATCAGTGAACGCCGATGTTCACGTGTGAGAGGCAATTTGAAAATGAAAAACACCTGCAGTCGGAGATGGCTGTCAATATGAATACAACTTTCTTTAGAAGGGGGACAGAATTCAAAGGCAAGTTTCCCTGACCCCAAGACTATTGTCTTCTTTCTGTAACCTATTGATTTTCTGTCTCTTCCAAGAAAAGTTATTTCCCACCCTAAATTATTCCCGTGTTCCTCTCCTTTTCCTGGTACTCTTCCTTTCCTTCCAGCCTAGCTAGACTCACCTTGTTCTACCCAGAAATCAGAGAAGGCTAGATTCCAATTCTGACATTAGTGGGTGACAGGATCCCAGCAGTCTAATCTCAGTCTTCATCTATCACATCCTAGGACCCGGTGGAGTCATGGTAGGGTATGCGTCCCAAGAATATGTGAACTTCTGTGTTTCTTTCACTCTGTGTTCCTAGCACCCAGGATGCTGCCTGCCATATTGCAGGGGAGATATAGGTATATATTTTTATATATATTTGGTGAATTGAATGATTGAAAAAAAGTCTATGGGATCCTTTGTATAAGTAAGCTCTTGAGTGGAACCCTAATATAAAAGGCAGAAAAACCCTGGGTACTCCGGGTGGCAGTCAGGGAATCCCATCAACCCAGCCTCCTCCTGTCCTCCGAGGCTCTTCCTGGGGACTCCAGAGCTCCAAGGACAACTTCAGGATTGTTTCTGAACCTCCTCCAAGCCCTGACATTTGATTATGTTGTTAAGCCAAGGCCAGGGTCCCCACGTGTGGGACTCCTATAAGCAACCAAAATGCTGCCGTAGGACACAGCCACAGTGCACCGTCTAGAAGAATTTTGGAGAAGCTGGACCTTGAACTGGGCTTCCAAAACAGAAGAACATGGATGGGCAGGATGGGGAAGGGCAGGCTTTCCAGGCTGAGTGCCACACAATATTTATTCACTCAAGGATTGGATTTATGCTCAGGACGGAACTCCTGAGAGGTGCCTTGAGAAAGAGACACAATGGAGCTTCTCTGTTCCATTAGCTCCAAGTCAGGGCCAGCGCTCTTCTCTGGGGCAGAGCCCTCTCCTCCCTCCCCCTCTCCTAGCTGGGTATGGTGGTACATGTCTGTGGTCCCAGCTACTCAGGAGGCTGAGATGGGAGGATTGCTCGAGCCCAGGAGTTTCAGACTACGGTGAGCTATGATTGCACCACTGTACTCCAGCCTGGGTGACAAAGTGAGACACTGTCTCTAAAACAAACAAACAAAGAAAACCCAAAAAACGAAAAGGAGAAGAAGTTGAAAGAGTTGTTGAGAGCAATCCTCTCTCATCAGGAAAGTGAAAACAAAACAAAACAAAAAGTGTTTTGACTGCCTGGGAGAAAGGATATATCCTCCTATGTGGAAGCGAAAGACAGCCCCATGCTGCCTGTTGGATCCAGAGGACAGGGGCACGTTGCTACAAGGTGGAGCTGTGTCATTTGGGTGTGTGACAGGAGCAACTGCCTTTTTTTGTCACAGATTTCAGATCAAGAAGAGTTGTCCCTGATGCAGATCATGAGATTATGGACTTCAAGCCTGACGCCTTGTTTAGATGGGAATTGGGAGTCCTAGATGCTGGAGGGATTGTTTTACATGTGGGGGAGACATTCCACGGGGGCCTGAAGATGGACTGTGGGAGATTGTCATAGTCCTACTTCTAGGGGCCACACTCTTGGGAGTGCCCACCAACACTGAGTTTCAATTGGGCCATGTCATTGACCTTGTTCACTGAGACATCAGTAAATGTGCCAAAAACAGGATTGATGAATATTTGCAAAGTGAGACTGGCCCTCTTGAAACCCAATGACCACATAAAGAAGTCTGGACTGTCTTGCTGGAAAAGAGGAGAGTTGAAGTGATGCATGTCAGGTGAGCCCCAAAGTGGGGCTTAGCTCATGAGGGTTCCTGTCTTTGCCCAGAAAAGAATTCAAGGGCAAACTGGAGGTAGAAGGCAACAACTTTACTGAAGCAGCATTGTTACAGCTCCTGCAGAGGAGGACCACCCCATCGGTGGAGAGCGGCAGCTCAGGGCAGTTCTGCAGTCATATTTATACCCACTTTTAATAGCATGCAGATTAAGGGGCAGTTAATGCAATTTCTAGGGAAGGAGTAGTAACTTTTGGGCGGTTGGGTCATTGCCATAGAAAAGGGCGGTAACACCTGGGTGTTGCCATGGCAATGGTAAACTGACATGGCACACTGGTGGGTGTGCCTTACAGAAAGTTTCTTCTGCCCTGTACTTGTTTTACCTAGTCCTCAATTTGGCTTGGTGTCTGAGCCCTGCCTCTGGAGTTGAGTCCCACCTCCTACCTCAGAGGTGCCTCGTCTGACATCCCACTAACACCAGGCCTCCCAACGAGGCCGTTGAGAGTCCCCCAGTCTCAGCTGAGCCATAGCTGACTGCTTGGTGGGAATGACCACAGATAAGACCAACAGGAACTGTCCTGCTAAGCAGAGTCCCCATGCAAAGCCAGGAGCACACTCATTTGTTGAGTTTGTTGTGCAGCAGTAGTTAACAGGGACAGAGACTTTTCACATCTTCGGTGTTAATATGCTCGCTTTCCTGTGAAGCCGCCTGCGGAGGATCTGGCTTACTGCTTCTTCACGGCTCCCAATTTCATCTTATAACAGGAAGACGTGCCTTGGAGTCTCTGTGGATCTTACCCCATTCCCAGAACTTACACAAAGCAAGGAAAAATAGGTCCACACAAAAATAGGAATAGAATTTGTGCTGATGCCTGGTTTGTTCTAGCGACAAGTTACATTCATTCTTGGATACATGATCTAATTGAAACAACCGTATCATTTGTAATTGGACTTTGCTTTGTTTGCTTCATAATTTTTAAATGTATGTCACTTTTTTGCTTCTTATGTAAGTAATTGTAAATGATTAAAATAATCAGGCCAGGCATGCTGGCTCATATCTGTAATCCCAGCACTTTGGGAGGCTGAGGCAGGCAGATTACCTGAAGTCAGGAGTTCGAGACCAGCCTGGCCAACATGGTGAAACCCCGTCTCTACTAAAAATACAAAAATTAGCCGTGGTGGCACACGGCTGTACTCCCAGCTACTCAGGAGGCTGAGGCAGGAGAATTGCTTGAGCCCGGGAGGTGGAGGTGCAGTGAGCTGAGATCGCGCCACTGCAGTCCAGCCTGGCCGACAGAGCGAGACTCTGTCTCAACAACAACAACAAAACTGTAATAATTATTATAAATAATTGGAATAGTCACTAAATCCAGAAGAAATAGCTAATGTATAGGATCTTATGGTATAGAAAGTTTAAAAAGTTAATATTCCTCTCTGTCTTTTCCCACTCTGTCTTTTTGACACACACACACACACACACACACACAGACACACACCCCGCCCCCCCAGTACATGAAGCATAAAAGGGTGAGTAACAAGTACTTTGAAGCATAAAAATGTACTGAAGTACTAAAAAAAATTCTACTGTAATTGTTCTGGGAAATATTAAAATATAAGCTCGAAGTGGGAACAAATAATGTAAAATTTCCAGTCATTAAATAATAAGTTATATTTCAAATTGATTTTTTTTACTTAAGTTCCATTGGAAACTTATAAAAGAGAGATGAAACGCCTTATTTATTATTTTATTTATTTACTATTTTGAGACAGAATCTCACTCTGTCACCCAGGCTGGAGTGCAGTAGTATGATCTCGGCTCACTGCTACCTCTGCCTCCTGGGTTCAAGTGATTCTCCTGCCTCAGCCTCCCGAGTAGCTGGGAGTACAGGCACGTGCCACTAGGCCCGGCTAATTTTTGCACTTTTAGTAGAGACGGAGTTTTTCACCATGTTGGCCAGGCTGGTCTTGAACTCCTGACCTCAAATGATCCATCTGCCTCGGCCTCCCAAAGCACTGGAATTACAGGCGTGAGGCACCATGCCTGGCCTATTTTTTAATGTTAGTATTTATAATACAACAGAATTTATAGTAATATATATGTTTTCTGAGACAAGGTCTCGCTCTGTCCCCCATGCTGGAGTGCAGTGGTGCAATCACAACTCACTGTAACCTCTGCCCCACCAGGTTCAGATGATCCTCCCACCTCAGCCTCCCGAGTAGCTGGGATTACAGGTGCATGCCATCGCGCACAGCCAATTTTGTATTTTTTGTAGACACAGGGTGTCGCTATGGTGCCCAGGCTGGTCTCCAACTCCTGGGCTGAAGCAATCCACCCACCTCGATCTCTCAAAATGTTGGTATTACAGGCATGAACCACTATGCCTGGCTTATTGTTCTTTTGCAACTCTTTAAACTTAGGTCAACACATTTTACACATCCAGTAGAAAATGTATGGGGGCAGATACTGAGTTTTCCACAATTATTTTGGAGAGCAAATAAGCAAGACTTTATATTTTATTCCAGGTTAATTTTCTGTGAGTCACAGTTACTGAAAATTCCTATTATAATGTAAAATATAATGCAATAGTGAACTCTCAAAATGAGTAAAAATGGAAGGATAATATTAATTAGTATAATTGGGTTCTTTTATACATTAGAAAAGGCCCCAAATTATTTATTGGGTTGTGTATTGGCTGTACCTGAATTTCTCCCTTGGTCTTTGATGCAGGTACTTAACCTTCTTGGGTTACTTATTAATAGTTTTAAGAAGTAGGTGTGAGTTCTTTCTCTGGTGACACATAGTCATTAAACAGGCATATACTGGAGCAGCATTCAGCTAGCTGTGTTGGAGCACAGCCTCAAACTCACAGCATTCCTCTGCTTTATAAATAAGACCATTTGCGGGAAGTGATATTTGTAGGGGATTTTGCAGAGTACACGTGGTTCACACATAGCACTAAGGGCTGACTTTGAATTAAGTGAGACCCTATAGAACAGGGTACCTGAACCACAGCAACTGGCCTTTCAGTACCTTTAGTGACTGGCACCTGCCGTGATGCCGGGGCCTTCACAGAGGCATGCCACAGTAGACAGTGCAAGGATACTGCTGAGATTGTGGCTCATTTCTTTATAGAATTCCCAGAGGAGACATATCTCACTAGCTGTGCTTGTATTTATTAAACTATTAGCCTAACTCATATAATTAACCATGTTTCTCACTTTATATTGATTACTAGAAAATTTGTCGCTAAACTTTTCCATATCTCCAGCAAATACAAAGCATTCTGAATGTTAATTCTATTCCTGGCTTCATACTTTGTTTTTCTCAGTCCAGACTTTCTTGCTTATTCGCTTTGAGCTTAAGTTTATCTTGTTGTATTGTATGTAGCTCAGAAAGTCACTTTAAATTATACTTAGAACAAGGAGCAATATAAATAAACAAAGTAGTTACCGGGAGGCAGCAAATGAGCTCATGATTATAATGTGTACTGAGTAGTGAAGAAGCTCATGAGGCTTAAGCTCCAAGGTTCCTCACTTGCATAGGCACTTTCAGAGGCCCTGTTCTTAATTTTGTATTAGTGATTTCCTAAACTTCTTTGCTTAAAGGTGAGCCACCCTCCCAAATGCATAAGCTCCAGGCTCCACAAAATAAGGAACTTGCCCTGGTCTGGTGGCATAATGACTTTTTTTTTTTTTTGAGAGTCTCACTCTGTCACCAGGCTGGAGTGCAGTGGCGTGATCTTGGCTCACTGCCAACTCCAACTCCCAAGTTCAAGTGATTCTCCTGCCTCAGCCTCCCGAGTAGCTGGGAGTACAGGCATGCGCCACCAAGCCCAGCTAATTTTTTGTATTTTTAGTAGAGATGGGGTTTCACCATGTTGGCTAGGATGGTCTCGATCTCTTGACCTCATGATCCACCCACCTCGGCCTCCCAAAGTGCTGGGATTACAGGAGTGCGCCCTCATGCCTGGCCCTGCATAATGACTTTTGATAAGAGCAGAAGTCATAGCGCAGGTAGAAACAGGAGCAGTATTTAGTGCCTGGCTGGGCAACTCAGTTATATCTTTTATAGGCAGCTACTGAGGTCTGTTCGGCCACCTTGCTTGGTGGTCAGCCTGCAGTCTCCAAATGTTGGAGCCAGGCCATGTGTGTGCTGTGACCACACAGCCTTGCATCCTTTATTCAACAGGGAAAGGGACTCCACTGGGCACTGGGTGAATGTTAATTATCAGAATGATTATCTCGAAGATGTATCATATGTATATCCAACTCATATAAAAATGAGTTATTGAGCAGGATAGAGAACATTAAGGAATTAGTTGAGTGTTGACTCATTCTGACATTCGATGGATCTAAGTGGCAGACTACAGAGACAGACCCGAAATAACTTGTGTCAAATAAGCCTTGTGGTCCTCTCCAGGTGGTAAATGATCTTGCAGGGAAAGGGGAGCCAGGGCTGTGTTCTTAAGAGCATCTTTGGATTCTGGCTCATCTGAGTTCATTTGAGGGATGTGGCCCAAAAGGGGAAACCTGAAATGGTTTTAATTGTTCACCACTAAATGGAAAGTAGGTATGAAATGGTTGTTATCCATAAATTCCTTTTTTTGAAGTGGTTTGTGACTTTAATAGCTTCTTTTTTTTGGATTTTATTCAAATCAAAATTCTGAGCCCAGTGTAGGGGCAAGATCTTATCTTTTTCCCTACGTTTTCAGAGTGATGTGGGAAATACACTGTTAAGTTGTTTGTTTTTGACTGTTTTCTTCCCCTAAGAAATAGTAATGATACAGAGAAAGGCTGTTTCATAACCCAGCCTAAGTGTCACTAGAATGGGATACATGTTAGTAATCAGATGAGGATGCTTTATCCCATGTTCGCATCATCAAATGCTGTGGTAGAGCCAGATCTTTTACTGTAATCAGAGTCGATTCAGACACGATGGCCATTTTCTCCTATTGCGACATTACGGAGGAGGATAAGACACAACATAATGGGACCTTTGGCATTCTTTAAAGTGCAAGACACACAGTATATTATGCTGATGCTGAAAACGACACCTCTACCTTGTCGCTTGTCTACTTGTGGTAACTCCAGATTTGCTGATCTATGTTCTTTGGAAAAGGATGACTTACTGCCCTTTTCATGGAAGCTGTATTTCCTAATTATGATGATCTATGGTTTTCTGTTTCTGGATTCCATTTCATCGTAGAATTATTTTATTCTCTTTTTGGCTATTATTTTCTCCTCTTCTCTGTGCTTCTTCGATTTTGCCATTATTTTAGAGCTTCCTAACTGTTCTCCTTGCCTCCAGTCACATTCTGTCCAGATTTATCTTCCACATAGCTACTTGAGTGATTTACCTCCAGCGGCTCTCGTTGCTCCCTTCCCTTACCGCTTTCTGCAGCAATGTGTTCCTCTAGCAATACTCAAATCAACATTGCTCTCGGGAAGCAGCATGAAGTCCTGTGTCTCTGATGTTAGTGTTGAATATTCTCTCCTAGCCGGTGCTTCCTCTACCTTGCTATCTTCTGCTTACTTTAAATACATAGTTTGAGGTTACCTCTTTTTTTTTTGAGACACAGTCTCACTCTGTCTCCCAGGCTGGAGTGCAGTGGTTAGACCTCGACTGACTGCAATCACCACCTCCCATGTTCAAGCGATTCTCTTGCCTTATCTCCTGAGTAGCTGGGATTACAGGTGTGTGCCACCATGCCTGGCTAATTTTTGTATTTTTAGTAGAGACGAGGTTTTACCATGTTGGCCAGGCTGGCCTTGAACTCCTGACCTCAAGTGATCTGCTCACCTTCGCCTCCCAAAGTGCTGGGATTACAGGTGCGATCCACCATCCCCAGCAGAGGTTACCTCTTCTAAGAAGCGTTCACTTAACCCATTTATGCCAGAGGTTGCAAATTTTGAATTGCAGACATGTGAAAAATCAGACCTTGGCGATGACCTTGTGCAGTAAGATATAAATAACTCCCACATGCTTGGTGTTCCAGTAATGGAGTGCTAGGCGTAAATGGGTTCACCCCTTCACACCACCTGCTCCTAGCAGGCACCTCTTTGTGTGTGCTCTCTGGACATCTTGTGCGTAACTGTATTACTGTCTATTTTTGGTAACAGTTTTATTCAGATATAATTCACATACCATACAATTTTCTCATTTAAAGTTGGCGAAGCAGTGGCTTTTAGCATCTTCAAAGAGTGAGGTACCATCACCACATCCAACTGTAGAACAATTTTATCACCCAAAGCCCCAGACTGGAAATAACCCACTGTCCATCAACTGATGAATGGGTAGATAAAAGGCAATACATCTGTGCAATGGAATATTATTTAGCCATAAAAAGGAAAAGAGTATTGCTGCTTGCAACATGGTTGAGCTGTGAAAATCCTAAGCTGTTTGAAAGAAGCCAGTCTTTTCTACATTGATTTATAATTATTGATTGCTATTCCTATCTCCTTCTTTAGAGTATGGATACCCCAATGCCAGGAGATAGCTAATGCATCTGGTATCCCCAGCATAGTATTTGGTACACAGCAGGCACTCAGTAAATATTGGTTGGTTAAAAAGACAAATGCTAAATACTTGAGGCTGGGAGTAGTGGTTCACAACCGCAATCCTAGTGCCTTTGAAGACTGAGGTGGAAGGATTGCTTGAGGCCAGGAATTTGAAGCTGCAGTGAGCTTGATTGTGCCACTGCACTCCAGCCTGAGTGACAGAGCAAGACCCTGTCCCAATCAGTCAATCAATCCTCAAGACTCAGCCATATAGAGTAGAGAAGTAAGAAATAAATGACCTTAAATCACATAAAATGGTACCATATGTTGCTTGGCTCTGGGAATTCTTTAAATAAGATAAAAAAAGAAGAAATTGAGGGAGACATTTTCTTATTGGAGGCACATTCATTCTTTACACTTATCCCTACCTTTGCAGCTCTCATTCTGTGAAGAATTGAGGCAGGTTCTTTTTCCCTTTGATAACTCTGCATCTGTAAAGAGAACCACAGCTTGAACTGTTTGCCCATTTTTCTCTAAGAGACTCTGGGGTTAATCCCCTCATTCTACTCAGCCCAGCTGACCTTATTCACCACTGGAAAGTCACGCCCCATTTACCTACATCAGGCAACATCCTGAATCTGTTTCAATCGCATTTGGCGTTTCCCACTTCCCTGACAAGCCCCTGCCTTAATTTGCTAACTCCCCTATATCTTCAACCTAGTTCTGAGATCCTAGCCCACCCTTTCCTGACCATTTCCTGTCTCTCAAGGACCCTCCCTTTCTTAGAGCGTGGGCAATTGGAGACTTGATTCCCATACCCAGTCACTGCAGGTCCTGTGTCTGCCTTCACCCATTGCAACTTGGAAGCCACTTTACCTCCTCCCTCTTTTGAACCATCTAGATCCTCTGAAGTTCATGATATCTGGCCGTCAGTGTTTTCTTCTCTCCTTTCTAGTCATTTTCCTTCATTTTTGAGAGACTCTGGCTCGTGGTTTAGGGTTTTTTCCTCCATCCCCGTGCATGTCGCCCTGCAGAGACTTTCACACCTGCATGCTTTGCCTCTCCCTTGTGCTGGCCTTTCTGGGTCTTGGCCTCCTTAGCTCAAGTCATCTTTCCCCCACTCCAAGTCAACCCTCTACTCTGATAGTCATGTCCTAACTGCAGTCGTCACCAGTAACTGTGCTAACTCCTGACTCTTGCTGATAGCATAGTTAACACATCAGATGGGTTTTGCTGTGCCAGATGCTATCCTAAGAACTTTCATATTTTAAATTATTTAACAATGATGCCAGCACTGCAAGGTATTATTATCTGTATCTTGTAGGTGGAGACATTGTTTAGAGCACTTTCTGACCCTGTAGTATCCTTCTAGCTCATACTGTCTTTACAATAGCTCCTTAGTCTACTAGACACCTCTGTTTATCCTGCCATGTCACTTTCCATAGAATAGTTTACCATGTTATAAACAAAAATAGTCATAGTCATAGTGGAAGAGTTCAGTTTTATTTGGCATTGGAAGTAAAGTTTTATAAGAAATAAATGTTAGACGATATCCCTTATTTCCGTGTCTAACCCAGACAAGCTTCTCCCTGGACCAAGCACTTTTCCCTGTATCTTAAGGAGTTATTCTTCTCTTCCTAGTTCTTTTTGTTTTTTATGCTTGCTCTAATCTGGCTCTTCCCACCAGTTTTGCTGATTATCTAATAAGTCTATGCAAGTATGTATCATATGCTTCTCTACCAGGCTGGAGCACACTTAGGGCTGAAGTCTAACACATCTCTGATGGGCAAGTCTCTTTTTGGGCTCAACTGGCTCAACTTCCATGGATCCGTTGGCCTTATATTCCCCAAATCTTTTTTTTTTTTTTTTTTTTTTCCTTTCTTACTTTGCTCTTCTCTGCCACTTCTCTGGCCAGCTGCTTTGATGCTTTGATGATTGTTACTATTTCTAGAATTTTCTCCCATTCTCTTCATAAATTCTAGCTTACCCATCCATATATTAACTGAACTGCCTAATAGGGCTTGGGTATTACATTGTATGTTGGGAAAAGAGGAGAATTTTTTTTTTTTTGAGACGGAGTCTCACTCTGTCGCCCAGGTTGGAGTGCAGTGGTGTGATCTCCGCTCACTGCAAGCTCCGCCTTCCAGGTTCACACCATTCTCCTGCCTCAGCCTCCTGAGCAGCTGGGACTGCAGGCGCCCGCCCGGCTAATTTTTCATATTTTTACTGGAGACGGGGTCCACCGTGTTAGCCAGGATGGTCTCGATCTCCTGACCTCGTGATCTGCTCGCCTTGGCCTCCCAAAGTGCTGGGATTACAGGCGTGAGCCACCGTGCCCGGCCAAAAATTTTTAACATTAAGGTGCTTACCAGGGGATTAATGTAAAGCATTGCAATAGCAGCAAAAGTAGAAGTGGCGGTGAACATTTATTGAGCATTTACTAGGTGCCAAAATGATGGTAGGTGCCTACCAAGCATTAATTCACTGATCTGTATTTTACAGATGAGAAAATTGTAGCACAGAGGGATTAGAGGGCTTGCCAAAGATCCCAAAGCTAGTCAGTGGCAAGTCAGCATCTGAATTCAATAGTCTGGCCTCTGATACCAAGCTGGCAATTGCTACTGGAAAGGGTCTTTTGGTGGAGTGAACTTCCCCAGGTCCTCAGCAAGCAATGTAAAGTTGTCTGTGTGTCAGCCCAAGGCCTTATCAACAGCCTGTGGCGCTGTGGTTGTGATCAGGCATTTTTATTTCCACCAACCTGGCATTGGAGTCTAGGGTTTTATTTTCTGTGTTTGTACTTAGTTTTGGAGTTACTGTTCTTAATCCCATGATGACTTACATGTTAAAAATGAGAGGCTGGGCGTGGTGGCTCATGCCTGTAATCTCAGCACTTTGGGAGGCCGAGGCAGGCAGATTACAAGGTCAAGAGATTGAGACCATCCTGGCCAACATGGTGAAACCCCATCTCTACTAAAAATACAAAAATTAGCCAGGCATGGTGGCATGCCTCTGTAGTCCCAGCTACTCAGGAGGCTGAGGCAGGAGAGTTGCTTGAACCTGGGAGACAGAGGTTGCAGTGGGCTGAGACTGCGCCACTGCACTCCAGCCTGGTGACAGAGCGAGACTCTGTCAAAAAAAAAAAAAAAAAAATCAGATGTTAGAATTTTTGGTAATAGGGAGCATGCAGTTATGCAAGTGAGGGATATAGAGAGGAACTGTTTGAAAGTTTTGAGACTAAGGTCAGTGCTGCAGTTTGAGTGCTACAAATGGTTGAGTAGTTGCAATAACACTGAAGGAGAAAGAACAAACCAGGCAAACTGTGACGTGTGTTTTGTTCTAGAGTGGAGTTAGTATCACTGACAAAATGAAAACAAAATGAAGCAATACAAATAAATAACCCCAATCCATCTTTTGAGGGTGTGTGGCTGGAGAGTGGGCGTCAACCCCATTGTATTGGAGCCTAATGGTGATTCAGGAGAGGCAGGGAGTTTGAGAATTGAAAAGCTAAGTGCAGATGAGCTGCAGCTAAAACTTCTGTTGCACCTTTGGCTTCCAGTCCTGTGTCAGGATGGCCAAAAGTGAAAAGTGTCCCTTTTTACTCTAGTAATGTCATTAGAGCTGTCATTTTTGGAGATGGTGAGGTGGGAGCAAACTGCCTCAACTGCTTTCCAGTGTAGCCAAAATTGGTTTCATTTATTAAAGAAAAAAAAAAGGGTTTCTGTTAGGTGGGTAGGATGTATTAGAATGCAAGAATGAATGCTTTGTAAAGGTTCTCCTGGTCTCTCCAATGAAAAGCAACCACCTTTTCCTTTGTGCAAGGCACAAAGGAAAAGGTATTTTATTCAATACGTGTTTGTTTACCCCATACCACATACACAGGGAGCACAGCCCTGCACGGACCATCTTGCAGGCAAGAGAGGCACACAGACGAGGAACCCCAACAGGAAGACCACTGTGCTAGACAGATGCATGGGAGATTAGCAGAACACAAGGTCTTCAGGATGCAAATCAGACCGAGGTATCAGGAAAGGATCTTGGAATGAATAGATGAGGCGTTACCCACACGAAATGGCAACGGGGGTGAGAAAAGAGATTCCATGTGGCAAATGGGACTTGTACAGGATTCGTAGGATACTGTCTTTAAGGAGATAGTTCTGTAAGTGAATGTCCCTAGGCACGCCCTCCCACTGTAATGTTGATGTTTGTGTAATTAATCGATCCTCCTGAACTGGGATCGAGAACACTCTCCTTCTTACTGGCCCAGAGACACTTCATGCCTGCTCACTGTCGTTGTTGCTGGAGCCGAAATCTATAGCTGAAGTTATCAGATGCAACTGATGTAAGAAGTTTGCTTGTTTAATTACTTTTTTTTAATTGGGCAAAGTTTTTACTCACTCTTGAGATGGAGGAGGGACCTCTTTTAGGGGCCTATGGACCACCCACCCTTAGCACAGACATAAAGGAAAATTTTGAGTACCTTCAAGGGAAATTCCAGGCAGCTAGCTACTCCTGAGAGGTAAATGAACTACTTGATAATCAAGAAGGTAATAGTAGCCCAAAACAAATAGCTAGGGAAGCTAGAATCATGGGATGTTTGGTTCTCTGTAGAAACTAAAGATAACATCTTTTTTTAGGGGGGGACGGAGTCTCGCTTTGTTGCCCAGGCTGGAGTGCAATGGCATGATCTTGGCTCACTGCAACCTCTGCCTCCGGGGTTCAAGTGATTCTCCTGCCTCAGCCTCCTGAGTAGCTGGGACTACAGGCACACACCACCATGTCCAGCTAATTTTTGTATTTTTAGTAGAGACGTGGTTTAACCGTGTTGGCCAGGCTGGTCTTGAACTCATGGCCTTGTAATCCGCCCGCCTCGGACTCCCGAAGTGCTGGGATTACAGGCGTGAGCCACCACGTCCGGCTGGGATAACATCTCAACATATGTTCCTGAGTGGTTTTTCAGAAACCCTGAACCCCACAAAACAGATCTGTGGGGTCATAGACCTTAGATGATGGGGAGCTGAGGACTGAACTCTGAACCATTGCTCTTTGTTCTAAATTTTTTCCTAAGGGCCTGGAGAAAGTCATACTCAGGAGCTGGGGCTAATGTTCTTTTCTGCTGACCCCAAATATTTACAGAAAGCCTTCTTTTCCTTAACCAATTGCAAATCAGAAAAATGTTTGAATCCACCTATGACCTGTAAGCCCCACTTCAAAATATTCTGTCCTTTAAGGCTAAAACCAATGTGTAACCTTCATATATTAATTTACTAATTTGCCTGTAACTTCTGCTTTCCTGAAATTTATCCCTCCCTTTAAAAACCCTTACCTGTGATTCATCTGGGAATTCTGGACTGAAGCTTTAGCTGCTAGATTCTCCTTGCTTGGCACCCTGCAGATAAACTCCTTCCTTTCTCCCACTGCAAACCTTGGTGTGGATGTCCGGTCTTACTGCACCAGGCAAGTGGATCCTGGTTTCATGTGATAACACGCTCATGCTCTGTCCATACCAAGTAACTTATCTGCTCAAATTCTGGTCCCTAAGATGGATAAAAAGTCACCACCAAATAAGCACCATCTGCTAATGCCACCTTCATCTTGGAGCATCCTAAGAGACATAAATAAATGCACCCATGGGTTGTTAGGGTTGCATTTTCATTTGAAGCTTTCTAGGCATAAGACTGTTGTTACCACGTTTAGGTAACATTTAGTGTTACTACCACACTGTGCCAGTAACTGTGTTTACATAGCCAAACACTTTCCATAAGATGAAAGACATCTTTTTTTTTTTTTTTTTGCCAAAATACAACGAAGCATTCATGAGATCATTTATACATCACTTACTAAGTACAATAAAAGAAAAGCAGGTTATAATGGCGGTGATTCCTGTTTGCATAAGGAGAGACGATGTTCCTCCTGGAGAAGAGTAGGTGCAACGAAAGCTGCTGTTCCACGGGATGAAGGATGTAATCACTCTCTTCCTGCTGCTTTGCATCCATTTCCTACCCAGGAATGTCCCCTGTGCTCTCCGTGGTGTTCTTAGGCCGCTGGTGTTTGAGCTCCATCATGTTTGAACAACAGCTTTGCGGATCAAATAATTGTTTGAAGTAGGAAGGAGACTAACAAATAGGAGCTGAACCTAGGCCCACAATGGTTTGTGCACAAGTTATGCTTATTTTTCACAAAAACCTAGAAGGCTAGATTTCGTTTGGTCCATAGGTGAGGTGAGAGAATCTCATATAATTTACATAACTTACGAAGAATTTGAAATTTCTTTCCTCTGGTGCCAAAGTCACCAATTCGTGGATTGATTTATTTTTGTCATTGGATAAATATTTATCGAGGTTGCACTAGGTGGACTCTCACTCCATGGGAGAAATGGGAAGAATAATTGCTGTCAATTATAGGGAGTTATAGGGAGGGGGCCTCTGATGGACAGAACTTAAATCAGGCTTGGGAGAGGGGAGCAGGAGGTGGGAGGGAAAGAATTCAGGAGGACAAAACACTTTATCTCAGGTGTGAAGAGCAAGCAGTGTTTTTTTCAGATGGAGAAGTCAAAGGCTGGTGTTTGAAGTGGTGGATGTCTCATGCATGGATGCATTCAGAGTATCAAGACGCAAGCCCAGGAGTGAGGGGGTGCCCAAGATTGGAACTTTCAGGAAACCACTAGGGAGTGTGGATGTCATACCTACATCCTGTTATCTTATCCTGTCCTGTCATACATAATCTAGTGTGATATTGTCATGGGCGTAATAGCCCTAAGTGTTTGGGTGAAAAAATTAGTGATTGGTTCTAGGGCAAGTTGGAAGAATCTTTGCAGAGGAGGTTCCCTTTGAGGTAGCTCTGGATAGGTGCAAGGGGTTTTTCTGTCCCAGCATAGAGCAGGGCAGTCTGGCAAAGCAGACAGAATGAGCAAGAACATGCATGAGATGGCGGGCGGGGCAAAATGCAGAGTATTCCGGTGTGACCTGATAATGCAATGCTTCTTGAGGTTATGGGTAGTTTTAAAAGCAGAGTCTGGAGTTCAAAGCAATCCCCAAATGCCAAAAGAATCCTACTGTAATGATAGAAATGTCTGACCTCCAGAGAGGCAAGACAGTGTGGATGAGGGCTTTTGTTAAAGTGTCTTCAATTATACCACCTGATCTACTATGCACTCCACCACAGTGGAGAATAGGCCCACCTGTTCTGAAATAACGCTGCAGACGTGCATTCCTATTTATGTTAGTGTCATGCGGTGCAATGTGTCAGGGAAGATACGGGTAAGCGAAATGGAAGAAAACCCAAGAAGGAATACTATTAAATTTCAACAGAGCAGCTCTTCTGTGAGTAGGCAGCGTTTTAAAAATAAATTTGAAGCCATTATTTTAAATGTGGCCACTTAATCTACTTCAGACGGCTTCAAATGTGAGGATGACAGCTACCATTAGAGCTAGGAATTTGCATTCTCTGGTGAAGAGTAACTGCAGTTTTGCTTCCCCATCCACAGTTCTGTAGTAATGTGTGTACACAACAGACCTCGGTCTTGTTGGAGTCAGGCTCTCTCACTGAGAATGAAACGGTCATGCTCCAGAAACTAGTTCTTTTTTTGGTAAAGTAGTGACTGTTCAAACCATTTACCATATCATGAAACATGAGGGCACTCATAGCAATCCTTAGGGGAATTCGTTATTACCATATTTATAGATGGTCCTTGTGACTGGGAGGAGAGCCGTGTATGTATCCTGGCTTAGGGCAGATGATTTCACAGAGGCATCCCTTGGAATTTCAGAGGAATAAAATGCATGATTAAGGTGTCCTTTACCGGAGATTGTAGAAACATAAACAATAATAATTCAAAGAGCTTGAACCAAGCCAACTGAAAGAACTGAAATGCTTTGGAGCCACCTGAAAATTAGTGCTTTTCAGCACAATCAATCAATCAAGCTCTAAATCTTCATTCAGGCCCTGCCAAGTGTAAGGTGCAGAGAAAACCTAAAGGCATAAGCAGTATGAAAGTAGTCTGTGAACCACAGAATAAAGAACCATTGAATAAAGAACACTTTTTTTCTGATTTATAACATTTTATTTAGTATGACCAATCACAAAGACGTAATAAACCATATCTAGTTGCAAGCTTAATCTTTATCAAAACTACTAAAATTATACAAATATACTTACCTTGAAAAATTCAAGATCGAGCGCCTTTATCAATGAATGGCATCTTTGAAATATTTGCCTATTAATGGTCAGATATTAAGAGTTTACTAGATTACAGGAAAAAAAGATACTTGCATATCCTTACATGCTTATATGACACTGGAGTTGAATTCCAAGATAGTTGGAGCCTCTCAGCTGGGGGAACTGTGTAAAATTTCTCCGTAATTTCTACGATTCACCATTTCTCATGTGCTCAGTAGTGAACCTGGTATAGGCGTGTCTGTGCCTGTGGACCTTGTCTGAGTTGAAGGTAATTCCAAATAAGGTCAATAAGTAAAATGTAATTATCCTGCCTTTCTCAATGAGCACTGTTACAGATGTCTGTGTGTTATGGCACTTTAGAGTCAGAGCCTGTCCACATCTGTTGCCTTTCTTACTGAAGATGAAAATATAGGGTGAAAAACTCCAAAATAACAACCACAAAGTACGTCTACGTGCAATGAAGATGAATAGAAGGGAAAGATGAAAATAATAGGAATGGGTTCAGGATGATGGCGGCTTTGGCTGGGAGGAGGCACAGGGATGGGAAGGTGGTGTGAAGCAACTGGCAGGGGGATGGTTTACCAATGACTTAACTTTTATTTTGAGTGGTGGGTATATAAATGATTGGTATATTATTTAAAATGTGAGTGAACTACGTACATACCGGAGAGTTATTTTTGATACTTATGTGTGCATGCTTTTATGCACGCACGTGTACCTAAAAGTGCGCCATCTGTGGACTAATGAGAGTGTGATCAGCTAAGGATTTTGAGTAATGCACTTCTGGACACAAAAGTCCATAGGAAAAATAGCTCAGGAAACAAAGATCATCCCAAAGACTTGGAAGCTTTGACTTCCTCTTTCCCCTTAATAAAGCACATTAACAAAACTGGGACTAAAACAACAGCAAAAAAAAAAAAATGATACGGACAACCAGGAAGGTGATTCAATGTATACATTATTGGTGTCCATGAAAAGGGAGCCACAGCAGATAGAACATAAGTAATGAACACGTAATTGGCAATAGCGCCCCTGTGTTGAAGAGAACTAGTATTTTTGCCCCTCTTCACCAAAAGAGGCTAGGTTGCACTGGAAGAATGGAAAACATACATTTATCTGCAAAAGTAAAAAGTAGTAATTCAGAACTATAGAAAGCAATGAAGCATCTGTTTGCATGATCTCTTAGATAGTTATAAGAATAGTTTATAGAAGGCATCCAGGACAGGGACCCAATTTCTATTTGTGCCACAGGCTTCCTGGGCAGCCCTGGGCATGCTGGTACATATGGGTGTCAGGAATTACACTAGTTGCTCTCTTGTCACTGTTCCCATTTTAATATTTCTATTGAAGGCTTTTTCCTTTAGAGAGGGCATTGCTGAACAAGTATATACAGTCCACAGGTGAAGCAGTACTGTATTTGAGGCAGCCGAAGAAAGACAGGCTGCTGTAAAATATGGAGTAAATAAAATGTTTTAAAAATCACAACCTCATTATAGATAATGAAACCCAATATTAAAATTATGCCCTTTTCCTAATATATTAACTAGTGCACTTAGACTTTCTTTTGGGAAGAAGGGAAAAAAAGATAGCAATGACATTTTAATTGTTTCAACCCATTATTCCCCACACTTAAAAGCTATCAAAAATAACTCTCAACAGATATTTTATTTCCTACTAAAAAAGGAGAAACGTTAAGAAATGTTCATAAATATCATTGCATGTATTTTCAAGTGGATTACAAGAAATTCAAATTTAAGTCAAAAGCATAGTAAGGCTGACATTCATGATGAAATCTCAGCCTCGTGAGGGAGGGAGACAGCTAGCTAGCATTCAACATTGTTCTGTTTCTTACTACATTTTTTTTTTGATAAAGCAATAAAAAATGCTTCTTTGGGTCAGGCGTGGTGGCTCACGCCTGTAATCCCAGCACTTTGGGAGGCCAAGGTGGATGGATCACGAGGTCAGGGGTTCAAGACCAGCCTGGCTGAGATGGTGAAACCCCATCTCTACTAAAAATATAAAAATTATCCAGGCGTGGTGGCACACACCTGTAATCCCAGCTACTTGGGAGACTGAGGCAGGAGAAACGCTTGAACCCAGGAGGTGGAGGTTGCAGTGAGCCGAGATCGCACCACTGCACTCTAGCCTGGGTGACAGAGCAAGACTCCATCTCAAAAACAAAACAAAACAAAACAAAAAAAAAGAAATGCTTCTTTGTGGAAAACAGCACTGAAAATAAACTATTCAGAAAGAGGAAAAAAAACACCTAGAATGTTATATACCATCTGTAGTTGAGTTTATGTCTCATTTGGATGTCAAAATTCTATCGTGTGAGGCTGGCTGATGTTTTGCCTCTTGGCTTCAACTCAGCCATGTACCTATAATAAACTAGGCAACATATTCAGATAACTGATATCCTTTGTTTCCAGTAATCATTCTTTATCTGGACACTTAAAAATTGCTAAGGTCTCTGAGGAGCTTTTCTTTTTCATTTTATTTTTGTCACTCTTGTGTGCGTAGTGAAGAGTTTCTCAGAGTTTTTAATCTCAGGGCCCCTCTCTTAGGTATAATATTTTCTGCATTCAAGTTGAAAACTGAGAAATTTAAAAAATATTTTGAATTCATTTTAAACATAACAAATGATAGACCTATTACTTGTTAACATAAATAACACATTCTTAGGCAAGAGAAGTCTATTTTCCAAAGGAAAAACTTCAATGAAGAGAGTGGCATCGTTTTACATTTTGCAAATCTCTTCAAGGTCTGACATCATAGAAGACAGCTAGACTTGCATATTCCCCCTGAATTCAATCTCTTAAAATATGTTTTAGTTGAAGAAAATGAAGAAAATTGAACCTCATACATGTATTTGGAAAATGAAGTGTTATTTTATTGGCCTTCTCAAATAACTGTGGATAACCAAAACACAGCAAATATAGTTGCTTAAAGATTAGTTGCAGTGTGCAATCTAAAACTACATTAATTTTTCTTCCTTTTTTTTTTTTTTTTTTGAGACGGAATCTCAAAAGACTGGAGTGCAGCGGCGCAATCTTGGGTCACCGCAACCTCTGCCTCCCAGGTTCGAGCGATTCTCGTGCCTCAGCCTCAGGAGTAGCTGGGATTACAGGTGCACCGCCACGCCCTGCTAATTTTTGTATTTTTAGTAGAGTTGGGGTTTCGCTATGTTGGCCAAGCTGGTCTCTAACTCCTGACCTCAGGTGATCGCCCGCCTCTGTCTCCCAAAGTGCTGGGATTACAGGCGTGAGCCACCGTGCTCAGATAAATATACTTTTCATACTCTCATTACTTTAAAAACCATTGATTTATATTGTACTTGGAGTGGATATTTTACCCAGTCATGATTTTGTAACTTCATGCATTCCCACTTTGAAAATATTGCTTTGCTGAATTATGCAGGTCTTACAAACATTGACACATTTCATAAGACAGTTTCGAAAAGTACATTAGTTAATGTCACCACCTACCTTATCAATAAATTTTTAAATATTGTAAAGCTGTCAAGTTCATGGCAACGTATATAAGTTTTTCAACATCCTAAGATTCACTTAAAAATAAAATCTTATTGTATTCCTCATTTTTGAGAAAATGCTTTCTAAAGACCCAATTCTGAATTACCACAGTTTGTCTGTTATTCTTTCAAGTAAAAGTGATGTTACGTGAAATAGCAGCTAGTTGAGCTGAAACCGTCACACAAGGAAAATAAATATTTCCTCAAAACCATCACCAGGCCTCCACACGCAACAGAGTGCTTCACACGTGCTTCCCATGTTGTCACACTGAATGCTTAAAAGTTGTGTGCTTGAGAATTTAGTTCATCAAAATTAAAATGTATCTATCTATCTATCTATCTATCTATCTATCTATCTATCTATCTATCTATCTATATTTTTTGAGACGGAGTCTTGCTCTGTTACCAGGCTGGAGTGCAGTGGTGCAATCTGGGCTCATTGCAACCTCTGCCTCCCGGGTTCAAGTGATTTTCCTGCCTCAGCATCCTGAGTAACTGGGATTACAGGCATGCGCCACCACGCCCAGCTAATTTTTGTATTTTTAGTAGAGACAGGGTTTCACCATGTTGGCCAGGATGGTCTCGATTTCTTGAACCCATGATCCGCCCGTCTCAGCATCCCAAAATGCTGGGATTACAGGTGTAAGCCATGGCACCCGGCCTAAAATCTGTGTTTACTTATATCTGCATCTTACAGTTTCATCAAGGATCTTCTTAAATGAAACTGACTTTTTTTCCTGCAGGTGTATAAAGAATGATGATTTTCCTTACCATGCCACTCCCCGTCCCCCAGGCTAGGTTAGGAGCCTCTCGGAATACCTGCCCATGACCCTAGACTTCATCAGATTCTCTACCAGAGCAGGAATCACACTCTATCAGCACTGTGTTTATTTGTCTGTCTTCTCCTCTAAGCTGTAAGTTGAGTGCCTGCACTCTCCCTTATTGGTCTCTATAATAACATACAAGGAATATAGTTGACATGGAATAAAATGCATATGGAATAAAAATGTGTACAAAATGAAAGCAGCAAGATCTGAAGCTGTGTGAGATTTTATGACAGCATTTAAAAAGAGCTAATCACAAAAATGTCTCCCTAGAGAAGACAGGGTCCTCTGTTTTGTCTGGAACTTGGTGATTCTGGTGGTGTGGAATGCTTCTTCCTCAGTGCTGTAGGGCTCCAATAAAGAAAAGATGGACAAATATGTATCAGGGAACTAAAAAAAAAAACCTGGAAATCGGATGGGCAAGAGTGGGGTGGGGTGGAGTGAGAAGGGATTGGAGAAGAAATGTGAATTTCAGACCAGACTGTATCAAGGAAAACTCAGTTAATAGTGGAAAGTCTCCAAAATTTTATCATTTCATATCGATAAAAGATACTATCACCAATAAACTTATATTATGCCCTTTTATGCACCAAATAGTGCCCGCATTTACAAAGCAAAAACCATTAGAAGTAAGAAGTTGCTAGAAGCACAATTGTTGCAGCACTTGAAAATTAAGTGATTTGTTAAACAGGTAAATAGAAACATAAAATTGAATACTGTCCAAGGTTTTAATTCTGTATCTATACCTCTGTATATTAAACCTTATGTGTAAATTTGAAAAACATTAAAATACGAAGGCATAGCTTACATAAAGAAAACTGCACCCATGTAAAACTCAATGCTTTTTCATGAACTGAAAAGACTTGTACAGCCAGCACCCTCATCAAAAAAATACTGTGTCCGGAATTGGTGGGTCCTTGGTCTCACTGACTTCAAGAATGAAGCCGCAGACCCTTGTGGTGAGTGTTACAGTTCTTAAAGATAGTGTGTCTGAAGTTTGTTCCTTCTGATATTCGGACATGTTCGGAATTTCTTCTTTCTGGTGGGTTCGTGGTCTCACTGGCTTCAGGAGTGAAGCTGCAGACCTTTGCGGAGAGTGTTACAGCTCTTAAGGCAGTGCGTCTGGAGTTGTTCGTTCCTCCAGTCCGGAGTTGTTCATTCCTCCCAGTGGGTTCGTGGTCTCGCTGGCCTCAGGAGTGAAGCTGCAGACCTTCGCGGTGAGTGTTACAGCTCATAAAGGCAGTGGAGACCCAAAGAGTGAACAGCAGCAAGATTTATTTCAAAGAGGGAAAGAACAAAGCTTCTACAGTGTGGAAGGGGACCCTAGCGTGTTGCCACTGCTGGCTCGGGCAGCCTGCTTTTATTCCCTTATCTGGCCCCACCCACATCCTGCTGATTGGTCCATTTTACAGAGAGCTGATTGGTCTGTTTTACAGAGAGCTGGTGATTGTTCCGTTTTGACAGGGTGCTGACTGGTGCGTTTACAATCCTTGAGCCAGACACAAAAGTTCTCCAAGTACCCACAGAGCACTGATTGGTGCATTTACAAACCTTGAGCTAGACACAGGGTGCTGGTGGTGTGTTCGCAAACCCTGAGGTAGACACAGAGTGCTGATTGGTGTATATACAATCCCTCAGCTAGACATAAAGAGTCTCCAAGTCCTCACCAGATTAGCTAGACACAGAGTGCTGATTGGTGCATTTACAATCCCTTAGCTAGACATAAAGTTTATCCAAGTCCCCACTAGACTCAGGAGCCCAGCTGGCTTCACCTAGTGGATCCTGCACGGGGCCACAGGCGGAGCTGCCTGCCAGTCCCGATCCGTGCACCTACACTCCTCAGCCCTTGGGCAGTCGATAGGACGAGGCACCGTGGAGCAGGGGGCAGCCCTACTTGGGGAGGCTCGGGCCATGCAGGAGCCCACGGCAGCTGGGGGAGGCTCGGGCATGGCAGGCTGCTGGTCCCCAGCCCTGCCCTGCGGGGAGGCAGCTGAGGCCTGGTGAGAATTTGAGCACAGCGCCGGTGGGCCGGCACTGCTGAGGGACCTGGTGCACTCTCTGCAGCTGCTGGCCCAGGTGCTAAGCCCCTCACTGCCCAGGGCCGGTGCTGCCGGCCTGCTGCTCCGAGTGGGACGCCCGCCAAGCCCACGCCCACCCGGAACTTGTGCTGGCCTGCCAGCACCGTGTGCAGCCCCAGTTCCCGTCCGCGCCTCTCCCTCCACACCTCCCTGCAGGCTGAGGGAGCCGGCTCCAGCCTCGGCCAACCCAGAGAGGGGCTCCCACAGTGCAGCGGCAGGCTGAAGGGCTCCTCAAGCACGGCCAGGGTGGGCGCCGAGGCCGAGGAGGCGCCCAGAGCAAGCGAGGGCTGCGAGGGCTGCCAGCATGCTGTCACCTCTCAATACCAGCACCCCAGAAACCCCCATTGTGCTACCACCCAGGCAGTATTGTTCTCTCTCCAGGGTGATCCCCATGCTAACTTTTTCTATGGCTTAGTGAGTTATTAGAAGTCAGACTCTTTTTGTAACCTCCCATTAGGGCAGGAAATAGAAGCCTGTGCATATGCCCTAAGCCATCTGGGTCCCCTCCCTCCCCAGATGCTAACTACTCTCCTCATTTTACTGTATTCCTTTCCTTGCATTTCTTTATTTGTACGTTATACATCTACTCAAATCTTGCTCATTAAAATAAAAAAGACTGCTATGTGTTTCAGGTGCCTTGTGATCTATCGCTTCCCTTCCACATCTTACAATTTATTTGCTGAGGAATCTGAGTCCTTACGTGAGCAGGTTTTCCCACGGTTTGGATTATGCGGATTTCAGACTCATGGCACAATTAAACTGTATTAATGTGTTTTTACACTGCTGAAAAAGATTCCCTGAGACTGGGCAATTTACAAAAGAAAGAGGTTTATTGGACTTACAGTTCCATGTGGTGGGGGAGGCCTGACGATCATGGTGCAAGGTGAAAGGCACGTCTCACGTTGGGGCAGACAAAAGAAGAGAGCTTGTGCAGGGCAACTTTTTCTTTTAAAACCATCAGATCTCATGAGACATACTCACTATCATGAGAACAGCATGAGAAAGACCCGCCCCCATGATTCAATTACCTCCCACCAGGTTCCTCCCACAACACGTGGGAACTGTTACAATTCAAGATAAGATTTGGGTGCAGACACAGCCAAACCATATCATCAACATGTACCTTTTTTCTTTATTTGCTGCAAATTGGCAGCAGGATCTTGAAGTGTGATCCAGCCCAAGTACCACCCCTTGGTTAGACTCTAAGTGGTGACACGCTGTGCTTGCCCCAGGGGCACAGAGCACTCATTTCACACTCTTTTATTGATGTCAGTTCAAGCTTGCTTTGCAAATTTCCTGAAGGTTCCTAGTGGTGGTATCCTCATCCTGTCATTCAGTTTTATTTATTCTCTAAAATGTCTGTGTAAGGAAAAGCGTTCCTTCATCTCTTTGGGTATCCCAGGGTACCTTTTTATGAATTATAATTGAATGTAGAAAAGGCAGGAAAAATGTTTGATTCTTTCCTTTTGACTAGTTTTCATGATAATGACTCCTTGTCATCCTCAGAAGGTGATCGTTTTTAAAAATATTGCCATAAACTCATGCTTTAAAATATATTTGAAGGGTTTCAATTTATGGACATTTTTTTTTGGGTAGTAAAACAAATGATTCCTTCTGTGGCCAGTGGGAGCCCTTCCTGGTGGCTCCTGAATCCTTTGCACCTGGTGGCTTCTGGCAGCTGCTTTGCCATCTGATATTTCCAGGTAAACCTGGCTTGTCTTGTACATTTCCTGCTTCAGACCTGGAATCAGCCATTTTTATAAGAAGCCTATGTTTTGTTTCATTTTTTTTCTTTTTTTTAAACGAGAAATCATATTTTAGGGCCATGATCTGGGTGTTACATATACCTTACTAGTTTTATGATCATTGATTTTAGGCCTTTTCAGGGGACAGAACTAGATTTGAAGTAGAAGACAGAGCACCTCAGTCGTTCATGCTGATATTTCCATTTCAAATTTGGGACCACACTGTTTTTCTTTTTTCTTTTCTTTTCTTTTCTTTTCTTTTCTTTTCTTTTTCCCTTCCCTTCCCTTTCTCCCTTTCTCTCTCTCCGTTTCTCTCTCTCTCCCTTTCTCTTTCTTTCTTTCTTTCTTTCTTTCTTTCTTTCTTTCTTTCTTTCTTTCTTTCTTTCTTTCTTTCTTTCCTTTCCTTTCCTTTCCTTTCCCTTTCACTTTCTTTCCTTTCCCTTTCTTTCTCTCTCTCTCCCTTTCTTTCTTTCTTTCTTTCTTTCTTTCTTTCTTTCTTTCTTTCTTTCTTTCTTTCTTTTCTTTCTTTCTTTATTCTCCTTCCCTCTCTCCCTCTCTCTTTCTTTCTCTCTTTCTTTCCTTGACAGGGTCTCACTCTGTCACCAGGCTGAAGTTCAGTGGCATAATCTCAACTCATTGTAGCCACAACCTCCTGGGTTCAAGCGATCCTCTCACTTCAGCCTCCTGAGTAGCTGGGAGCACAGGTGCATGCCACCACGCCCAGCTAATTTTTGTATTTTTTGTAGAGACGGGATTTCGCCAAGTTGGTCAGGCTGGTCTCGAACTCCTGACCTCAAGTGATCCTCCCTCCTTGGCCTCCCAAAGTGCTGGGATTACAGGTGTGAGCCACTGTGCAAGCCAAGGGACCACACTGTTTCTATCTGACCACTTACTTATATTACATCTATATCTCATTTCTTCTCACTGACAATCCTGGTTTTCAAGGATATAGCATAAATATCAGAAAACTTTTCTTTAAAGGACAAGATAGCATGTATTTCAGGCTTGCAGGGCACATGGTCTCTGTTGTAACCACTCAACTCTGTCAGTGCACTGTGAAAGCAGCCACTGACCCTATGTAAATGAATGGGCATGGCTGTGTTCCAATAAAACTTTATTTACAAAACAGGGATAATTTGAAGACTCCTGATACAGGAGAAAAAATAATTAGAATATTCCATAATTATTTGCTTTATCCCACTTTGCAGATCTCAGAATAGCAATACTGATCCACTTACTATTGATCTCTCAGGTTGAAGTGTAATCCCCAGTGTTAGAGGTGTGGCCTGGAGGGAGGTGATTGGATTATGGGGGTGAGTTTCTCATGAATGGTTTAGCAGTGTCCCCTTGGTGCTGTCCTGCAGTAGTGAGTGAGTTGTCACGAGATCTGGCTGCTTAAAAGTGGGTGGCATCCCCCTCCCCTCTCTTGCTCCTGCTCTGGCCATGTCATGCACCTGCTCCCTCTCTGCCTTCTACCATGATTTTGAGTTTCCTGAGGCCTCCACAGTCATGCTTCCTGTACAGGCTGCCGGACAGTGACCCAGTTAAACCTCTTTGCTTTATAAATTACCCGGTCTTAGGTATTTCTTTATAGCAATGTGAGAATGGACTAATACAACTGTAAATTTTGATTTCCTGAACATACAAATATTTATATTTGCTATGCCCATTTTCCCCATCTTGTACATGCTTTTCCTATATCTGTGCTGTAGATCATATGGCCATTACAGACTATGATCTCTCCCTTTTTAGCCTCATTTAACCTTGTTCCACCAAGTAACTACATATTTAACTACTAGTTAAGTCAATATATCTCTAGTTATTTTATTTGCCCTAAGCTTGTTTTCTGGTAGATTCCTTAGGAAGTTTTCGTGGAAGCAGTAGTCTCAGAATTACTCAAGTGTACATTATACTGGAAGATCAGATTTGCTGAGTACAAAATTCTAGGCTCATTTTTTTTTCTCTTGACAACCTTAACTATGTTATTCTGCTCTTCAGGGATAAAGCATTAGTGTAGAAAATCTGATAATAAGCCAGTTTTGTTTTCTTAATATGTTAAGTGACCCTTTCACGTACATGTCCAATGGATTTTTAAAAAACAAGTTAAGTAATTTTAATAGTAAATGTCTTGGTGCTGGTTATTCTCGGGTGGTATTTGTAGGACTCAGTGTATTTAGTATGTGAGTTCAAATATTTTTTGTTTCACGAAAGTTTCTTTGAACTATAGTTTTTATTATTTGTTGTATGGCTTTTCTTTAGTTTTCTTCCTCAGGGACTCCTTTTAAACATATGTTGAATTGTTATTGCCTATCTTCAAGATTTTTCACTTTTTTCTGTAACTTTTTTTTTATCATTTTGGATTATGATTTTTTTTCACTTTTCTACTCTTAAGGTGTTCTGTGTTGTGTTATTTTTTCTTGTGTTCCTTCTAGTTTAGTCTTTATTTCTAAAATGCTTTTCTTTTATTCTAATTGTTTTTGAGTTCCGCCGTCTCATTATTGAATGTTTCTATCTATTATTCATGGGTTTAAAAAAATGCCTTTTACTGTTCTCCTAAATGTTTAAATGGTTTAGAAATAGTAAGTTACAGTTTTGATATTTTTGGTGTCTTTTTATAGTAGGGTTGTTATTCTGCTCCATATTTGTAGTTTTCTTAAAGTAATTTTGTTACTTGAGATACTTTTCTACCCAGTTTGTTTCGTGTGAAATACGTTTCCTTAATGTTCAGAACTTTGTTCAGACATCTTTTGCAACGTCAAAGAGCTTCCTCTTCAGTTTCCCCCAGTGTGAGAAGGAGTGGTGGTCTGGGCTCTGCACTCTCCTGTTCCTCTTCCCCTCCATTCTTTTATTGAAATCTTCTCCTTCCTTCATGTGTGGTTTCTTTGCCCTTCTCCATTCTGATTGCATTTCTAGCATTTTCTCCCGGGTTCGGGGGAAGGGGGAGCAGGTCAGTTTTAGGAGTTCCCAGGTCACCCTGGTGCAGCCTGCGACCCCTGGGGTCTTGCACTCACTGTCATTGAGCAGGGAAGCCCTCCTGGATTCATTCACTGGTCTCAGCTCCAACCCCTCTCCTTTCCCAAGGACACCTATGGACTACTGTTGGATTTTCTGTTCTTAGATCTTCCTTTTTGCCTTTCTTTCCCATGCAAATACTTATGATAGGCCCGTCTTGTGCTGGAGGTAATTTGTCCCCATCTACTTTTATTTTAGAGTCTGTGGAGATACCTTAGCATCTAGTTTTATTGTAAAAATTGACCATAGATTTTTTTTTTCTTTTGGTTTGGATAACTAAGTGCTCTGTCTGTTTTTATGTGTAGATTTGGGAAAATAAAACAACCAGGCTGACATCACTACGACCACCTTTTAATTCTAAGCAGATGCTTTTCTAGGGAGGATCATAATTTCTAAAAATTAAAAACAAGAAATGACCTAGACTCCTAGGTCTAGGTCAAACCTAGAAAAGGTGCCAACAAAAACGTCCTCTCTAAAGGACATGTTTCGTGTCCAGATAGCTTCACTGTTAAATTTGGTCAAAATTTTTAGGCCAATGATTCCTATGAAATGTAAACTTATAGAATTAAACAAATATTAAAAATTACCAAACTCATCCTATTTAGAAAACATCTTTATTTTTATTCTGTTTGTAAAAGATATGAATATATAAAATAAACTTTATACATTTATAAAAATAAAAAGTTATAAAGTCAATCCTGCAGAAATATGTAACAAGAAAAGCAACGATCCCCAGTATATTTGTTGGGGCTGTCATAACATGGTACCATAGGATGGGTGGCTTAAACAGCAGAAATTCATTTTCTCACAGTACTGGAGACTAGAGGTTCAATATCAAGGTGCTGGCAGGGTTGGTTCTTCTGAAGGCTATGAGGACGATACATCTCATGCCTCTTCCCCAGCTTTTGGTGGCTTTCTGGCAATCTTTGGCATCTCTTGGCTTGCAGAAGCATCACTTGATCCCTGCCTTCATCTTCATGTGGTGTTCTTTTTTGTGTGTTTGTGTGTATGTTTTTGTCCACATTTTCCTTTTTGATAAGACACTAGTTATGTTAGATTAGGAACTCATCTTCCTTGGTGAGTCCTATAAAAAAGGAAATGTGTCTTATCAAAAAGGAAACCTTAACTAATTACATCTTGAGTAACTACATCTTCAATGACCTTATTTCCAAATCATGTTCTGAAGCACTAGGGTTAGGACTTCAGTGTATGAATTTTTGTGGGACACAATTCAACCCATAGCATTCAGCAATCCATTTTTTTTCTTAACATTGTGGAACAACTAGAAATAAGGTATATTTGCAGTTTGCTAAATTGTCTTCTGAGTTTTGTTTTCTTCTCTCTTGTTAGTTTGGTGACTATGCAGCCACCGTATAGGTCTTCACACTTCTCAATATTCATGCTCGTCTTTGTCCTTAACAGAACCCCGTTCTTATTGAGGAATATAAATATGCTTGGCTTAAAGACTATTTTTTTCACCTTCCCTTGCATTTATGTGTAAACAATGGGATGTAAGACAACTTAGCTGAACATTTCTCCCTTTTACTTCTCTTTTTTGTGCTTGGAAGCAGATGTGATGGCTGAAGCTGCAATGCCTATCTTATGAACATGGGATGATTTTGAGATAAATACCACAGGCTGAAAGGAAAAACAGGAAGAATAAGCCCGTATTTCTATACCAATTTGAACTGTACTAGCCTTGGACTCCCTGTCTCTAGCTTCAGTTTATTTGGAAAAAAAAAAAAAAGTAAATCTCTTAAAGTGTTAAACCATTACAATTTGGTTTTCTTTCAGTATCAGCTAAACCTAATCCTAGTTGACACAGACATATCAAGTAATATTCTTAAACCCATATTCCTTAATTCATCGATTTTAAAAATGAAACTGAATATATTGATTTCTCCCATGAAAGATTAACAAATCAGCACATTTTCCTTATATCTCCACTTTGTAACCTGTATTCATCAGTTGGCTGCATCCACCTGCTGACAGTGTGGATTTTATTGCAGTCCACAATCATCAAATTATTTATACATTACTTCAAGAATGTTATAATAGCATGTCATGGCATTTTAACTCTATTTACCCCAACTGTTTTAACTTATCCTACGGTTTTTAAAAAATTTTAAATTTTATTTATTTATTTATTTATTTTTTGAGATGGAGTTTAGGTCTTGTCACCCAGGCTGGAGTGCAATGGCATGATCTCGGCTCACTGCAACCTCCGTTTCCTGAGTTCAAGCGATTCTCCTGCCTCAGCCTCCCAAGTAGCTGGGATTACAGGCACCTGCCCCCATGTCCCACTAATTTTTTGTGTTTTTAGTAGACACAGGGTTTCACCATGTTGGACAGGCTGGTCTCGAACTCCTGATCTCAGGTGATCTGCCCAGCTCAGCCTCCCAAAATGCTGGGATTACAGGCACGAGCCACTGTGCCCAGCCAACTTATCTTATGTTTAATTGAGTTTAACATTCACTATGATTTCTTTCATACACATGATTTCTGCATTTGTGATTTAATACTTTATTTGGCATCATTTCAGTGTCAATTTATTACAGGTGTTTGAAATCAGAAAATAAGTGAGGCTTAATCAAGATAGGAGTTTATTTCTCTCTCGCAAAAGAAGTCTGGAAGCAGGGTGGCCCGGGCTGTGACTGTGTCTTCATGAAGTAAATCCTAAAGATCTAGACTGCTGGCACTCTGGCCTCCTCGGAAGAAGGAGAGAGACAGAGGACAGGCCCCTCCCTGTAAGCCCCTCACAGCACTTCTTGGATTCCTTTAGAGAGAACTTGATCAACATGGCAACAGCTGAATGGAAGGGAATTTGGAAAGTGTCATTGTAACTCTGGATGGCTGTGTGCCTTCTTCATTTCAGAGTTTAGTCCCTGACGGAAGCAGGAGACACAACCAGCAGACTCTGCCATAGTCTTCGCATATATATCCCATGTGTCGCCTCTATCCTCAGTCCTTGGAAAGGTAGGAATGTTTTCTTTTTCCTTGCCAATAAATGATGACTCATAAAATTGACATGGAATACTTGCAAACCATTTTTTTTCGTTACCACTGTGCAAGCATATCTTCATTCTTTTGTGGCATCCAGTACTGCTGAGATACCTGAGGCTAAAATTTTCTCTAAACTGCTGGTGATTTGTTATTATGTCAAGATGCTGAAGGAGTCTTCTTTTATATTGAATTAAGCAATGAATTCTCTATTAATTTTACTGGAAGGATGGGGTATTTTCTTTTTTCTTTTTTCCCAAATCTACAGATTCCTGTTTTTTGTTTTGTTTTGTTTGTTTGTTTTTTCCTGGAAAGTTTTCTCACAGTAAAACTGGTTATTTTTTGTTGCCTCTGTTTTATTTTCTTCTTCAGGAACAATTTTGAACATTTTGATTTTCTTTTATTTGTCCTTCTTGTAATCGTTTTTCACATTTATCTGTTTGGTTTTTCACTGCTTTCTCCACAGATAAATGGTCGTTGTGATGTCTCTTATCCACAGATAAATGGTGGATGTTACGTCTCAACATCGCTGAGTTAATTTTAAACAGCATCAATGATACATTCTGTGTCAAATATGGCTTCCAAATTTTGTCACAAATTTTGTCTTTTTTTATTTCCCTTATCACCTCTGACAGTTTATTTTTTATATCGTTCGGAGTCCTATCATCTGGTTGTTTTTATTTTGAAATAATCTCCTGCTTGCTAAAATGTTGCAGGACTAGTTCAAAGAGCTTTATTTTTGAACAATTTGTAAGTTGCAGCACAATGTCCATGAGCCCAAATACTTTAGCAAATATTTCCTACAACCTGGGACACTCCTCTGCATAATCCCAATGCAACCATCAAAATCAGAAAATCAACATTAATATAGTATTACAATCTAACCTACAGACTCAATCCAAGGTTCCCGTCATTGCAATAATGTCCTTTCTAGTAGGAGGATTCAATCCGGTCCACACGTTGAATTTAGCTGTCCTACATTTTTAGTTTCTTTCTGGCTGGACGTCTTCTGTGTCTTTTCTTGTCTTTCAAGACCTTGACATTTTTGTATGTTAGAGGCCTGTTGTCTTAAAGAATGCTCCTCGATTTGGTTTTGTCTGATGATTACACTCAGATTATGCAATTTTGGTGGCAATCTCATGAAGTGACAATATGTTCCTTTCATGCATCCTACCACAAAATAGGTGGTTGCGGTTTGTCGAGTTACTGGCGAAGTTAATTAACCTTGATCACTTGGTTAAAGAGGTGCCTGCCAGATTTCCTCTACGGCACGGAGGCGTACTAAGAGTATGGACTGTCGCATTTCTCTTGAACTTTCACCCACCAATTCAGCATCATTGGGTGAATTCGTACAACGATTCACTAATTGTATTCCACTGACGGAGGAAAAAAAGCATTCTCCACTTTGCATTTATTTACTCATTTACTTACCTCAGCATAGACTCATGGATTCCTATTTCATGCGGTAGTGTCATTATTTCCTTGCTCAAATTGTCTGATGTGGCCCCTGGGATCCCCTTCATGACATGGCCAGTGGGATCCCTTTGTGCTGGTTTCTGTAGGGTCTTCTCACCCTTGTGCGGAACACTTCCTCACATCTGGAATGACAATGAGTCCCAGGCTCATCCTGAAGTTTCCCTGCCCTAGTCCCAAATCCACCATTTCCGCATTGAGTCTTTTTTGTTTGTTTTGTGTTTAGTTTTTGAATGTAGGGAATAATATTTGACAGTATACATGTAACGCTTTTGTCATTAAAATATGCATATTTCCTAAAAAGTAAAAAGGATTGATATTCAAACTGGGCAGATAACAATAAAGTGAAATATTCAGCAGGTTGAAAGCAAAATTACAACAGACTCTAGCTCAAAGCAAAATGAATCAATTCTGCTAATATTTGCATGCTGGTGTTGAACATTTCCTTACTTTCTATGTCAAATTAAAATTAGTATCCATATGGGCTTTTTAAAGTAAAGTGTTTTGCATGGAAATTGATCAACAATAAAAGGCATTTGTTGAAGCTAAAGAAAAAGTCATTAAGATAACGAAGGACTAGAACTTCATATTGTACACTGGCACAGCACTTGGTAACTGCAATACTGGACGATGCCTTCCACTCGTGTGTGTGTGTGTGTGTGTGTGTGTGAGAGAGAGAGAGAGAGAGAGAGAGAGAGACAGGGTCTCACTCTGTTGCCCAGGCTGGAGCCCAGTGGTGCAATCTCAGCTCACTGCAGCCTTGACCTCCTGGCTCAAGTGATCCTCCCTCCTCAGCCTCCCAAGTAGGTGGGACTACAGGCGCACCACCACACCCAGCTAATTTTTGTATTTTTTGTAGAGATGGGTTTTTGCCATGTTGTCCAGCCTGGACTTGAACTCCTGAGCCACTTTTAAACAAACTTAAAGAACTACCTCCAGATTCAGTATCAACATCCATAAAGAAAGCTCCAGCAACGGGAACAGCTTCTACCTCTCCCGACCTGCTGATTGGGAGACCTCCTCGTGACAACTGTCATGCCCTGGCAGCCTCTACCAGTCACCCATGTGACAAGTGATATTTAAGTGCAAGTTATACAACACCATTTGGCTAGTTTTGGCAAGACCAGAATAGAAGTGCTTGGTTTTGTCCATTTATGCTTTCCATCTTCATTAAGAGAATGTGGTCAAAAGATGGTGGTCTTGCAACACTCCATTAAGTAATGATTTGTAGAAAGTAGATATCATCCATTTCTTCTACAAACAGAGTGAGCGTAAGAGGAAATTCTTTTAGCTTTGACAACTGTTGGCCAGCAGAAGATAAAACCACTTCAGAGAACCAAAGCTTAATGTCAGGGATACTGAATAAATAATTTAATAGAGTTAAACCTGAAGTGGTGGAACACTTTCTGGACTCCATTGCCAATATCATGAGGTTAAACATCACCATTTGGGTTTAAGGTGGTGCCCAAAGGTTAGGAGCTGGTCAGTCAATTTCCCTACCCGCCCCCCCAAGGCCATTTCCTCCATGATGCCCTCCCTGATATGCATGGATACATGCCTCTTCCTTCCTCTGCTTCTTGTAGCCTCTGAACACTGCTTTACCATCATCACATCGGATTATAACTTTTTTCCTAAACATCTGTCTTCCCAGAGAGATACAAAATTCCTCACAGCTGAGGACGAAATCTGATTCATTTTTCTTTTCCTTTGTGGAGCGCAAAACTTGGCATATAGCAGCTTCACCAAAATGCAGTTTGAAGGAACTTTTCCTTTCTTAATGTTTACTTAGTACTCTTTTGTCCCTCTAAGTGTGCATTTATTTTATACTATTGATTTAGGGAGTAAGTATGTTTCTCTCCTCCAGTGAGTTGTGATCTTCTCGAGGACTGGATTTTATCCACATCTTCCTACTCTAGTACATGCTCAATACTCTTTTCACTGGATTACATTAATAACTTTATTTTTCTAAAGATTGCAGAGATAGCATTCATTTAGCTTGTGTTCTTTCATCTAGTGATTCCTTCAGATAAAAGGGGTTGTTGATTCTTGTTGGATGGGTTAGGAGAATAGATTATTGATCATGGATTTCTCTAGCAAAACCAGAGGGCAGACTTTAGGATGATTGTATCAACACCTGCATCTTATCTACATTTTAGGTTTTCTACCGACTGGCAAAGAGACACCCTTACTATGTGTTGTTGACTCATGGACTTTAGATTGAGCCCTGTTTGGGCAATGGCCCAGGGAGCTGGGAAGGATCAAGAAGGAGAGAGTCTAGCTTCTAATTAAAATTCCCCAGTTCTGTGCACCTGCAAAGCCTCAAACCCCATATCCCTTTTCCTAAGACAAACTGGGTCACACACTCCCCTCTTAGCATCCAAATACTCACAGCTATTCTTTTGTGATTTTCTTTCCTTTCAGGGCTGTTTTAAATTTTTTTTTAAAATTTATTATTATTATTATTTTATTTCCATAGGTTTTTTTGGGAACAGGTGGTGTTTGGTTACATGAGTAAGTTCTTTAGTGGTGATTTCTGAGATTTTGGTGCACCCATCACCCAAGCAGTGTACACTGTACCCAATTTGTAGTCCTTTATCCCTCACCCCCCACCCCCGCACCCTTTTCCCATGTCCCCGAAGTCCATTGTATCTTTCTTATGCCTTTGCATCTTCAGGGCTGCTTTTAAAGTTCCCTTGAGGAGATGGCACTTGTAGAGTCAGAGAACTAGAAAACTTGTTTGCCCCAGGCCTCCTGTATCCGAGGCTTATCCCCACCAGTCAAGTCCTAGTGTAACTAATAGGTTGTTTCAGATCCTAACATGAAAACTGCAAAAACAATTTTTCAATTTTTTTAGGTGTGTTCACCTGGGTAGTTAACGGTAATCAGTAGCTGCAAGTGTGTGTTCCCCAAGGGCCAGGTGCCTTCGCTCTCTGGGTGTATATTCACTGATAGAGATACCTATATTTTAGTTTATAGCTGTATGAAATTTTATATACATACATATATATGCATGTTCTCATTTAATAATTGAAACGCCCCTGTGAGGTAAGCACTGTCACCCCTGTTTTATAGTGAGAAGATGGAGGCCTGGAGTGATTAAGTAACTAGCCTAAGAATATTCAACTAGTAAATGGGTTAGCCAGGACTGGAATGTAAGTATTTCTGATTCCAAAGCCGTTGCGTTTCCACGTTTCTATATTAGCATCTGGGGATATTGCTGATACTCAAAGCATAGAGTTTGGGTCTTTGGCTGTGTCTTCAGGATGGGGCAGACAGGGGCAGGAGGTTACAAGCTGAGAGTCACTGAACCTGTCCCGACTCAGGGAAAGCGCCCCTGCCTCGGGGGTCAACCTTTCCGAAGACTGGGGGCACTGAGGGGTGCAAAACCGCCTGGCATTCCTGGGCTGCCTTTGCCAGGGCCACTCCCCGAGGGCTTTGAGGGATCTTTGAACGTTGTGCCCATCGCTGCTGCCGCTAGGGGGCCCAGGAGGGCCGCGGTTTGGAGCTGCTCTGTTTACACAAAGGGAATAGGGTCCCAGTGGGTGTTGCCGTTCGTCCATGACAGCCCACTGGATCAGGTCCCACAGTGCAAGCAATAACGTTTTGGGGGAAAAGTGAAGCTGCTTGGCTTTCCTAAGTACAAATCTCTGAAAAAAGAAATACTTCCTTCTTTATATTTGAGTTTCTCAAAGCTGAGATGGAGTCTTACATCAATTACAGTGATTTTAACTCTAACTGGCCTCTTGAAAGGAAGTACAACGTCCAGAGGAGAGAGTTGCAGACATTTGCAAGCCCACATCCCATTGTAAATGCTGTAATCATGCCGTCAAACCCAAGTCAGAAGGAAGATTTTTAAAGATTAGCTCATTTGGTCCCATTTATTGAGCATTTACACTCACTGTACCGGGTACTTAATATATGTTATCTCATGTTATCTCACTCATTTGTCATCCCAAAGCTAAAAAGCGGTCTTAGCCCCACTTTACAGATGAGGAAACTGAGGCTCAGACAGGACAGTCATCCTGTCCCGGGGTGGGGCCGGATTTGCTTATGGTCTGTGAACAGTGATACTGCAGGTCTACAGATCACGCTTTGAGTAGCAATCCTCTGACTTTACAGAAGGGGAAACTGAGACCAGAGAGGGAGTTCCCTCTTCTCCAGGTCATTCATGCTTGACTGCTGTGTCTAGACTGTGGAATGCATTTGACCTTGGCCAGAGCAGGTCCAGGCTGTGGGCACAGGGCCTTGGGTTTTGCCTCAGACTCAGCCCCATTCTGCCCTCTTGGAAGACTCAATGATTGTCTCTGCAGTTGGACCAAGTGCCTGACCATCAGGCACCATCCTTTCCATTAGGCACACACGAGATTCACGTTCAGAATTATGTTGATGTAGTGTAGTGTATGTTGATGATGTGTACTGAGAAATATATGGTGAACTAGAGCAAGGGCCGGACTCAGGGCTCACTGTAGACCACTGCTGGAAGGCCAGGGCATGACCTCAGTTAAGAAAGAGTCTATCAAAATGTAGCTGATAATGACTTTATTATTTCCCTCTGCAAAGTAGACCATTGTGTTGGGGTAAGTGACAGTTGTGCCCTTGTCAATAAGATCATTGCAGAGGCCTGTCCCCATTACAGGGTGGTACGGAGCAGATGGTAATGCTGGGTGTGTGGTGGAAGCAGTCACTAAGGCTGCCCATTTGGCTGGAGTCACCTGGTCGGGATGGAATGCCCTCCACCCAGTTTTGTGACGCCTCCGCACAAACTAAAGAAACTCATCCAAAAGGGTTAGTGTAGCCTGAGTGTCTCCCCACAATGGAAAGGAATTATAGAGACTTCACCCAGGGAGCAGGGCAATGCCAGAATGTCACCTGGTAGGGCACAAACCCAGGAGACCCCTTCTAACAAGAAGACACATCAGGATTCTGGGTGCTCATCAGACTGCAGTGCAGAGGTGGACTCTCTGAAGTCCTCACCAGAGAGGACAGCTCCAAGCTCCCTCATTGACTTGTGTGAAGTCTGCAGCTTCCGGCAGCCATGAGCCTGCCATTCTCTATGGCTACCACTCCACTTGCAGTATGGCAATGAGAGAAAGATGACTTGTAGTCATTAAATGAAAGAAAATCTTTATTACCATTATTATTACTCTCCCTGAGGAAAATTAGATCAGGTCTCTGGTGAATTCTGATTGGCTGGGTGCACTGGCTGCCCTGTTTGCTTCTCTGTTCTCACGGATTCTCTGCAACTTGGCAGGTGATTCCCTATTACTTTTCTGAAATGCAGGTTGAAATGCACTGTAGGGTAAATTTGGTTCCCCTGTCAGCTAATTAACTCTTAAAATAGACCCACCAGCTTTCATTTTCAGGAAAATAATTACTTGTTGAAATAACACACCTATTTCTAATCCAGTGGCTTATTATTTTAGCTAACTGGAAAAAAAAATACAAAAGAAAAGCAGAAAAGCCCATATCTAGAACAGGACAATAGCGGAAGTGCATAGGAGGCAGCAATGTGGGGCTCAAGAGGTGACAGGTGAGTAGGGGCACCTGGAAGAGAGTGTTTTGGGTGCAGAAAACAATGTGCTGACGACAACGGGCCAATGCAGCTTCGATTCCTTTCTTCAAGTTGGTTTTCAGAGGGCACCAAGGTCCACAATGATCCGTTTCTCAGGGTGGTTTCCAGGAGTTTGTGTTTAAATAAACACCTTGCATGACCTTTGCAAAGAAAGTTTGAGAACTGCTACCTGCTACTTGCAATTAAAACCTGTCTTCTTGAAATGGTGGCATGTTAAGATGGGAGAGGCCACACAGATAATTTTATAGCCCAAGAATCCAAGGTCCGGGGAGGTTGAGTGATCAGAGCTCCAGGTTGCTCCTTCTTGTTTGTCAGGCCCATTGCACACATTCAGGTTTACGTTCCTGTTCTGCGTACTCTGTTCTGGTCTCAGAACCACAGAATCCAGAGAGGTAGAAGAGGCGGCATGAATGAACTGCAGACTTGCTGTTGATTCTGTGTGTGTGTGTGAGTGTGTACACACACATATATATACACAGAACTGTTTTACCAGCTCTGAATATTCAACTGATTTAAGCCACTCCTCGCTAGTGTTCCAAACTCAGGTTCAAGTTTTTCCAATAGTATATGATTCAATCATTGAAAAGAAGTGAAATGTACATTTAACATTCTGGTGATCAATGGATGTATTTTTCTACGTAGAAATGTATTTCCATTGTGACCCCCTCACTTATTATTTTTAATTGTTGCATAGTAGATAGCCACACTTTCAGGGGTCCATGTGATAATATATTCATATAATTTGTAAGAATCAAATTGGTGTACTTGGGATATCTGTCATTTTCAATATTTGTCCTTTTTTAATGCTAGAAGCGCTTGAATTATTCTCTTCTAGCTATTTTGAAACGTACAATAGATTATTGAGAACTCTAATTACCCTACTGATCTATTGGACACTGGTTCTTACTCCTTCTATCAAACCATATATGTGAACCTATTAATCAACTTCTTAGAAGCTCATTTTGACGTAGCTTGTGGGACATACATTTTGGTAACAACGATTGTTAACAGGGCACATGCTATGTGCTGGCCACCGCATAACCGCTTTACACTCATCATTTCTTTTAGTTCACAACAAAAATAAGGCTGAGGCTGGTAGTATTTTAATCTCCCTGTGCAGATGAGAAAATAAATGTTGAGACAATAAGTTTCCCACCCAAGTTGACACACTGACAGGCAGAAGAGTTGGAGATTTAAGTCTTGATGAGTCAGTCCTTAGAGCTCGAGTTTTTAAGCCCACTCTGACAAAGCAAGCCCACCCATTGTTCCCTCCACATGTAATGACATCACAGAATACAGACTTCATGGCATCACGTTGTGAGTTCTGTGTGGAGCATTTTAAGAGGAATCTGTCTGCGTACCCTAAGTGATGGAAAAG
Source organism: Homo sapiens (assembly GCF_000001405.40). Taxonomy (NCBI): domain Eukaryota; kingdom Metazoa; phylum Chordata; class Mammalia; order Primates; family Hominidae; genus Homo; species Homo sapiens. The sequence continues at coordinate 71,995 of NW_025791785.1, read as the reverse complement.
CCGCTTGTAGATTCATGGGAGTCCTGACGGGTGGCTGCACTTAGGTGAGAAATGAGTTAAATGCAATCACCCTACCAGTTGTGGGGGTCGGGGGGTGCGGGTGGTGGTGGTGGGGGGGCGCGGGGGGAGGGCGGCAAGCTCCAGGCTGGCCATGACTCACCTACATAGAGACAAGCACACACTTACAAGCCAAGAAGCGAGTTTGGCAAGTTTGGCCGAGAGCAACAAAGGGATGGAATGCTTCCAGAAGGAGCTCTCTGAAGTGCCTGAAGGGCAAGACTGAGAGTGACTGAGGGAGAGCTGCATTCAGAGCAGCTAGTGTTCAGTCTTGGAAGATGCCACGGGGTCTTTCTTTTAAATCTCTGCAGTTTCAGAAAGCAGGCTACACCTGGCACTTGTGATAGCCAGAGCAAAGGAAGCTGGTGGAGAAAGAAATGTGTCTGTAACACAGAGTTCCAAAAACAGCATTCTGCCAGCTCTCAATCCTGCCCTTTCCTGATTGTGACTTGAGAGAGAACGAAGTTGCCCTGGAGTCAGAGAAGGCGCCTTCTCTGAAAGAATGTCTCCCCCAGCTTGGCAGAGACAACGGTTGCTTTGAAACACAATCGCACCATCTCTATATTGTGATTTTTTAATTTTAGAAATGATTTACAGCCTCATTCTTCTCAGAATTTGAAAGTAGAATTCTATGAAAGCCAAAAAATTTGAATACAAGAAAACTCATTATTCCCTCTACAAATCCACTCCACCTTGTTCCTTTTCTCAGAGAATCACTGTGGCACCTACCCATTTGTCCAAGTCCGAGACCTGGGCTCTCCCACGCTCAATGCACGACATCCACTCACTTCCCGTCTTGGTGGTTCTGCCCTCAGGAGTCTGAGGCCTGTTCCCTCTTCTCTCTTCCATCTGCCACCATCTGGTTTGTATCCTCCTTGTTTTCCACCACACTTTCTACTTAGACTACCTTCTTTGTCAGAGGAATGGCCACTTGCATGAGACTTGTGAGACATATTAACTCAAATTCAAATTTTAGACGTTATGCATATACAGCGGAACCCCCCCACGAACATCCCGATAACTAACACACATGTCTGACTTGCACCGTGGCTCCTGACTTCAATTCCTTGGTTTAGGGGCAGTCAACAGTGGAGGGGAAAGCCGGGAAACGCTGCGTTTAGGCTGGATCCTGATGCCTGAGCAGGGGTTTCCTAGAGGGAGGAAAGGCGTAGTGATCCAGTACCTCTTTCATAAACTTAGTGTTAAATAGTGGACAGACTTAACCAAAGGAGGGGGAGAGAAGAGAAGAAAGAAATGAAGATGACATGCCACTGAGGCGCGTGCCATCAGACTGTGGAAGAGACTCTCGGTCCAAATGCATGTTTCCTGAACTTCAGCCTGCCTCCAGAGAAAACCCACAGGATTTTAAAAAGAGAGGGGCGAAACTGCCGGGCAACTTTATGAGCTTTATGGGTATGCTAACAAAGAAATGCTCCTCCAAAACACCCAGCGCCTGGCTGGTAGGAGCACTGCTGGGATCAGTCATTCATGCCTTATTTATTACACACCTTGTTGTGTGAAGCAGCTCCATTTGGGGCCATCTAGTCCTGTTTTAAAGCCACTCTTGATTTAAAGCCAAACCATTTCATTGAAAGAGCTTCTATTCTAACGAAGACATACTGGTTATGTGTGTCTTGAATCTTTCAAAGGAAGAGTGATGCAATACCGGGGGTCTGCTGTTTTAGCAGAGGCAGTGTTTCTCATGGAGATCTTCCTCACAGCAGCCCCTTCTATCAGGCACTGCATTTGCATTTTAGAACAATTTTCCCCCCTGATTACCAGCTTGAACTGAGTGAGGAAAAGGGAGGATGAAAGAATGCAACCGAATGCCCCTGCCAAACCCAGCCACCTGTTAATGAAGCTCAGCTCCTCCCCTCTTCCCTTCTCATTTCATGGAAATGGAGAGTGCAGGACTGAGATTTATGCATTGGGAATGAAGCAGGAGGGTTTTTCCAAGCGCTGGCCAGAACGCTGAAATCAAACCTGTTTCAGTGAAAAGTGCATTGTTGCTCTTGTTTAAGAGGCATTCACAGGCAATAAGCAAATCACCTCAGGATGAATACATTTGGTTCCTGATTCTGAATCTGTGGAAAGATTGTTAAAATATAAAGCAATATACACCAGTTACTGACCCACTGGGAAATTCTGTAGCTCCATAAAGCACGTTAAAACATTGTAGTTATTTCAGTAAGTCTGTGTTTGCAGGCTGAGATGCTACGGAATCGGGCAGGGAAGGAGAATGCCTTGCAATTAGATGAATTTGCCAAGAGATTTTAAGTGGCATGAAATGCCTGGTATCAGCCTCTGGGAATCAGCGTAACATTCTTCCCTGTTGGAGTTTATTCCACTAGGATGTTATCATCGGTGCCCTAGCAGGACTCCCAGAACCCTTGGGAAGTATTTTTGGATGCAACATTACTGGAGGTCATTTTAACAGAAAAGTGAAAGCTTTTCTTTGCTGGGGCCAATCCAAACATAAACAGTTCAGGCAATTTTGGTTTTCTTTAGAACTTCAAAGGCCTTTGCTACTCTTGGGACAGTTCCCCTGGGCATGGAAATATGCGAGTGACATAGTCGTGATGCAAGAGGCAGCGTGTGACTGCGTTGCATTACGTGGGTAGCTTTCAAAATAGGCTCATGCAGGTTAAAATGTGAGCATATTTAGATGGCTTTTCCAAAGTGATCACTTAAGGCCCTTAAAAAACTCAGACAGTAGCATGCTGTTGGGTGTCTGATTTATATCTGGTGGTGGACTTCTGGATTGGAACCAGAAATCATTGTAAGTGCAGTTTGTTAGTGTTCTATTTATTCATTTATTTATTTTCTCTCTCTTTTTCTTTGTGGCCTGGACTCTTCTGGGCCCACGAATGCTGGGAATTCTAGGATCTTACATCATGGGAGGTAGTCTTAAAAGTGAAGCCCCTCAAGGGGCTTGCGGAGTTTTAAAGTTGGGACACAAGGGTGGGAAGGTCTGGGTAAGAAGGAGGCAGGTGTGGGCAACAGCAGCAGAGGGCTCAGTGTTGGTCCGATGCCCACTTTCTGGGACGTGGGACACACGGCTCTCCCTCCAGACCTCCTTCACCTCCCTTCAATACCCCCTCCAAAGCATTTACTTTTTAAAATTTGTTTTTCATTTAGGGACTGGGTCTCGCTGTGTCGCACAGGCTGGAGTGCAGTGGTGCCATCACAGGTCAGCGCAGCCTTGAATTCCTGGGCTCAAGCTATCCTCCCACCTCAGCCTCCTGAGTAGCTGGGACTAGGTGCATACCACCATGCCCAGCCTGAGAAACACTTCCTTTTTTTTTTTTTTTTTTGAGATGGAGTCTGGCTTTGTTTTTAGAAGCACTTACTTTTATGTGGCCCCGTGATTGGCCATGTAATAAAGAGACTCACAGCAATGCCTGTGCCTGGACTACGCATGACGAGTTCACAATTTAGGACACACACGGGATATAAACACGTGACTTCCCACCTGGAGAAAAGCGCAGCGTGAGCCCTGCACTGACTGTCAAGCGAGTCTTGAAGTACCATGTGCCTGCCTGCCATGGGTTGTCGAGTGGGAATATTTGGGATTAATATTTCTTTTCTCTTTTGTTTTAAACACCCCTAATGAGCCCCAGAGTTCCACTTATTCGGTCAGATAGGAACACTGCAGCCTGTCTGGGGAAGGATGTTGGACTAACAAAAATCCCCAAAGAAGGTGAACTATAAATCTAAATACCAGCAGAACCTTTCAAAGCAGGAAGAGAATCCTAGGAAGTCACCCTCTTATGTTCTCATGAGACACTGTAAAGCAGTCCTATCGCTCTCCCTTGACTGAGACTGAGGTCACACAGCCACATTAGTCAAAAATGCATGTACCCGGAAAGTCTTTACCAATCCTGGTAGACCACAGGACAGCTATGCTGAAGATGTGTGAGATTAGCTCAACTCGACAGAAAACAAAACCTGCTGTGGAAGAGTATCGGGAAAGAAACCGATCGGCTCTTTTGTTGCTTTGTTCGTTTTGAGGTGAATTAGGTTTAAAATGATTTGTGGGTAGGATTCTGCAGAGAAGTAAACTTGAGCTCAAAACACAGAGCTGCTTGTTTTCCACTTAAAGGACAGAGCTGGGATTCCTTGGGCATAGCTAGATGAGTGAGAATCAAAGTCATATATGAAGAGAAAATTCACAGGGTCTGTGTTGCTTGAGCAAAATGACTGGACCATGAGAAGGCAATCAGAGAATGATGAGGCAGTCTACATATTCTGAAGAGCTGGCCAAGTCCAAGGAAATAAAAGTGGCTCCCATGTCAAAGTCATTGTGCCAGAGAGGAGTGTTCCTGGGATTTCATAGAGCAAGAGTCTTTGTGGGATCTTATTAAATGTTTTCCCAAAAGAGTATGAGGAATTGAAGGAAAGGGGAATCTACAATTTTTCAGGGCATTCTCAGAGGTCTGTGATGTGAAAGGAAAGAGGCTGGGCTAGGGCTAACGACAGTGAGTGAGTCCATCCTGGGCAGGATTGTTGTCTGGGCATAAAGACTGTTGGTGAAAGCATCAGACCAGGGGAAGTGAACGGTTAAAGACACACTGATACAATATGAGAGATAGGGGCTTTTCATGCTCAACTTTCTCCATTTATTCTTTAAATAATGGAGTTTCCCCAAATTCATTTGGTGCCATTTCAGGGGCTCATTTTATATATTCTTCCTAGTTGTCCTTGTTCCCTCTCTTTTAGTTGTGCTCCATGACTGCAAAATCCTGCTGGCAAGATGCACTGCCCCTCTCAGGAGGTATGGAGGTTCTCAGAATTCTCACTGCATTGATGGGGGGATATGAAATGTTTTTCTGCTTCTCTGAGCCTGTGGTTAAAGCAGGGGTCCCCAGTGCCTGAGCCATGGACCAGTACCTGTTTGTGGCCTGTTAGGAACTGGGCTGCACAGGAGGAGATGAGTGGCAGGGGAGCCAGCAAAGCTTCATGTGTATTTACAGCCACTCCCCATCGTTCGCATTACCACCTGAGCTCCGCCTCCTGTCAGATCAGTGTTGGCACTAGATTCTCATGGGAGTGCAAACCCTATTGTGAACTGTGCATGTGAGGGATCTAGGTTGCGTGCTCCTTATGATAATCTAATGCCTGATGATCTGTCACTGTCTCCCATCACCCCCAGATAGGACCATCTAGTTGCAGGAAAACAAGCTCAAGTCTCGTATTGATTCTACATTATGGTGAGTTGTTTAATTATTTCATTATATATTATCACGTAATAATAATAGAAATAAAATGCACGATAAATGTAATGCACTTGAATCATCCATAAAACACACCCCCGTCCTCATCCGTGGAAAAATTGTCTTCCGCAAAACTGGTCCATGGTGCCGAGAAGGTTGGGGACTGTCGGGCTAGAGAACAAATGACCTCAGTTACATGTTAGTGTCATGATTGATGTCCTTCCCTAAGGGGCCAATCAGTTTGCTTCCTCAACTCTTTCTTCTCAAAGTGCCTGTGGCATCTGGGTTTTCTCCTTTTCCTTGAATACCTTCCATCTCTGTTTTCCAGAGGAAACTCTGCTTCACTTCCTGCTGGCTGCCTGACATCTACTTCCATGCTTTCAGTTATTCACTCAACAAACATTCATTGAGCGCGTACTGTGTGTCAAAGAGGCTCCTAGGCACTAGAGCACAGCATGAATAAAAGATACACATCTCTCAAATATAACTCGGTTTAGTGCATTTTTAAATTCTATTTCCCAGGGCTGTGGTCCTTTCCAGATTATCTCTTTTCAGACAGATTTTACTGGATTTGACTCTACTTGTTACAAATATTCCCATTTGCTTTTTTCTATTTAAACATAATGTATCATATAAGTTATATATTATGCAATATGTTGTGTATATAATATATAGTGAAACATCATGTACAAAGAAGTGTATAGAAAATATGTTGTTTATAAATTATAAAGTAAAAAGGTATGTAATTGTCTAGGTCAAGAAATAGAGCATTTTCAACAACCAGAGGGCTCCTAAATGTTTTTTCCTAATAATAACACCTTATTCCCTCCCCTAGAGATAATCACCAATTATCACTGAGATTATCAGAGATAATGTTAAACACTTCCTTTTATGCTTAATAGTTTTCCTCTCAATTCTGTATCCCTAAACAATTTAGTTGTATCTTTTTTTAAAGCAATCTTTTTATAGGTAGAATATACAGTTTGACTTATTGTGACTTTGGCTTCTTTCTTGCAATATTATGCTTTGAGTATTTAGCTGTTTTGTTGCATGAACTTGTAGTTTGTCCATGTTCATTACTGTGGAGCAGGTGTCTTCAAACTTCAAGGTGTGTCAGAGTCCCCTGGAGGACTTGTTAAATCACAGGAGCAGGTGTCTTCAAACTTCAAGGTGTGTCAGAGTCCCCTGGAGGACTTGTTAAATCACAGATTGCTGGCCCCCAGCCAGACATTATGAATTAGTAGGTTTGGGACAGGGCCCAAGAGTTTGTATTTCTAACAAGTTTTCAGGTGCTATTGATACTGTTGTTAGGGGCACCCCATTTTAAGAACCACAGCTGTATATTGCTCTATTATATGCATACACCACAATTTAATGATTCATTCCTTTGGTTTGGGGCTGTTGTATAAAATGCAGGTATGAACATAATTGGATCTGTCTCTTGCTTCTTATGTCACCTGCATTCTTGTGTTATAACTTTGCTGGGTATAGAATTCTAGAGTGACAGGTATTGAGATTCCTTAGCAGCTTGAAGGTAGCATTGCATTGTCTTTTTCTGACTTCCATTTCTCTTGTTGAAAAGTCAGCTGTCAGATTCTTGCTCCTCCAAAATTTCTCTAGTCACTTTTGAAGTTTTTCTTTAGTGTTGCTAACATGTCTACCACTGAATTTGTCATTTTTCTATTTATAAGCTTATTCTTCCTCGTCTGAAAAAACCTATTTCATCGGGTTATTTAAATTAGACACTTGAAAGACATTTTATATTTCTACCTTGTTCTTATCTCCCCACTCCCACCCGTCACAAAATTATCAGGTTCTATTGTTACTATTAATAGTAGCTTCTAATATTTAGTGAGGACTTACATTGCATCAGACACTGCTAAGCCCTTTACTTTTATTAGCTTATTAATCTATCCCTAAATAGCTCCCGAATCCAGCATTAGTTTATTAATTTTACTGCCATAACCCATTCAACCTCTTGTCATTATTTTTTCTGGGTCATTTCATCATACAACTAACCAGTTCCCCTCTCTTATCTAATGAGATGTCATCATGAGCTCAATAAAATGCAGACTGATTCTATTGTTCTGGCTTAACACCTTTTAAAAAAATTTGAATTTAATTTTTTTATATATTTTTTGAATTGATTTTTTCTTCACAAATAAAAATTGTACATATTTATTGTGTACAATATGATGTTTTGAAATATTCATATATTGTGGAATGGCTAAACTGAGCTAATTAACACGTGCCTTATCTCACATACTTATTTTTTGTGGTGAAAAGACCCAGAACCTTTTGGTGGCTCCTTACTGTATGCAGAGTAAGGCTTACGAAGACACAGGCTGCTTTTCCCTGGGCCCTGTCTACTCCAGTGCCATCTCCTGCCCACGTCCTCTGCATGCCATGAGGGCCTGGTTCCGTTACTATGGCCTTGTAAACCCTGCTCAGGACTGTTTTACATGTGCTCCTTCTTAATTCCCAGAATGATCCATTTATTAGTCCATTTTCACACAGCTATAAAGAACTATGCGAGACTGGGTAATTTATAAAGAGGTTTAATTGGCTTACAATTCTGCATGGCTGGGGAGGCCTGGGGAAAGGTGAAGGAGAAGCAAGCATGTTTTTTACAAGGTGGCGGGAGAGAGCGAGTGAGTGGGAGAAAACGGTTGCATAATTTTAAAACATCAGATCTTATGAGAACTCACTATCATGAGAACAGCATGGGGGAAACTGCCCCCACGGTCCAATCCCCTCCCACCAGATCCCTCCCTCAACACATGGGGATTACAATTCAAGATGAGAGTTGGGTGGGAACACAGAGCTAAACCATATCAACCAATCTTCTGAATTCCTATCTCCCTTTAAAGTGGAATCTAAATATAAATTCTTGAACTCTTCTGTGTTAGATTAGACTATTCCTTGACAAATATTCACACCTTCCCTCTACCTTCCCCTCTGCCCTCACATCCCTGCCAGGGGTGCACTTCCTACCCGGTAAATGTTGAGTGTGGCCACGTGACTTGCTGTGGCCAATTGAATGTGGGAAAAAGTGACTGTGGATTTGGAGCCTCGGAATAAGGGATGTGGTGTGTTTCCACTCATTCCTTCGAGAGATTTGTGCTGGCATGAAAACATGCAGCTGCTGGTCCCAGAAGAATGAGAGACATCTCAGGCAAGCCTAAACAAAACTTGTAGTTTAGAACAAAGCTTGGTCAAACTCAGCCAAGTTGAGCTGATACCAGCCTACCCATAGTTGGATGAGTGAGAAGTAAAGGCGCGTGTTATTATGTCTTGGTGATAGTTGGCATCTGGGGACTGCTGCGACTTTCGTGTGCTTTTCTCCCAAGCAAATGGGTGAGGTTCCCTCTCCTTTGTACTTCCTTAGCCTCCCATGCTTATGTCTCTCTCTGAGTGCCAATTGTATGATATTGTATTTTCATCACTGTATTATTGATCTATGTTTTATGCCTCTCAGTCTTCTCTAAATTCCTTGGGGGTAGATAATATATCATGTTTATGTTGCTATGTCAGTGCTTAAAATTGCATTGCATATAATGGAGGTTTAAAACTGTTTAATAAAAGAAAGTGAATGGAAACTTACATTTCTAGCAGTACTGCTAATTAGATAACCTGACTGATCCTCCCACTCAAAACAACTAAAATTGATGGCTAAAATATGGGAGAAAATGTGTGTTCTAGCAGGGAAATGAGCCCCAGAAGTCAAAAACAAAGAGAAAATTGAGAACGCAGAGAGATCATAAGAGCAATGAAGTCAACTTTTGCAATTGCTAAACCCAGATGACTGAGTTTTTCCTTTCATAGATAGGAGTGAACTATGACATGGGGCCTGGGACAAGAACCAAAGCCTTGGGTCCACTCAAGGGAGAGTCTAAAAAGGGGCCACTGATCAGCACTAACATCACACGAGCCTCCACCTAAATGTAACAGTGAGCAGGAACTTTGTGTCTCAAATCTTGATATTCAGTGGAAGTGAAGAGTTCTGCCTTGATGAACTCATAACTATAAACTAGCTCTTACATGTTTAGACAGCCCCAAGTCATGCCACATCACTAGACCTCAATTTGCTCTTGGTTTACTTTTAGGTTGATATACCTCCTGGTGTATGGCAAAAATAAATTCAGAAATCTCTGTAGAAGAGCCTATTTCCAACTCTGGCCTCAATGAATTCCCAAAGATAAATTGGCAAGACACATGAGGTCATGGTAACATTTTTCTTAAAAAAAAAAATGCAGGCTACTGGTTGGGCATGGTGGCTCATACCTGTAATCTCAGCATTTTGGGAGGCCAAGGCAGGCAGATCACGAGGTCAAGAAATTGAGACCATCTTGGCCAACATGGTGAAACGCTGTGGTAAAATTTTTGTATTTGTAAAAATACAAAAATTAGCTGGGCGTGATAGTGCGCACCTATAGTCTCAGCTACTCAGGAGGCTGAGGCAGGAGAATCACTTGAATCTGGGAGGCAGAGGTTGCAGCGAGCCGAGATCGTGCCATTGGACTCCAGCCTGGTGACAGAGTGAGACTCCGTCTCACAAAAAAAAAAAAAAAAAAAAAAAAAGGCCACTGTAAGTGACAGCAGAAAAAACAGACAGCAGAATCAGACGCATTGGACTTCAGATAATGCACTTATTGAAGATAATATAAATGATTATGTTTAATATTTTTAAAGAAATAAAAGAGGTGTTGAAACATTTAATGAAGGTGAGAAGAAGAACTGACTTGGGTTGAGGGATTGGTGCCACTGAGAATCCGGATAATCACTCTGTCATTGATTGGTTATTTGACTAAATCAATACATTTATTTATTTATTTAGAGATGGGGTCTTTCTTTGCTCCTCAGGCTGGAGTGCAGTGGCTCTTCATAGGTTCCTTCATAGTGCACTGTGGCCTCCAACTCCTGAGATTTGGAGGTAAAAGTGTTCAATTGATTCTCCTGCCTCAGCCTCCTGAGTAGGTGGGACTACAGGTGCCTGCCACCATGGCTAATAATATTTACTAAGATTCTAAAATATGCCAGACAGGAAGGTAAGGAGGTTGGATAAATGGTGGAACTGGGAGATAATATAGGCGATATTGGGGTGCTCACATTGGATAGCTTTTTTAAAAAAAAATGCATTAGATTGGCTATGGTGAGAAATGCTGGAAGAGGAGGTATCAGATGCTTTAAAAGGAACAGAAAATGATGAAGAGTCCAAGATGAATTTCACTTGATTGTTGAACACTGAGCACTCCTGAAGCCTTGCACATCTGGACGCTGAGTTGAAGGACTCCTGTGTCAATCAGCAGTAGTGAGTGAATTGGTCAATACATTCCACAGTTTTCTTCTCCGTACAATTACGAGTTTGGATGGGTCACAAGAAAGGTTTCTCATGAGATTTGGAGGTAAAAGTGAAGTCTGGGTCTTATACTTTTACATGGAAGGATCTGTGAAGGGCATGAAGCTCTGTTGCAGCCCAAGCCCATGGTGCTCAGCTCCTGGCTCACCTTGGGATGGGACAGCAGCCACTCTGGTCCTGAGCATCTCCTCCTCCAGGGCCTTTGCCTCCTGTACCAGGTGCTTTTTTAGTTCCACGAGGAAGGAGCAGCTTCTGCGGCAGGCCACTGGCCTCCTCTGTTGAAGGCTCAAGCAGGTTCCCGTCGTTCTCCGGGGCTCCAGCTTGTCCTGAATTTCTCAGTGTGTCCTTGCTCCTCAACTTTATGTCCACTTCTCCTTTCTGCCAGCCTGTCCTGATGACTTTAGGCTCCTGCCCCAGACAGAAAAAGGTAGCCTCCTCACACAGGCTGTTTAATGAGCTCTTATGGTTGCTTGAGCTCCAATCTCTATGACAAATCCTCAGTCAAAATCCCCCCATAGTGGTTCTGTTTCTTCCATCAAACCCCGAATGATAGAAGGAGCATGAGTCAGCCTAGCCTCTGACCTTTCCCAACCATTCAGTGTTTAGACACAGACAACATTGGATTTCCTGTGGCCACATCATGAGCTCAGGCCCTTCTTATTTGTTGGCAGAGCAAAGGAAGTAGCAGAGTGAGGCTGTGATATATTCTAGTCCAGCACTTCTTAAATGTTTTGGTCTCAGAACACCTTTACACTCTTAAAATGTATTCAGGATCTCAATGAGATTTTGTTTAAGTGGGTCGTATCTGTTGGAATTTATTGCAAAAATTAAGACTTATTTAATTAAAAATTATAAAACAGATTATTCATTTAAAAATAATAAGCCCATTACATGTTAATATAAAAGTACATTTTTACGGAAATAACTGTTTTCTAAAACAAAAACAAGTGGGGTAAGGACAGTAGCTTGTTTTAAATTTTTTGCAACTCTGTTTAACATCTGGCTTCATGGAAACCAGCTGGATTTTTATATCCGCTTCTGCATTCAAACTTTTGTTAACATTCTGTGTCCGGTAGGCTCTGGAAGACTCCATTGCATATTTGTGAGAGATTAACAGTGAAAAGGAAAATGGCATCTTAGTAATATTGTGAAAATAGGTTTGTCTTTGCAGACTGCTTGAAATTTTGGGATTCCCCATGGGTTCCCAAACCACACTGGGGGACTGTTGGGTTAGTCTAAGGGCTGAGTTTAAGGGTGAATTGTTAGGGGGTTATGAGTACTGGTCACGGTTTCAGGAGAAAAGTGAAGATGCCTCAGTGGCTGGCTGGCCATTTCAGGACCTTGGATAGAGAAGAGAAAGGTGAGCACAAGGAAAGGCTTTTCATGCTCTCGCTGTTGTAGTTGGGGATGTCATGAGTCTTCCTTTGTACCTGTCAGTTAGTTGTGGAGTAGACTGTTTTGCTCTTTCTAAGACTTAGTCTCGAGCAATGAAAAGCCAAGAAAATTTTAAGAGATGACAAAGACCTTTTGTAGAAGATTCAGTAGTTCTATGGTTCTGTAGAAAATAGTGGGTATGAATCGGGGTGATGTGGGTGATGGCTTCAACATCGATTACCACAGTTACAGCCAGAGTTACAATGCCCTGAAGACCATTTTGTTAGCCGTAAAGAAGTTCCTGTCTTTGTGGGTCATGAGATACTGATGTAGACTGGATTAATCGCCTTCCCTTTTATCCACACACAGAGGCACTGTATATCCTCATTCCCTCCCACATGTTGGCAGAGAAAATCTGGAAACGCACTTGGCCTTTCTCTCAAATGCCTGTGAGTGTGCACCCATGAGTACTGCAAGCACAGAGCAATTTTCCTGCTGTGAATCCTCCTCTTTGCTTCCTAAGAACACAGCCTTCAGCTCCACAGCAGGAGGTGCCTTCTTTAGGCAACATTTTTACGATGAAGCATTGTACCCTGTCCAGGGCCTGATAGACAAAAACTTGAATGCAGTCAGGGCTGAGCTGCTTTCTCCTGTCTGAGTGGAGAGTGGAAGAAAGATTCAGCACTTGTTCATCCACTCCAACCAGGTACGTTCTGTTTCCTAGTTCTTTTTAATCAGATGATGAGTGGGACTGAACTGTTTCCCAGAAAAAAAGCTGAAATCTGAGCTCTAGCAGCTCCCGGCCTGCCTTTGCTGACACGTTGAAATCTAACAGTGGCAAGGAAAGCAGACCTGAAACACCATCATCCCATTGTTTCTGCAGCTGCATTTTCTTTCACTCCATCATATCCACATTCAAACCAAAGAACCTAAGATTTTCATTTTAAGAAAGGCATTATATCATGTATCGAAAGCTTCCATGATCCCCGGCTTTTCTTCTAGTGAAAATACAAAGGTGAAGGCGTATAATGAAAAGGAATCTATACATTTTTTTCGGATGCAAGCATTCATATTTTCCATGTGGAAGTGAGCCAATGGACTAGATCACCTGTAGAAGATTCTTTTATAGTTTATTAATGCACATACCTTTAATGTTTGTAATATTGGGCACTGTGTTGGTTAATATTAAGTGTCAACTTGATTGGATTGAAGGATGCAAAGTATTTGTTTCTGGGTGTGTCTGTGAGGGTGTTGCTGGAGGAGAATGACATTTGAGTCAGTGGACTGGGAGAGGCAAACCCACCCTTAATCGGTATGGGCACCATCCCCTTGCTGCCAGCGTGGCTAGAAAAAGCAGGCAGAAGAAGGTGGAAGAAGCAGGCTTGCTGAGTCTTCCAGTCTTCTTCTTTCTGCCACGCTGGGTGCTTCTGGCCTCGGACATCAGACTCCAAGTTCTTCGGCTTTTTGACTCTTGGACTCACACCAGTGGTTTGCCAAGGTCTCTCAGGGCCCTCAGGCCTTCAGCCACAGACTGAAGGCTGCCCTGTTGGCTTCCCTACTTTTGAGGTTTTGAAACTCAAACTGATCCACTACTGAATTCCTTGCTCCTCAACTTGCAGACAGCCTATCGTGAGACTTTACCTTTTAATTGTGTTGAGTCAATTCTCCATAATCAACTCCTCTTCATATATACATATATCCTGTTAGTTCTGTCCCTGTAGAGAACCCTGACTCATACAGGCACTCAGTGTGAATGACAATGCTGTCTGATTCTTTTTGATTTATTTATAAGCCTTCCATATCCAGGAAAGCTTGCAAATCCAATCATATATTTGTCTACATGTATGTGGGGTGTACTGTATGTGTGAGCATGTTTGTGTATTTCTATATATTTACATGTTCTGGTTGTGTGAATTTCATTTTCATGAGTTGATCAACATTGGAAGGGAAAAAACGACTTTTACCAGACTCTGAAATTGCATCATGAATAAAGTTCTATTTGTTCTGCCTTAATCTACATTGTTTTGTATCTTTCTCTGCTTATTGTGCGTTGCCTTGTTTTTTTAACAAATGCATTTTTTTCATATTTTGGTCTCTACCTGCAAGGGTAATAATGTGTCTTTTACATCCTTACCAGAATTCTTTATTTTTTCAGTGGGATCCTCTGACTCACTATTAACAACCTAAAAGTATGAGTCTAGAAGACATACTTGAGCAGAAAATTTAACATTATTTAATTTACATGATTGAGGCAATTTACTGACTCAGGCAATGACAGAGATGATATAAACAGTCATTTGCTCTTCAGAGACCGAAAAACCTTTCTTTTCTGCCAAAACATTGCTATTAGAACTTTGTTGAATGTCAGAGATAATTTGGACATTAGCTCATGAACTTTTCTTAACTATGTATATTAATATTCTAGGCTTTTAGTATGTAGTCTCTAAAATTGTCTTTTACGGTTTAACAAGTTAATGTTGTTGAAAGTTTTATGGCATTCTAAATTTTCTGAATTGATATGAAAATAAAATTCACATTAACTACTAATTTTAGTTGTATTTATCATTGATTACAAATTCTTTAACATTAGCACAATATTTTTGAAAGTTAAATAAAGAAATTTAGAATATAAATTTAGATTGAAACAAGGGAGGCAGTACCTCTTGAATTTATATTTGAGAGCTCATCTCTAAGTATGCACTTAATAGTTACAGATGTTGAAAGCCAGAGATTTTAAAAAAGGTTAGCATGTTAACACCATATTTTATTTGGGAAAAATACTACTCCTTATTATTTCCATCAGTCATCATTTTTTTGTTACGAGCAACCCAATCAACTCTGGCAGGTTTAAGAACTATAAAATGATGGTATTTTAAAAAAGAATGTTGGATAGGTTACATGATTGCCAGGAAGGTTAAAGAATCAGGCACATACCCCAAACCTTGTCATAAAATTGCTCTGAAGAATACATCACTGTTCACCCCGCTTAGTGTCAAGCTCTAGTCCTGATATTGGAGTCATCCACAGTGCTGCTGGGGTTCCCACTGGCTCAGGAGCTGGACCTTGCTGCAGCCACACTGTGGCCAGAGCATCTCTTGGTCTAGTTCAGGTGGACCAGGTGCATCTGGGAGGCAGCCTCGCTGTGCAAGGGCATGCACGCTAGCTTCCAGGGAAAGAGTGAGGCTGGCATTGCCTGTGCCCTTTTCTGTCTAGGGAGGAGGGAGTTTTCTACCTCCCACCAATATTTCTTAGGCAGGGAATTCCCCAAACCCAGGAGTAGGGCTCACACATTCTAGGTGGCCAAAAAAGAGTGCACAACATGACTTTCCAAGGTGTTTTCACAATCATGGCTAAGTAAAATCTCAAAGTGACCTGTTAAGGCAGGGAGTTCCCCCTTAAAGGGAATTCATCTGAAAAATGAGGAAATGGAGTCACTGAAAGACCCAGTTCCACATCTTGCTTGTCAGTGACAAATTTAGGAAAAGCAAGTCTTCAAAATGGGGTAGATGACTGTTCCACAGAGGCAGCAGATTTTCTACACTGACCTTAATTGGTGGAGTGTAACTCATGACACCCTCCTGCACTCCTGAAGTCCAATGGACTCTGATGCAGTCCCATTACTGGACTCACACTGACTTGTTTCAGGGCTGAGGGATCCTAGACAGTCATCTCAGACCATTCTCAGTGATCTCATCTTAAAAACAAATCCTGCATTTCCTTTTTGGAAAGGGCTATGGATGTACTGTTTAAATTTTACGTATATTCTTTAGGCAGTGTCTGTTTTATAAATGTGATGTTTTCTTTGGCCGTTTTGTGGTGAAGGATAATCATGGAAAAGAGGAGATGTATTGGCAGAAACTCCCCAGTCTTGTTTGGTGACGCAATTAAAAGTGACAATACGGCCCCCGTATCCTTGAAGGATTCGTTCCGAGACCCCCAGTCTGAAACGTCAGACAGTACTGAACCCTATATATACTGTTCTTTCCTATATATACACACCTATCGCAAAGTTTAATTTATAAATTAGGCACAATAAGAGATTAACAACAATAATAAAATGGAACAATTATGAAAATATGCCGCAAAAACGTATGTAAATGTTTACTTCTGGAATTTCCCATTTAATATTTTTGAACCATGCTTGACGATGGTTAACTAACATTTTGGAAAGCAAAACCATGGACAAGGGGGACTACTGTATACACCTGGGCCTCCGTATCTGCAGGTGTTGGTTCCAGGACCCTCAATGATACCAAAATCTGTGGATGCTCAAGCCCCGTATGTAAAATGGCATAATATTTGCATATAACCTACCCACATCTTCCCATATATAGCCATGTGCTACATAATCACATTTTGGTCAACGACAGACTGCATATACAATGGCGTTTCCATAAGATTATAATGGAGCTGAAAAATTCCTACTACCTACGGATGTTGTGGTTATCTTAATGTCATAGCACGATGCATTACTCGCTGTTTGTGAGGACACCAATGTAAACAAACCTACTGCACTGCACTGCCACCTGTGTAAAAGTCTAGCACTTACAATGGTGTCCAGTACATAAGATGTGAGCAGGCTAATAAAGGACTATGTTACTGGTTTATGCATTTATTGTACTATACTTTTTATTCTTATTACTTTAGAGTATTCTCCTTCTACTTATAAAAAATATTAACTGTGAAATAGCCTTGAGGAGGTCCTGCAGGAGGTGTCCAGAAGAAGGCATTGTTATCCTAGGGAGTGACAGCTCCATGCATGTCACTGCCACTGAAAATCTTCTAGTGGGACAAGAGGTGGAAGTTGAAGACACTGATGTTGATGATTCTGAGCCTGTACAGACCTGGGCAAATGTGTGTATGTCTTAGTTTTTAGCAAAAAACTTAAAAAAATTAAAAAATATTAGAAATTTTAAAAATAGAAAAACTCTTGTAGAATGATGACATAAAAAATATATCTTTTTTGGATGGCTGTAAACATGTTTGTATTTTAAGTTAAGTGTTATTAGAAAAGAGTCAAAAGTTAGAAAATTTAAAAGCCTATAAAGGAAAAACATTACAGTAAGCTAAGGTTAATTTATTATTGATAAAGAAAATGATTGTATAAATTCAGTGTAGGCCAAATGCGCAGTTTCTATAAAGCCCACAGTAGCGTATAGTCATGTCCTTGGCCTTCATATTCACTCATCACTCACTCATCAACCACCCAGAGCAACTTACCGTTGTTAATGTTAAGTGCCCTAAAAGGTTACCATTTTAATCTTTTATACTGTATTTTTACTGTACTTTTTCTATGTTTAGAGATGAGAGATGTTCAGATACACGAATAATTAACATCGTGTTACAGTAATATGCTATTCAAGTTTGTAGCCTAGGAGCCGTAGGCTATCTCATATAGCCTAGGTGTTAGTAGGCTACGCAATCTAGGTTTGTTTAAGCACACTCTGTGATGTTTTCACAATGACAAACTCACCTAGCAACAGATTTCTCGGAACATTGTCAGTAAGCAATGTATGACTATACTTTAAATCATCTTTAGATTACTTATGGTATCTAATACTATGTAAATGCTATGTAAATACTTATACTATATTTTTTGTTTGTATCATTTTTCAGTATTGTACTGTTTTTTTTCCCCCTAATACTTTGATGCACGGTTGGATACAGAGGGCTGACTGTATTTATTACAGAAATTTGAATATATAGATAATTAGAAAGAAGGAAAATTATGCCATAAAAGGACTATTGTTAATAATTTGGGATATTAATGTTCAGTCTTTATTTGAATGCAAACTTTTTTTTCAGCCATCAGTCAATAAATGAGAGGTATTTATTGGAACAATGGACCTACTCCAGAGCTGTGGAAATTATACCCATTTTTAATTCTTACTGAATTTTTATTTTTTTAATTTTTATTTTACTTTAAGTTCTGGGATACATGTTCAGAATGTGCAAGTTTGTTACATAGGTGTAAATGTGCCATGGTGGTTTCCTGCACCTATCAACCCATAATCTAGGTTTTAAGCCCTGCATAAATTAAGTATTTGTCCTAATGCTCTCCCTCCCCTTGCCCCCCACCCCCCGACAGGCCCTGGTGTGTGATGTTCCCTCTCCCTGTGTCCATGTGTTCTCATTGTTCAACTCCCATTTATGAGTGAGAACATGCGGTGTTTGGTTTTCTGTTCCTGTGTTAGTTTGGTGAGAATGATGGTTTCCAGCTTCATCCATGTCACTGCAAAGGACATGAACTCATTCTTTTTTTATGACTGCATAGTATTCCATGGTGTATATGTGCCATATTTTCTTTATCCAGTCTATCACTGATGGGCATTTGGGTTGGCTCCAAGTCTTTGCTATTGTGAACAGGGCTGCAATAAACATATGTGTGTATATGTCTTTATAGCAGAATGATTTATAATCCTTTGGGTATATACCCAGTAATGGGATGGCTGGGTCAAATGGTATTTCTGGTTCTAGATTGTTGAGGAATCGCCACACTGTCTTTCACAATGGTTGAACTAATTTACAGTCCCACCAACAGTGTAAAAAGTGTTCCTATTTCCTCCACATCGTCTCTAGTATCTGTTGTTTCCTGACTTTTTAATGATCGCCGTTCTAACTGGCATGAGATAGTATCTCATTGTGGTTTTGATTTGCGTTTCTCTAATGACCAGTGATGATGAGCTTTTTTTCATATATTTGTTGGCTGCATATATACTGTCTTTTGAGAAGAGTCTGTTCATATCCTTCACCCACTTTTTGATGGGGTTGTTTTTTTTTTTCTTGTAAATTTGTTTAAGTTCCTTGTAGATTCTGGATATTAGCCCTTTGTCAGATGTATAGATTTGCAAAAATTTTCTCCCATTCTGTAGGTTGCCTGTTTACTCTGATGATAGTTTCTTTTGCTGTGCTCTTTAGCTTAATGAGATCCCATTTGTCAATTTTGGCTTTCCTTGCAATTGCTTTTGGTGTGTTAGTCATGAAGTCTTTGCCCATGCCTATGTCCTGAATGGTATTGCTAGGTTTTCTTCTAGGTTTTTTATGGTTTTATGTTTTATGTTTAAGTCTTTAATCCACCTTGAGATTATTTTTGTATGAGGTGTAAGGGAAGGGTTCAATTTCCATTTTCTGCGTGTGGCTAGCCGGTTTTCCCAGCACCATTTATTAAATAGGGAATCCTTTCCCCATTGCTTGTTTTTTAATACAAACTTTTTAATGGTAACTGTCAAACTGTGCACACAAATCTCTCTTTAGAGTTGACATAAACAGGAATTTTCCATTTTTTTATAATCTTCATGGGTATTATTTTAATGCCTAAATGCAGTTCTGCCAATGGAATATAATGATTCCATTATTGTTGAATATCCATTTTTTCCAGTATTCCACAATTAAAAATAATGTTACTGTAAATATCTTTATGCATAACCTATTTTCCCATTAGAGTTATTTTTCAGAAGTAGAAGAACTGGATTTGATGTTTCAAAAAGCAACCAGCAGCACAGAGCTCCCGTTTCAGTGCCTTACAAACACTGGTTGCTATCACAGTTTCCCAAAGTTGGTAGCTTGAAGGATGGGGCTCTTTAATTTTGTACATTTGCTGTTCTGTTATTACTAGTCAGGCTGGCATTTCTCAGTGTTTGTTAATCAGTTCCACAGTGTGTGAAGTGCACGTGTCTAGTGGTTAGAAGCTGGGTCCTCTCTCTCTTTTTTCCCCTCGGAGCGGGGCTCGATGGCTGGCAGTTGTGGAACACTCAGTCATACTGCATGAATGAATGACAAGTGTTTATTGTCTCTTCATGCATTGTTTCTATTTCTCTGTTGGGGGCTTAGTACTTTTACTACATGTAAATTTAATTATAAAGATTTAAGACTTTATATAGGTAGGCTGGTTGCAAGTACTTTTGAAAGACTGGGAGGTGTTAAAGGAAATGTTCCTGATAACCATACATTGCCCCACAGCCTGTTTCCATGGAAACTGAAGCCTTAAATGAGAGAACCATGCACCTAGATACAAAGTAGATAATAAACATAATTCTCCTCTCTTGGAAACCTATCATCTAAAACTTTAAAGTCTGAAAACACTGCTTTGATAGAAACTGTTTTATAATTGTAAGGGTCTTAAAATTTGAGATTGTTAATTATGGATGTAGAGAACCATGCGGTTAAAAGAGACCTTCTAGTGTGGGTGCACAGACTCCTTCAGAACTCACCAATGGCCCAGCTTTTAAAGAACTCAAGAGGGAACCTTGTCCTCCCCAGCCTTGGCAGCCTGCGTCGGAATGCTCTCCTTGGTAGCAATTAGTGGCACAATGAAAAGATTTACAACTCCTCCACAGTCACTTTTTTCCAGAAAGACTAGAATAATTTGAATGTCTCCTGAGGCAGTTGGTTTCTTTTCTTCCTTAACCCTTACACATTTAGAGACATTTATGCACTCAAATAGAAGTCTTGGGTTTTTTTACTGTACTAAACAACTTTTCATTAGTTTTGCAGATGTTTTATGAAGACCCTTAAGACTCCAGCAAAATCCATATTTACATAAATTAGCTCACCATTCACCTGTAAGCAGCTCCATTATTGTAGGGGCCTGGATAGAAGTTTAGGTAGCAAAAGGTCAGGAGTCTGTGCCTGGAATTTGTTGAGCATCAGGAGAACCCAGGCAGCCACCCTTAACCGCCAGCCCTGGGCCCTGCAATCCATCTAATCCAGAAGCGACTGCAAATGATAGCATTCAGTTCCTTCCTCACTTTTCTGTCGGCTTCTGTGGGCATGTTTTTTTTTAGGATGCCCTAGGGCATTACAAATGACTCTTAACACAATAGGAGAAGTCACGGGTACAAACAGCACAGCCCTGGCTACTGTCTCTCAGATGCTTAAACCAGCCTGATAGAGATGAATGGGGCTGTTTCAACCCAGGTCCTATTATTTTCCAATGTTCTAGGGCTGATCCAAGAGGTTCAGGCTGAAACAACTGATTCTCAGCCACATGACAAGAGTGTAAACCAATCACTCCTGGGGTTTGGCCAAGCAATCCTAATGCCATATTCCTTCCGGGTTGTATAGGGTGGTAGACTGCAAAGGCAGGGATTGACTCTGGCAATGGTTGCACTGTTACCAACATTCACTCTTCCCCTCTGTGAGCATGGACTGCAGATGCTGTGTTTTACATTTCTGTGAGACCGGCTTCTCATTTGGAAATTAGGTGTATTTAACATTCCTTATTAGGCTGTTGGGAAGATCAAAGTACTTAATGAATTACCTTATATATATATATAATATATAATCTATAAAATATACAATATATAATATATAAAAATATATTATACAGTGTATAATATATATTACATATATTATATATTATATATTAAACATATATTATATGTTAAGTACCATATATTATATACTTAAGCTATGTAATATATAAATATATGTTATATATAACATATTTATATAAATATATATTTATATAATATATTCATATAAAATATATTTATATAACATATAAATATACAATAAATATATAAGTGTATAAAATATATAATATATAAAATATGTAATATATACACATAAAAATTATATATACTATAAAATATATATTATAATATAAATATATTTATATATATTTATATATTAGATATCTTAAGTATATTATATATGGTACTTAATTTTATATATAGTTTAAGATACATAAAATTATATAGAATATATTTATGTAATTATACAATATATAAATATATTATATATTATATAATTCTATAATATATAAATGTATATATAATATATAATTATATGATATATAAATGTATATATAATATATTATATAATTATATGATATATAAATGTATATATAATATATAATTATATGATATATAAATGTATATATAATATATAATTATATGATATATTATATAAAAGTATATATAATATATTATATAAAAGTATATATAATATATTATATAATTATATGATATATAAATGTATATATAATATATTATAAAATTATATAATATATTTATATAAATGTATATATAATATATAATTATATAATATATTATTTATATATTTATATAAATATATTATTTATGTAATATATAATATATTATATAATTATATAATATATTATATAATTATATAATATATTATATAATTATATTATATAATCTATAATTATATAATATATATTATATAATCTATAATATATTTATATAATGATATATTATATAATCTATAATATATTTATATATATATTTAGATAATATATAAATATATGATATACTTAGATAATATATAAATATTTATATATTATCTAAATATTTAGATAATATATAAAGATATTATATTTATATATTATATTACATTATTTAGATATTATCTAAATATATCATATATTTAGATATTATCTAAATATATTATATAATTATATATTATCTAAATATATGATATATTTAGATATTATCTAAATATATATTCATATAATATCTAAATATCTAGTATATATTATATAAATATATATTATATAATATGTAAATATATATTCATATAACATAAATATATATTTCTATTATATATTAATATATATTTATATGTTATATAAATATATATTTATATATTTATATATTATATAAATATATATTTATATATTTATATATTATATAAATATATATTTATATATTTATATAATATGTAAATATATGATATAGTTTTATAAATGTATATATACTATATATTATATAAATATATAGTATTGATATTATATACAGTATATAAATTATATATAAAAATTTATAATTATTATATATAGGATATATATAGTATATATACTATGTATACTATATATAGTATATATACTATATATAGTGTACATATAGTATATATAGTATATAGTGTATATACTATATGTACACTATATATGAGATATAGTGTACATATAGTATAGTATATAGTGTATATACTCTATGTACACTATATATAGGATATAGTGTCTATAGAGTATATATACTGTATAGAGTGTCTATAGAGTATATATACTGTATAGAGTGTCTATAGAGTATATACACTGTATAGAGTGTCTATACAGTATATACACTGTATAGAGTGTCTATACAGTATATACACTGTATAGAGTGTCTATACAGTATATACACTGTATAGAGTGTCTATACAGTATATACACTGTATAGAGTGTCTATAGTGTATATACACTGTATAGAGTGTCTATAGTGTATATACACTGTATATAGTACATAGTGTATATATAGTATATACGTATATACTATATACGTATATAGTATATACGTATATACTATATATACACTCTATATACATGTATATGTATATAGTATATATATACTATATACATACTATATACGTATAGTATATATGTATATACTATATATAGTAGACAGTATATATATATATATACTATATATACACTATATATAGTGTAGGTATAGTATATATATACTATATATAGTATATATTATATAGTATATATTTATATATATAAATTATATATATAAAAATATATAATTAGTCTATATTATATATACACTATATATATTATATATACTATATATGCTGTATATAGTATATATAAATTATATATAAAAATCTATAATTAGTATATGTAATAGTATATATATAGTATACTATATGTATACTACATAGTATACTATACATGTATAGTATATATAGTATACTATATGTGTACTATATAGTATACTATTCATGTATAGTATATATAGTATACTATATGTATACTATATAGTATACTATACATGTATAGTATATATAGTATACTATATGTATACTTATAGTGTACTATACATGTATAGTATATATAGTATACTATATAGTATACATATAGTATACTATATGTATACTTATAGTATACTATACATATATAGTATATATAGTATACATATAGTATACATATAGTATACTATACATATATAGTATATATAGTATACTATACATATATAGTATATATAGTATACTATATGTATACTATATAGTATACTATACATATATAGTATATTATATATATGCCATATAGTATAGTATACATATATAGTATTTATAGTATACTATATGGTATACTATATAGTATACTATACATATATAGTATATATAGTATGCTATATGGTGTACTGATAGTATACTATACATATATAGTATATGTATATATACTATCTATATATACTCTATAGTATATATACACCATATATATGCTATATATATTATTAGTATATATTATATATAAGATATATACTATATATAATTAGTATATAGAATATATACTGTATATATAATTAGTATATAGAATATATATACTATATATAATTAGTATATAGAATATATATACTATATATAATTAGTATATAGAATATATATACTACATATAATTAGTATATAGAATATATATACTACATATAATTAGTATATAGAATATATATACTAATATATATAGTTAGTATATAGAATATATATACTATATATAATTAGTATATATAATATATATTATATATAGTATATATAGCATATATATTATATATTTAGTATATATATAATTTGTACATAAAAATATATCTATAAAATTATATATTATATAAAATTGTATATATAAAAATATATATAGTATATATAATTAGCACATAAAAATTATATATATAAATTATATATAAAAATGTATATACTATATATGAAAATATATAGTATATATATAAATTATATTTATTTATATAATATATACTATATACCATTATAAATACTATATATTATGTATTTTATATAATATATAGTATATATATTGGTATATACTATATATTAAATATTTTGTATATAGTATATATTATATGTTAGGTAACTTGTTAAGTACCTAATATATGTTGTATATAATATATATATGTGTATATTTTTTTTTTTGAGAAAGGGTCTGGCTCTGTCTCTCTGGCTCTGTTAGCCTCCTGAGTAGCTGGACAACAGGCATGTGCCACCATGCCTGGCTAATTTTTTAATTTTTTTGTAGAGACAAGGTCTTACTCTATTGCCCAGGCTGATCTTGAAATCTTGGGCTCAAATGATCCTCCTGCTTTGGACTGCCAAAGTGCTGGGACGACAGGCATGGGCCACTGCACCCAGCTGCCTAACAATTTCTTGGGACTAAGTAAGTGCTGAAAAAATAAAACTCCATCCCTTTCCCTATAAGTAGCTCAGCAATATTTAGGCTACTTTTGTACCAGATCAAAAGTGCTTTCATGGTGAGATTTCAGCCAACCAGGTTGTAAGATTTGTTTTGGGAAACAAAATCTAGGCTCTTTGAATTGTATATTGTAGATAGCTGCCCATTCACCTATTCAGAAAGCAGGCTTTAGTAGTAAGTTTCCTGTGCAAATTTAAGGTCCAAATTGATCTTGTATTTCTGGACATCAAGAAGAATTGGCACCAACTTCATTGCAATAATCATTGAAATATTTTAAAAGTGTTAAGAAAATCATATTAAAAATCAGCTCAACATTTCTCATTGTATTAATATTATTTTTTCCCGATATTGCCTGCTAGGAACTGGATTATTGTTCTCTTTTTAACTTCTGCATGTAGAACGCCTGCTCTCACAATATAAATTCCTTTTGTGGCAGAGAAAATTAGTGTGTTAATAAGAATTTGTATCTGGACTTGCTCATCAAAGCTTGTAAACCCTTTTTGGTTGCACACACTCCTTTGTAAATCCCAGGATTCCTGCGTGAGTTTGTGGTCTGTTTGAAGCCAAACATCTAAGATTCAGTGTTAGACTAGGTCTCAGGTTAAACCCAATGGGAGCATTTAATTCTCAAATAAAGCTAGAAGAAAATGCTAAAAGAACAATGAAAGTATTTTATTGTTTATTTTGCTTGGGAACATCTCTCTGGAGAGCAAGTAGTATTTTTGTACCTCATACCCTTTTTCTTTGTCATTTGTCATCTTGATTGCTTTAACTTTATCGTGTTAAATATTTATTATTTAATACAAGAAAGTAATAATGGAAATGGTCTTACTTTTCCAAACCGTGTTCCCTCTCCAGGGTAATTACTTTTGATGAGTGCTGGAGGGTACGATCTTCCCAGGAACGGCTTTGCTGGCTGGAGAGGGAATTGTCAAGATGGTTCTTGCCTTTCCATTTTGTATTCCCAGAGCTCTTCTGGAAATAGTATATTGTAGGTGAAGGCAAAATGAAATTTCAAATCACAAATTCTTTCATGAGGAGATTAGCCTATACATAGACACAAGGAGGACATGGGGAAGGTTTGTCACCTTCAGTGGCAGCATGATAAAATGCTCATTTATTTAGCCAGCTAAATTTAGCCACAAGCCATTACAACATTTCCAGTAAGGCGAAGTGTATGGTGTAGCTGGTGTACCATGCACTTAAACTTACCAGTTATAACGTACACTATGCCTTATTGGCAATGCTGTATGGCTTGGTACACTTGGTAGTGTTGGTTAGTTGGTAGTATTGGAAGTGTACGGTAAAGCATGGTGTTACCCAGGCTGGAGTATGTAGGAGGATCAGCTTCCATGATATACACTGGAGGGCATGGGTAATGCTGTTTAATACAATATGCAAAGCCACAGAGTGTGTGCCATCAACTGCAAACTTGATATGTTTGGGGTTAACCACTGGGGAGACTCAGGAATGGGAGGGGTATGTTTTCTAGAGGGAGTGTGGTGTCAGATAATAAGTGATGGGTCCAGGATTAGAATGCAGTTTCACTTAAATATGGTTGGATTCTCCAATTTGATTTCTTCACCTAGAAAATGTGACTGACAGCGGAAAATGCTTTGTAGGATTGGTGGGAAGATGAGCAAACACAATGCTTGTGCCCTGAGAGAAAGTCCCTCGTCCTGGTAGCTGCCCTGCAACCTCAAATATTGTTTCATTTTTAAGCATTTGTGGAGTACAATTTTAAAATACTATGACAGTATTAAATTATTTTGATACTAAAAAAACAGCCTTCATCATGTATCCATCTGTTTTTACCTTTTGTGGATGATGCCAGGTTTTGAGGGATCCATTTTCATTTGCTGTCTCTTAACCCCCTAGGTAGGTATAGTTGCTGCCTTACCCGGTAAGCTCAGCATCATCCTGCTTTGCACCACCCCTGCCCCAGCTGAGGTGAACTTTCCCATGATTTTAAGGGAACCCAGGGTATTAGGCGAGTGAGCAGTCTCTCCTCCTCCTCCAGGGTACTCAGAGGCTCTTGATACAGGGCTTAGGGTTGGATATCTTCAGTGGTATTTACCATAAGCCCCATGAAAATGGTGACACCTATCGTTGGAGGCCGCCCGTTCAATTTTATGAACAGGATAAGGCTCCTGTTCCAAGCTTAGTGTCTGGTGTGCAGGAGAGCAGGTTGCAAAGTGTTCCGAATTTGGGGTCTGGATCCAAGCTCCTTGTGTACGTAAATTTGAAGATGTTTTCTGGTTCTGCCCTCACAGTCAGCCCACAGACTGTCTTTGCAACCCCACAGGAAAAGATCACAGTCCTTCATGGCTGTGTCATTTTACACTCTAGCTTCTTTATCAAAGTTGCCTGCATTTATTTTTCCATCTGGTAAACTTTGATTTATCCTTCAAGATCCAAATTAAAAAACAAAACTTTTCAGCTGTAAAGTCTTTCCTGATTTTCCCTGCCAGGGTTAATTACTTTCTCGTCTTCCTTTTCACGGATGGACAGTACTCTGATGTCTGGGACGGTATCCGTTTTTAGAAAGCTTCTGAAGCTTCAGCGTGCATATGAGCTACCTAGGGAACTTGTCAAAATGCGTCTTCTGAGTCTGTGGGTCTAGGAGGGGGTCTGAGAGTCTGTAGTTTTTAATAAGCTTCCAGGTGATGCTGATGCTGCTTGTCTGAGAACCACACTTCAAGTAGCAAAGCTGTTTTATAGATGAATCCTAAGGTTTGGTGTAGAGTTTGTGCTCAGTCCAATTTGGCTGATTGTTGAATGAATGATACTTGATGCCCTTCATCTGTGGCTTTCTTAATGGGAAACTTGATTATCTAAAAAAAACATACAAATGAGATACATTGAGGTCATATTTAACACTTGCCTAATCAACTATATTTATTTGCTTAGACTGAGAACCTCCACATCTCTTTAACTTTTGGTAATAATAATAGCAAACATTTCCTAGGAGTTCGCATGCTATTTACTAAGCTCCCCTCTAAGCAGGATACATGCATTCACTCATTTCACCCTCAGAATAGCCCTAGGAGGTTGTAGATTTGTCAAAATAATGCTGTAACAACAACAACAACAACAAAAACCCCAAAAGGTATCATGACTCAAGCACAACAGAGTTCATTTCTTGTTCACATACAACTTTCATCAGGTGTTCCGATGGGAAGGTGACTCTCCTCCAAACAGTGACCCAGGGACCCAGGCTCCTTCTGTCTGTGATCCTGCCATCTTCACAAATGTGGCTTCCAAGTCACCGTGCTTGTGTGCATTATGTGGAAAAGAATTAGCGTGAGGATTGAAGGAGTGGTACACATCTTTTTATTCATTTTTCTTTGGCTATTACTCAAGCGTGTGGCAACAACTAACTAAAAGGGAGGTTTGAAAATGTTGTTCAACTGTATGCCTAGGGAAAAAAGGAGCTGTTTGGTAAATATAATCCAAGTGTGGCTAACCTAGGTATCTGAATGTGGTTAGTATTTCCCTAGTGCTATCCAAGGTCTCAATAGTAATGGTTTATGCTCTGAGGCAAAATGGGAACTCATCAGCAGTGGCTAGTTGGGAGAAAAAAGGACTGGCTACATTTATGCAAGAAAAAAGTGATCTGGCTGCAGAACTACTTAACTTTCCTCCAAAGCAGGAGGGTGGAATGGGAGGGCAGTAGTGCAGTCTAATGTGACCAAGTCAGGACTGGGGGTCAGCTCAAAGGATAGAAACGGAAATTGTAGCAGGGACATTTGTAGTCAGACAGAACAACAGTGTTTGGGGAGATTTGTCTCTAAGAACTGGGAAGACTCTGAGAACCCAAAACTCAGCTTGTGGGGAGGCCTAGAGTCACGGGCCCATTCCATGTCCTGCCCACTGGCAGGCTCTGTGAGGAAGCAGAGTTCAAACGTTGACATAAAGCGAGTGGGGTGTGGAAAGGTAGAGATGAATGAGCCCTGAAGGACAGGGCTTACTGAGAGGAAAGAGTTATTATGAGCACAGCACTGAAAACAAGCAGCTTTTTCGTAAGTACAATATAGTTCCTTTATGAGACTTCTTATTTTCTTCTTTTCTTTTCTTTTCTTTTATTATTATTATACTTTAAGCTTTAGGGTACATGTACACAATGTGCAGAGGTTAGTTACATATGTATACATGTGCCATGCTGGTGTGCTGCACCCATTAACTCGTCATTTAGCATTAGGTATATCTCCTAATGCTATCCCTCCCCACTCCCTCCACCCACAACAGTCTCCAGAGTGTGATGTTCCCCTTCCTGTGTCTATGTGTTCTCATTGTTCAATTCCCACCTATGAGTGAAAACATGCGGTGTTTGGTTTTTTGTCCTTGCGATAGTTTACGGAGAATGATTTCCAATTTCATCCATGTCCCTACAAAGGACATGAACTCATCATTTTTTATGGCTGCATAGTATTCCATGGTGTATATGTGCCACATTTTCTTAATCCATTCTATCATTGTTGGACTTTTGGATTTGTTCCAAGCCTTTGCTATTGTGAATAGTGCCGCAATAAATATACGTGTGCATGTGAGACTTCTTATTTTCAAATATTAACTCAATGTGGATCAAGGCCTTAGAAATAAAGGCAAAGGGGTGTAAGAGAAACAAGACTAAAACATTTAGGGAAAAAACCTTACAGAATCTAAAAGTATTTTTTTCATAGAAAAAAGTTTTATAATTGATAGAATATCCTTTATACTTTCAAGTTCCAGTATAAAAAAGGATTGTCCCTTATCCATTTCATTTCAGTGTAGGAGTTTACTGGGCTGGAGGACTTGCTGTCATTAAAGTACCACAGTACCGTAGTAACTGCTGCTTCTATTCAAGTCTGTGATAAGAGTTTTGAAATTTGGAACTCAATACCAAAAACTTTCTTAGTATTGGTAGGAGCTCTTGATAGAGAAATCTTGTACAAGAATCCACTAAAGTATAAGTTAAATGGCAATGAGGGGATGGAAGAAAGAAGGAAGGAGGGTTAAGGCTTCAAAAGAAGGAAATATGCTACTTCTCTGCCTGTCCTGCTGAGAAATGGAACGTGACATACCCACAGGTGCTTCATTCAATTCATCACATCTTTAAGGAGAAATAATCAGTCATCTCTGTTAAGAGCAGGACTCTTGGACCAGACTACCTGGGTTTGAATCCAGGCTCTGACACTTAACAACTGTATGACTTGGGTAAGTTATTTACTCTCCAGTGCCAACATTTACTAATCTATAAAATGGGGATATTAATATATTTAGCCATGGCAAAGACTGGAGTGCTGTTCCCAAACAATCACCCTTTTTCCTGGGCATACTGCTAGACCACATTTTACTTCTCCTTTAGATAGTAACAGCTAATAAATACATAGGTCAATCAATCAGTACATGAATAAATAAATGAGTAAATAAATGAATGAATAGAATGTGTACCACTTTCCTATTTCCACATGTGAATTCCTTTTCCACCCTTATAATACACGCAAGCATAGTGACTTGGAAGCCACATTTTGAAGATGACAGGACCACAAGATGGGAGGAGTCTGGGTCCCCGAGTCACTGCTTGGAGGAGAGTCACCTTCCAATAGGAACACTGATGAAAGTTATATGTGAGCAAGGCTGGGTGCGGTGGCTAACACCTGTAATCTCAGCACTTTGGGAGGCTGAGGCAGGTGGATCGCCTGAGGTCAGGAGTTTGGGACCAGCCTGGCCAACATGGTAAAACTTCATCTGTACTAAAAATACAAAAATTATCTGTGTGTGATGGTGAGCACTTATAGTCCCAGCTACTCTGGAGGCTGAGGCAGGAGAATCACTTGAACCGGGGAAGCAGAGGTTGCAGTGAGCAGAGATCACGCCACTGCATTCCAACCTGGGTGACAGAGCAAGACTCCATCTCAAAAAAAAAAAAAATATGTATATATATATATATATATATATATATATATATATATATATATACATGTGAGCAAGAAATGAACTTCTGCTGTGCTTGAGCCATCATATCTTTTGAGGTTGGCTTGCTACAGCATTATTTACTTATTTATCTATTTATTTATTTATTTTTGAGATGGAGTCTTGCTCTGTTGTCCAAGCTGGAGTGCATTGGTGTGATTTCGGCTCACTGCAACTTCCGTCTCCCCAGTTCAAGTGATTCTCCTGCCTCAGCTTCCTGAAGTAGCTGGGATTACGGGTGCCTGCCACCTTGCCTGGCTAATTTTTGTATTTTTAGTAGAGACGGGGTTTCACCATGTTGGCCAGGCTGGTCTTGAACTCCTGACCTCAGATGATCCACCCTCCTTGGCCTCCCCACAGCATTATTTTAACCCATCCACGACCTCCTAAGGCTATTCTGAGGATGCCATAGGTGAAAGTATGCACAGTGCTGAGAGGAGAGCTTAGTAAATAGTATGCAAACTCCTAGAGAATATTTGTAATTATCAAGAGTTAGTGATATAGGAGCTCTCAGTCCAAACAGATACATAAAGTTGATTAGACCAAGTGCAAAACAGGACCTCAATGTATCTCATTTGTGTGTGTGTTTTAGATATGACTTGAGGTCATATCTAAAATCTCACTAGGATTTATACCTTTTCTGAGTCAATTCTGAATAAACCAAATTACATGTGGCTACAGGTATTACCTAATACATTGTGTGTGTATCTTGCTCTTCTTTGGATAGGAGGGTGGGTAGTATAAAGGCTATAATTGCAGACTTTGGATACCAGTTACTTTGCCTTCAATTCTTACACCTCCTACTGGCTGCAAAGCTGTGTGTCACTGTCCACTGGTGACCCCACTCTCTGCTTCGGATCCCTGAAGAAGGTAATAATAGTATCTCTTTCTTCCTTCCTTCCTTCCTTCCTTCCTTCCTTCCTTCCTTCCTTCTTCCCTCCCTCCTTTCTTTCTTTCTTTTTCTTTCTTTCTTTTTCTTTCTTTCTCTCTTCTTTCTTTCTTTTTCTTTCTTTCTTTCTCTCTTTCTTTCTTTCTCTTTCTTTCTTTCTCTTTCTTTCTTTCTTTCTTTCTTTCTTTCTTTCTTTCTTTCTTTCTTTCTTTCTCTTTTCCTTCCTTCTTTCTTTCCCTCCCTTCCTTCCTTCATTCATTCCTTCCTTCCTTCCCTTTCTTCCCTTCCTTCCCCCCCCCCTCCCCTCTCCTCCCCTCCCCTCCCCTCCCTTCCCTT
Source organism: Homo sapiens (assembly GCF_000001405.40). Taxonomy (NCBI): domain Eukaryota; kingdom Metazoa; phylum Chordata; class Mammalia; order Primates; family Hominidae; genus Homo; species Homo sapiens. Next base: position 39,611 of record NW_025791785.1, on the reverse strand, counting down.
CCTCTCCCCTCCTCTCCATTCCCATCCCCTCCCCTTCCCTTCTTTTTTCAGGGTCTCATTCTGTCTCCCAAGCTGGAGTGCGGTGGCGCAGTCTCAGTTCACTACAACCTCCACCTCCCGGGTTCAAGCAATTCTTGTGCCTTAGCCTTCTGAGTAGCTGGGATTACAGACACCTGCCACCATGTCTGGCTAATTTTTTTATTTTTAGTAGAGACAGGGTTTCACCACGTTGATCAGGGTGGTCTCGAATTCCTAGTCTCAGGTGATCCACCTGCCTCTGCCTCCCAGAGTGTTGGGATTACAGGTGTGAGCCACTGCGCCTGGTCAATAGTATCCATTTCATTAGCCAGGTGAGACTAAATGGAATGAATACCTGTAACCCGGCTAGAACAATGCCTGACACAGTCACAGCCCAGTAAATGTCTGTGGTGATTTCAGCACCTGAATGGGATTCCTTGTTTACCCTTGTTTACCTTGTTTACCTTGTTTTGCCCTTATCTCAGAGTATAATTTCCACATCTTCCTTAAGTCTTTCCTTCCAGGTAAACCCTCTTTCCCCTTTCTTCGTGGTGGTCTCTATCACCTCAATTTCAAACACCTTTCTGAGTTATTTGCAAAATGGCCTCCTGTTTTCTGGGTGTTTCTAGCTGTGGAAATAGAATTGAGACATTTAAGAACCTGATTTCACTTGCTCAGTCTTAAAAATCAATGTTCAAGTCTTGGCATGTAGTGAAGGCTTAACATGGTTTTTTCACATCACCACAGGTGCAAAAGTTTGAACATCACAATGAAAAACATTAAAAAAAAAAGATCACTGTAAATCTAAAGCTTCTTGTTCCCAGACACCCATCTCGTTTCCAAGAAAGCCTCAGCCACAGGTTCCATTTCATTTGATTTTCCCATAGGCAAGCTTGCGCATGGCTGCTGGGGGCCGTGCCTCGCGTGGCTGTCATAGCGGGAAGGCTTCCATCCTTAGGAGGCATGCACTCAACAGAATTCTGTAAGGGAAGGATTGTTTTTATGTACAACTCTGATACCATGATTGTTTTCTTGTGCCTAGAGAGCAATGTGGCTATATATTAACTTATACCCTGGGGGCTGCAACCCTTTCCAGCCCCTTCAAGTAGCCTCTTTGGGCTACTAACACTGGCAGTTCCAAGGGCCTTTCCAGCAAACAGAGCTCTCTAACAAGGCAATGCACAGAGCAGTTCTGCTTTGCTTGTGTTTCCCCTTATTTTACATTCCTCTATCTTCTATGGCATAAACAAGAGGTAGTTTATGTTTATAAATTGCTATGATTTGAATGTGTCCCCTCCAAAATTCACACGTTGAAACATAATGGCCAATGCGATAGTTTTAAGAGGTGGGGCCTTTAAAAGACGATGAGTTCATGAGGGCCTCTCCTTCCTGAATGGAGTTAAGGTTTTCATAAAAGAGGCTCACGTGGCATTGGGCCTTTTCCCCTTCAGTCCCTTCCTCCAGGTGAGGAGGCAGCATCCCTTCCCTCTGGAGGACGCAGCAACAAGACAGCATCTTGGAGGGAGAGATGGGCCCTCACCAGACAATGAACCTATCAAGGCCTTGATCTTGGACTCCCAGCTTTCGGAACTGTGAGAGATGTGTTTCTCTTCTTTACAAATTACCCAGTTTCGGCCGGGTGTGGTGGCTCATGCCTGTAACCCCAGCACTTTGGGAGGCTGAGGTGGGCAGATCATGAGGTGAAGAGATTGAGACCATCCTGGCCAACATGGTGAAACCCTGTCTCTACTAAAAATACAAAAATTAGCCAGGCATGGTGGCGCGCACCTGTAGTCCCAGCTACTCGGGAGGCTGAGGCAGGAGAATCACTTGAACCCGGGAGAAGGAGGTTGCAGTGAGCTGAGATCGTGCTACTGCACTCCAGTCTGGCGACAGAGGGAGACTCCATCTCGAAAACAAACAAATTACCCAGTTTCAGGTTTTTGTTACTGTTGCACAAACAGCAAGGCATAAATACTGTACTTACAAGAAATCAAAGAGAAAAGTTCCCTAATTACCTGAGGTTGGGTCAGACCCTTGACTGCATACAAGGTATCACCAACATTGATTTATAGCCGCCTGAGTCCCCTTCCCTGGGTGCGATCACGGAGGCAGAGAATCAGGGTTTTCATCTTTGCTCCCCAGGGTCCACCACAGCACTAGGCATGGAGCAGGTGGTGAAGTCCCTGATATGGTTTGACTGTGTCCCCACCCAAATCTCGTCTTGAACTGTAGCTCCCACAATTCCCACGTGTTGTGGGAGGGACCAGGTGGGAGGTAATTGAATCATGGGGGCAGGTCTTCCCCATGGTGTTCTTGTGATAGTGAGTAAGTCTCCTGAGATCTGATGGTTTTATAAAGGGGAGTTTCCCTGCACAAGTTCTCTCTTGCCTGCAAACAAGAAAGATGTACCTTTACTTTCTGCCAGGATGATAAGGCCTCCCCAGCTACTTGGAACTGAGAATCCATTAAAGCTCTTTTTCTTTATAAATTACCCAGTCTGGGGTGTGTCTTTATCAGCAGCATCAAAACAGACTAATACAGTCCCTAGCAGAAGGCATCAGTCAGGGAAAAGGCAGAAGTATTTATTACCATCTGACTGGGGCCCAGAAAGTTTTGATTCCCAGAGTCTCTGAGAATGGTCAAAATGAAGCATCAGAAAAAGTAAAAAACATTTGATGACAAGAAGTCATGAAATAGAACTGATGATGTGAGTTTAAATGGCAAAAGTTATAGTAAGCAAATATTTTAGAATGAGTTCCCTCTTTTTTTCTGATGTTTCCCGTGTTGTTTGACATTGTGAAAGCTCCTAAGAGCCGGTGAGAATTTCTTTTGTTGTCCCGTTAGTCTTATGTTGTGCTAATAAATGATCAAAACTAAGAAATACTGAAATCCCTTAATTAAAGAAGTGGTAATTCAATTGCATGAAACCATGTAATGTAAGTAGAATAAATACATTCGTAATTATTATCTGATTCAGCCATTATTTAAATTAGTAAGTCAAGCATGTTCATTTTATGTGCTTAGTAATTCACCTTTTAGTTTATGAAGTGTAAAAGTAATTATTATTTTTTGTCCTGGTTTCTTTATTGTTTAAAGTAGAGAGTGATGAATGAGGAATATGTCCTAAACATTTAGAAAAATTGTGAATCAGAATTGACTCTGCACTATGAAAATGCCTAATGGCAAGGTCTCTCATTTGTTGAATTATTCCTATGTATTTTATTAACATTCTACCATAATATTGTAAGCTGGGCATTATTACCTTCATTTTACACTCAAGAATTCTAGGTTTTGATACATAATTTGTCCAAGACCATGCAGAGACAGAGAGGTAGAGTTAAAAGTGGAACACAGTCCTGCTAGATGCTAAAGCAAATTTTTCTAACTTTGATGAAAAGTACGAAATATCAAGGTTGGTCTTCTAATGGCTCTTTTTTCTTTTCTTTGTTCTCTTGAAAGTGATTTACCTAATTATCTTTCTCTGCCCTTCTCATGCCAAGCTATCCAGCCAATCTTCTTTCCTATTTTTCCCCAATTTATGTCTTTCCCAACTTTTAAGAAATAGCTTAAAGTTCTCTTTTTCTATGAACCTTTCAATGATCATGTCAGAGACTGGCTCAAAGTCTGCCATGGCTGCTGTTTCTTTCTCTAGGCACACAGCTACAGGACTTGGTCAGTGTCCCTTACAGTTAGATGAGACCACGTGCTGAACTCTAGCCATGGAGTGTGGCCCGGTTGATTCAGGCTGCATCCAGGCCTGAGCTGTAACACACTTCCAAATGTACTCCTCCTGCTGTTTCCTATTCCAGGAGGGGGATGAAGAACACTCTCAGGACCTTACTCTAAGAGTAAGGTAGAGCTGGGAGCTGCAAGGAGCCTGGTTCCTCAGTCACTTCATGGAGCAGAGAGCCTCCTCGCTACCTGTGCTGAACTGTAAGTGGGCACAAAAAAATCTTTTTTAGGTGTTGAGCTTGTTTGTTAAAGGATTTAGCATACTTGATTATTATGATTAATGTTATTTCTTATTTACTTCTTTATATCCTGTAATCAGACATAATAGATTGTTGGCAAACTTACTTTATGTTTATCATTTTTACTATATATTAATTTAAAAATATTGTATAAATGTTATAGAAAATTTAGGAATTAATACAAAGTAGGAAGAGAAGAAACAAATATGAACAATTCCTGCCACTATATTGCTATATTTCTTTTTAGGTCTTCCTTTTTTCTTTCTTCAAGGATTTTTTTCTTTTCATGTAGTTGATAGCTTACTGGATAGACAATTTTGTACCTTTATCTTTTGTATTTTATATAATGGTATACTGTTTTCCATGGTGTTAAAAATTACACACTGTTTCATTCTTTAGATGTAACAATATTTATTTAACTCTCCTCTGATCAGTGGTGATTTCTTCACAATTAAAAAGTAGTGCAGTGACATTGTCTTCATCCACAATGCTCTTTCTGTAAGGAAATAACTTTAATAAAATTACTTGTTTTTTACAAACATGCATTTCTCTTTCAGTTCTTTTACCAGGGTGTTATAAAGAGCTCCCTCTTACAGTGGAGGGTCCAGCAGAGGCCCTGTGACCAGATAGCTTGGATGTGCATTGAGACAAGCGTGGCACCAGAGGATGTTAAAAGTTCCTGCCAATTTCTGTGGTTTTAGTAGGGGCCACATTTTTAAATTATTATTAATTAAACAATTTCTTAACAAAATCGTAAGTCCTATCCAGGCAGAGATAACTATGTTGTTAAGTGACCAGATATAGCCAAGTACAAAGTGTTTTGTCCTACTTAAAATAAATATTTATTTTTTAAACAGGTAATATGTTAACCTGGGTTAGTGTTCAAAAGATAGAAAAAATATAGTAAAAATTATCTTTATTACTCTTGTTTCTAGTCACTCCATTTATTTTCCAAGAGGCAAGTAAAAATTTCAGTTTCTTGGGTATCTTTTCAAATAATTTATTTGTATATACAATGAAACACACATTTATTGCTTTATTATTTTTCATATAGATGGTAGCTTGTCATAAACTTTGCCAAGTAAACTAGCTTGCAAATGCTAGTAAATCTTGGAAGATATTCTATGTGAGTTCACCCAGAGCCTTCCTTGTGGAAACTGATTCCACAGTTTTATTGCAGTCCGTTGTATGGGTATACCATAATTTAATGAACGGATCTCTATTGATGCTTCCAAACTACTTTTGTTTTGAAGTTACAAACAAGCTTCAGTGAATAACCTTAGCTATGGTAATATTGTAGTTGTGCAAGTTTTTCTGTACAACAAATTTCTAGAAGCAGAATTTCTCCCTCAATGGGTATATCAGTTTGCTATTTATGCATAAACAGCTACCTCAAAACTTGACGACTTAAAACAATAAGGACTTAGTGTTTATTATTAATAAATCTATAGGTCTGTAGATTTATTTACAGGGTGGTTCTGCAGATATGGGCAAAGCTTCATTGAGATTGGCTGGGCTTGGTCGGTCCCTACAGGCAACTGATAAATTGGCTTGGGATTGGCAAGTCTAAGATGTTCTCTCCCATACATCTGGTGGTTGGTTGGTTGGGTGTCTGTTGGCTGGAAAGACAGAGATAACTGGACTATGTGCTGATCATCCTCTAGCAGGCTAGTTGGGGCTTGTTCATACAGAGAAGGCAGGGTCCAGAGAGAGCAGAAGCACCCAGGACATCTTGAGATCCAGCCGCAAAACTGGAACACCACTGCCTTCCACTAGCCAGAGATAATCACAAGACCAGCCCAGATTCAAGAGGAGGGGAAATAGATTCCATCTTAAAGGCAGTCACACAATAGGACTCACACTGTATTCATGCAGTGTCCACTTATTGATATAAGAGCTAAAAGGAAATTATTTAGGCAGATAGTGAGGGTAAGAGAGTCCTTGGCAGAATTTCCCATTTAACAAAAGGCAGCCCCCAAATCATTTCTTTTCTAACAAAAAGCAGCCTGAAAAATTGGGTTGCAAACATAGATAAGCAAGCTGGAAACTTGAACGTGTGAATGCTGACATCTGTGCCACGGGTTACCTGGAAGCCAGGTATGTTCAACATGGAGGCTCCATCTTCTCTTTTCTTTGTCACCATGAGAACAGTGAAAGAGTGGGCAACATGGCAGTAGAGAACCCATCTGCATAATAAAAGATTAGGGTGCGGCCACAAGTTTCTTTACATGCTATGCAAATGGCACACCTGGCCCAACCAATCTCTTGTGTCCTATGTAAATCAGACACTGCCTCCTCAAGCTCATCTATAAAAACTCCTGCACTTCACCATGGACCAGAAGACCCACTTGGAGCCCCTCTCTTTCTGCAGGAGAGAGAGCTTTTCTCTTTCTTTCGTCTATTAAACCTCTACTTAACCTCACTCCTTGTGTGTCCACATCCTTTATATCCTTGGCATGAGGCAATGAACCTCAGATATTACCTCAGATGAATGACAGTGTTTCATTATGATATGGTTTGGCTCTGTGTCCCCACCCAAATCTCATTTTGAATTGAAATCCCCAAGTGTTGAAGGAAGGACCTGGTGGGGGGTAATTGGATCATGGGGGACATTCCCCTCCCATGATAGTGATAGTTGGTGAGTTTTCACGAGATCTGATGGTTTAAAAGTGTGTGGCAGTTTCCCCCCTCGGTCTCTCTCTCCTCTCTCTTTCTCCCTTCCCTGCCACCACGTAAGACGTGCCTTGCTTCCCCATCACCTTTCACTGTGATTGTGACTTTCCTGAGGCCTCTCCAGCCATGTGGAAGTGTGAGTCAGTTAAACCTCTTTTTTTAATAAATTACCCAGTCTGGGGTAGTTCTTTATAGCAGTGAGAAAATGGACTAATGCACCTCACAGAGGGATGAGGGCAGGAAAGGCTGAAGTACTGTGGCCATTCTTCCCAAGCAATCACCATATGCAAGTGCACTTAAAATGTTGACAGACGTGTCGAAATTGCCTTCGAAAAATTTACCGATGTATGCTGCCACCAGCAGTGCTTGAGGATACCTCTTTCCTTACAGCTTCGCTAACAGAGCATGTTACCATATTTTTGGATTTTTGCCAATTTGATAAATGAAAATGTAATCTTGGTTAAATTTTAATTTTTTTCAATTATTTTTGTGTTAATGATGGAAAATTTATTTGTATATTTAGAATGGATTTGTCTTGTCTTTCCCGTGCATTGTTGGTCCAGATTCCTGTATTTTGGCCTCTCTAAGAAGCCCCATGTAAGGCCCAAGGGGAGGAGAGAAACTGGGGATGTCAGGGATGGAGTGGGATATAAGGCAAGAAAGGAGACTGAGGTCAGATGATGGGCACCGGTAATTGTCATTTTGAGAAATCTGGATTTGAATCTACGAAGCAAGGAGGAAACATTGAGTTTTGCAGCCAGAGAAGTGACACAATCAGAACTGAGCTGTGTTCTAGAAAAATAACTGTCCAGAGGGTGCAGAGGGCTGGGTAGTAGAAGATGTCAGAGCGTGATTATGGCAGTGACCCAGGTGAGGGTCTCAGGCCTCCACCGGGGCATCGTGAGGACATGGCCAGGAGGGGACCTTGGGGCAGTATTGCAGAGGCAGCATGAGCAAGAGAGACAGATGGCTAGACACTGTGATGGTTGAGCCAGGAGGCTGCAGCATGGGGCTGTTACTAACTCATGTAATGAGAGAGTAAAGCAAGGGCTTACTTGGCAAGAGAGTGAGCTGGTTTTCATTCACCCCATTGAATTAAATGTGCTACTGAGGCATCACTAAGCAGATATCGAGAAGGCTGTTTAATGTTTGAGATTGCAGGCTCAGGAGCAAGGTCAGGGCTGGATATAAACATTTGAGAGTCATCCATGTAAGAGTGCTAAAGTTACCAAGGAAGAGTGCTTATGAATTAAGAACCCAGGACAGAAACTAGCAAAGGACATATTTTAATGGACAAATGTAGGAAAAGAAAACAGTAAAAAATGTTGAGAAGTAGGTCGTGATTGCTGAAGCTCTTGGCAGCTGTAAAATCCAGCGATTCTCTGGACAATAATAAATACATCAGCTTGTCCCACAGGTGGTCTGACCACATGAAACTTTGTTTCAACTTGAGCTGTCACTTGTTTCCTGATTTTCCTAGTCGTCTAGCTAGAGCTCCTTTCATTCCAGCAGTCAGCTTCTGGGGCATATGTTGTGTGTCAGCAGTTCGTCCCACTAGTATTCAATTTGACCATGAAGCAGCTAACAGCATTAAAGTGCAGCCAGCACAACCCCATTGCTGCTGGATTCATTGTCCTCCAGAAGCATATTGTGGGTGAATTTGTTTTTCTATTTGCTATTAAGTTTGGCTCATAGGGAACTCTGACAAAATGGTCTCTAAACTGAATTTGACATCAGCGACTAGTCCAAATTCTGCATCTCCTCAGTAGGTCGGATACTTTGTTTGATCTGATTTAGAATGCTGAGTCAAGCATACCATTCTCCCTAACCTTCTGAAAGTTGTGATTCTCTGTGGTTTTTTGTTTTAATCAATAGTAACAGGGACCTAATCGATAGAGAGGGTACAAGCTGTTCTCTGCCAGTGAAGAATTCAGATGCACAAATATGTTTTGATTTTGTAAGTGGCTCTAAGGTGGTATTGCATTGATTCACCATTGAAACTGCTTGGTTATTTTCCAAACACCAAGAGGAAACAATTTGATTAAATCAAACCTCCACGTTTAATCCATTTGAAACCTAATGCCTATTAAGGAGATGGAAGGAGGAGGTGGGAAACTTCTGGAGTGTTTCTGATGTAAAAACTAAAGCATGTTTTAAAATTCCTCATAAGAAGTCTCTAAAAACAATTTAGATACAAGAGTTAGCAGGTAGAGGAAAAGTCATAGTTTTGGATAGCTCTTGGGAAACCTAGAAGTAAAAGTTAGAAAGCTACTTGGCACTGTTTTCTTATGAACAGTGCATTTGCACTTGAAAAGCAGATGGCTTGCAGATGAGGTATTTGCAGTGTACTTAATAAGCTCCACTCAATATGTTGCAGGATGTTATAGGGTAAGTCAGCGAAGAAAAGCCTTCTCCTCTAGAAATAGTTAGACACTGTTTTCTTTAGGCTTCAGGTAGATTATAATGATATAGATTGTGCCCGTGCTCTCAAGCTAGGTCTCTATTAATTGAACCTGACGCCTGCTGCTATAGAACAACCAGTTACAACAAAGCCAGTTTTTTATCCTTCTGATACTGTTCAATAGGTGATGCTTCCAAACCAGAAACAACATTCTTCTCACTAAAATACTTTGAGCCAAGGAATTGCAGCACCGAAGTTTCAAAATGCAAAAATGCACTGTTTGAGAAGCATTTCATGTTTTTTCTCCTTAGAGATAAATGGTAGATAATTTTCTCTGTAACTGTAATCCATCTATAAGCACTGGGTTCTTACTCAGACTGGAAGGAAGTGGTCAGTCTTAAATCCTCTGTTTGAGTGGAAAGTCACTTTCCAAGTACTTGTAGAAAAGGATGACATGGGCCAGGCGCAGTGGCTCACACCTGTAATCCCAGAGCTCTGGGAGGCTGAGGCAGGTGGATAACCTGAGGTTGGGAGTTCAAGACCAGCCTGACCAACATGGAGAAACCCTGTCTCTACTAAAAAAACAAAATTAGCGTGGCAAGGTGGTGCATGCATGTAATCCCAGCTACTCAGGAGGCTGAGGCAGGAGAATCGCTGGAGGCCTCAGAGGCAGAGGTTGCGTTGAGCCAAGATCGTGCCATTGCACTCCAGCCTGGGCAACAAGAGTGAGACTCCATCTCAAAAAAAGAAAAAAAAAAAAAAAAAGAAAAGGATGATATGGTGACCACTTATGCTTATGCTCCATTTTTTTTTTTTTAGGCGTACAGCTGCTAATTATCTTTCTGTAAATGCAATAAACAGAATACATTTTTAATTAATACAACCTCATATGTGTATATTTATTGTAGTTTCTTTTACTAATAAGATTCTAGAATATATTGTGGGGATCCTTAAAAAAAATCTCCTGGTGGGCGTGAAATTTACCTAGCACCAGTACTGATTATTTTCTTTTTTGAGGATTAGAAAACTTAATATGTAATCCATTGTCCTTACTCAAAAAATCCTAAAGTTCACTGCACCACCTTCTTGTAACATGTCTCTATGCTTGGACTTTGTCTATTTTATGGATTCTGAGAGTTCACTTATTGAATATATTTGTCTTTGTTTGAGGTGTAATAGTATTCCTGTAGCAGATTTTGCTTAGGCAGAATCTGAGGGGATTCATCTCTGGGGAGGCTATGGGAGGATGTAACCAACATCTTAATCTCTGTCCTGTGGAAAACAGTTAGAGAATACCTCTTCCTCTGTGATGGAAAGGACCTACCCCTTTCCTGAAGAGGCCACACTGACACTGTGGAGACACTTCTCGGCCATTCATCCCCAGCATAAGCAGAGACAGTCAAATTTGCCCAACTTTAGGGGCAGAAATGAAAGCATTTTATGTTATACAGCTAAATATTGTTTGAACATAACATTTAACAGGGAATAAATGGGTGTAGGAAACCTTCAAAGGGGCTTTGCTCCTTGGTCACGCTGTCTATCTCATTATTTAGAAATATTTGATATGATCTGGTCAGAGATGGGAGTAACAAACTATAAGAGCTAGAGAGAGCCTAGAAGCAGGAGATTTAATATTTCATTTCGACACTTGCAGAAACAGAGCAACAGATTCAATTTTTTTTTCCCTCCTTGACATTTAGGGAAACAGAGGAGGAAGACCCTGCCCAGAATTGCTTAGCCTTGAGTTAATTAACTAGTTAAATAATTTTATAATAGAATGCAAGTTTTCAGTCTCTGTACACATAGTCCTCTTCCTTTTGCTTGTGTCTGACATCATATTTCAAAATTCTTCAGCTCCAGCTTACCTTGAAATGATGGAACATCTGAGGAAACGTTATCTGTGTTTGGGCTTTGAATTTCACTGTCTTTTGTACAGCTGATGATTCAAGCCTTGCCTAGTGTCCCTAACACTCCCAAATTGTTCTCAGCAACAAAGCACATGTTCGCAGCAAAGCCAACCAGATCTAGGCACACCAGCTGAAGGGTTATGCCAGATTCCTGCACAGGTCATTTATTTGTTGCCATTAGCAAGATATGAATTAGACACTGAACTAGATGAAGATTCACATTATTTATGATAACTGTCAACAGTAGATGCAAAAAGATGCCAACAGCTGTCATAAGAAGTGGAGCAGCACTGGAGTTCAGTACTATACTAAGGTTGGCCCTACCCTCTGGGACAGCCTTCACCAGCTCAACGGCATGGTAACTTTTTCTCGTCCAAACAGAAACAAAACAAGGATCATTAACCTCCTGTCTGTAAAATCTCAGGCTTTTTAGGAACTAGAAGTTGGAACATGCTTTAGATAATTTCAATTGAACAAATATTAACCATTCACTATATGCCCAGGGCTGTACAAAGCTCTATGGGGTATAGAAATGAATATGGCAATGTCTCAGGTCTCAGGAGTTTACAGTAACTGGGCTGAAAAGGGACCACATATTATTATAATATAAAGGAAAAATAAAGTAATTTTCTTTGGAGACTTTTTAAAAGTACCAAAACACCATAGTGCAATGACTTGAATTCAGAACCTTACAGACACTTGCTCAATTTCTAAAATTTGTCAATTGCTATCAGTAAGAACTTGGGTAAGACCCTTAACATTTCATGTACTGTTTGCTGCTTTAAAAAACCACCATAGGGTTGTTGTACAGAAGAAATAACATTGCTTATGTAAAATGCCTGTTATACTGCCAGACACGTTAGCAGACATTGAGAAGAGGGAGATACAAAGTCTGATAGAAAAATGGGTTGAGTCAGAAAGAAGCTTCATTATTTTACTTTTGAAGTATAAGCAGAGAATGGCAGATAGAGAAGCAGCATTAGATTAACCATAAAGATTTAAGGAGCATTCAAACATAGTTGGGCGCTGGATGTGGGGGGTGAAGGTAGATTTTTGTTGTTGTTGTGGTTTTTAGAGACAAGGTCTCACTTTGTCACCCAGGCTGGAGAGCAGTGGTACAACTGTGGCTCCCTGCAGGCTTAACCTCCTGGGCTCGAACGATCTTCCCACCTCAGCCTCCCAAATAGCTGACACTACAGGTGTGCACCACTACAATCAGCTAATATTTTTATCTTTGTAGAGATGGGATTCTGCTGTATTGCCCAGGCTGGTCTTAAACTCCTGGGCTCAAGCTATCCTCCTGCCTTTGCCTACCAAAGTCCTGGGATAGCAGTCATGAGCCACTGCATCTGGCCAGGGTGAGAATATTTTTGGAGAGCTTTGAAAGCGGATAGAAAAGACGGAGTTTGCCGATCTACAGCTGCCAGCATGAGCGACGCAGAAGACAGGTGATTTCTGCATTTCCATCTGAGGTACCAGGTTCATCTCCCTAGGGAGTGCCAGACAGCGGGTGCAGGACAGTGCGTGCAGCGCACCGTGCGTGAGCCGAAGCAGGGCGAGGCATTGCCTCACTCGGGAAGTGCAAGGGGTCAGGGAGTTCCCTTCCTAGTCAAAGAAAGGGGTGACAGACGGCACCTGGAAAATCGGGTCACTCCCACCCTAATACTGTGCTTTTCCAACAGGCTTAAAAAACGGCGCACTAGGAGATTATATCCCGCACCTGGCTCAGAGGGTCCTGCGCCCACAGAGTCTCCCTGATTGCTAGCCCAGCAGTCTGAGATCAAACTGCAAGGTGGCAGCGAGGCTGGGGGAGGGGCGCCTGCCATTGCCCAGGCTTGATTAGGCAAACAAAGCAACCGGGAAGCTTGAAGTGGGTGGAGCCCACCACAGCTGAGGAGGCCTGCCTGCCTCTGTAGGCTCCACTTCTGGGGGCAGGGCACAGACAAACAAAAGGACAGTAGTAACCTCTGCAGACTTAAATGTCCCTGTCTGACAGCTTTGAAGAGAGTAGTGGTTCTCCCAGCACACAGCTGGAGATCTGAGAATGGGCAGACTGCCTCCTCAAGTGGGTCCTTGACCCCCGAGCAGCCTAACTGGGAGGCACCCCCAAGTAGGGGCAGACTGACACCTCACACGGCCGAGTACTCCTCTGAGACAAAACTTCCAGAGGAACGATCAGGCAGCAGCATTTGCGGTTCACCAAGATCCGCTGTTCTACAGCCACCGCTGTTCTGCAGCCACCGCTGCTGATACCCAGACAAATGGTCTGGAGTGGACCTCTAGCAAACTCCAACAGACCGGCAGCTGAGGGTCCTCTCTGTTAGAAGGAAAGCTAACAAACAGAAAGGACATCCACACCAAACACCCTTCTGTACGTCACCATCATGAAAGACCAAAGGTAGATAAAGCCACAAAGATGGGGAAAAAACAGAGCAGAGAAACTGGAAACTCTAAAAAGCAGAGCGCTTCTCCTCCTCCAAAGGAACACAGCTCCTCACCAGCAATGGAACAAAGCTGGATGGAGAATGGCTTTGACGAGCTGAGAGAAGAAGGCTTCAGATGATCAAACTACTCTGAGCTACAGGAGGAAATTAAAACCAATGGCAAAGAAGTTAAAAACTTGAAAAAAAATTAGACAAATGGATAACTAGAATAACCAAGGCAGAGAAGTCCTTAAAGGAGCTGATGGAGCTGAAAGCCAAGGCTGGAGAACTATGTGAAGAATGCAGAAGCCTGAGGAGCTGATGCGATCAACTGGAAGAAAGGGTGTCAGTGATGGAAGATGAAATGAATGAAATGAAGTGAGAAGGGAAGTTTAGAGAAAAAAGAATAAAAAGAAATGAACAAAGCCTCCAAGAAATATGGGACTATGTGAAAAGACCAATTCTATGTCTGATTGGTGTACCTGAAAGTGACGGAGAGAATGGAACCAAGTTGGAAAACACTCTGTAGGATATTATCCAGGAGAACTTCCCCAATCTAGCAAGGCAGGCAAACATTCAGATTCAGGAAATACAGAGAACGCCACAAAGCTACTCCTCGAGAAGAGCAACTCCAAGACACATAATTGTCAGTTTCACCAAAGTTGAAATGAAAGAAAAAATGTTAAGGGCAGCCAGAGAGAAAGGTTGGGTTGCCCACAAAGGGAAGCCCATCAGAGTAACAGCGGATCTCTCAGCAGAAACTCTACCAGCCAGGAGACATTGGGGGACAATATTCAACATTCTTAAAGAAAAGAATTTTCAACCCAGAATTTCATATCCAGCCAAACTAAGCTTCATAAGTGAAGGAGAAATAAAATGCTTTACAGACAAGCAAATGCTGAGAGATTTTGTCACCACCAGGCCTGCCCTAAAAGAGCTCCTGAAGGAAACACTAAACATGGAAAGGAACAACTGGTACCAGCCACAGCAATCACATGCCAAAATGTAAAGACCATCAAGGCTAGGAAGAAAACTGCATCAACTGACGAGCAAAATAACCAGCTAACATCATAATGACAGGACCAAATTCACACATAACAATATTAACTTTAAATGTAAATGGGCTAAATGCTCCAATTAAAAGACACAGACTGGCAAATTGGATAAAGAGTCAAGAACCATCGGTGTGCTGTATTCAGGAAACCCATCTCATGTGCAGAGACACACATAGGCTCAAAATAAAGGGATGGAGGAAGATCTACCAAGCAAATAGAAAATAAAAAAAGGCAGGGGTTGCAATCCTAGTCTCTGATAAAACAGACTTTAAGCCAACAAAGATCAAAAGAGACAAACAAGGCCATTACATAATGGTAAAGGGATCAATTCGACAAGAAGAGCTAACTATCCTAAATATATATGCATCCAATACAGGAGCACCAAGATTCATAAAGCAAGTCCTTAGTGACCTACAAAGAGACTTAGACTCCCACACAATAATAATGGGGGACTTTAACACCCCACTGTCAACATTAGACAGATCAACGAGACAGAAAGTTAACAAGGATACCCAGGAATTGAACTCAGCTCTGCACCAAGCGGACCTAATAGACATCTACAGAACTCTCCACCCCAAATCAACAGAATATACATTGTTTTCAGCACCACACCACACCTATTCCAAAATTGACCACACAGTTGGAAGTAAAGCACTCCTTAGCAAATGTAAGAGAACAGAAATTATAACAAACTGTCTCTCAGACCACAGTGTAATCAAACTAGAACTCAGGACTAAGAAACTCACTCAAAACCGCTCAACTACATGGAAACTGAACAACCTGCTCCTGAATGACTACTGGGTACATAACGAAATGAAGGCAGAAATAAAGATGTTCTTTGAAACCAACGAGCAAAGACACAACATACCAGAATCTCTGGGACACATTCAAAGCAGTGTGTAGAGGGAAATTTATAGCACTAAATGCCCACAAGAGAAAGCAGGAAAGATCCAAAATCGACACCCTAATGTCACAATTAAAAGAACTAGAAAAGCAAGAGCAAACACATTCAAAAGCTAGCAGGAGGCAAGAAATAACTAAAATCAGAGCAGAACTGAAGGAAATACAGACACAAAAAACCCCTCAAAAAATTAATGAATCCAGGAGCTGGTTTTTTGAAAAGATCAACAAAATTGATAGACCGCTAGCAAGACTAATAAAGAAGAAAAGAGAGAAGAATCAGATAGACACAATAAGAAATGATAAAGGGGATATCACCACCAGTCCCATAGAAATACAAACTACCATCAGAGAATACTACAAACACCTCTACACAAATAAACTAGAAAATCTAGAAGAAATGGATAAATTCCTTGACCCATACACCCTCCCAAGACTAAACCAGGAAGAAGTTGAATCTCTGAATAGATCAATAACAGGTTCTCAAATGTGGCAATAATCAATAGCTTACCAACCAAAAAAAAGTCCAGAACCAGACGGATTCACAGCCAAATTCCACCAGAGGTACAAGGAGGAACTGGTACCATTCCTTCTGAAACTATTCCAATCAATAGAAAAAGAGGGAATCCTCCCTAACTCATTTTATGAGGCTAGCATCATCCTGATACCAAAGCCTAGCAGAGACACAACCAAAAAAGAGAATTTTAGACCAATATCCTTGATGAACATTGATGCAAAAATCCTCAATAAAATACTGGCAAACCGAATCCAGCAGCACATCAAAAAGCTTATTCACCATGATCAAGTGGGCTTCATCCCTGGGATGCAAGGCTGGTTCAACATATGCAAATCAATAAATGTAATCCAGCATATAAACAGAACTAAAGACAAAAACCACATGATTATCTCAATAGATGCAGAAAAGGCCTTTGACAAAATTCAACAACCCTTCATGCTAAAGACTCTCAATAAATTAGGTATTGATGGGACGTATCTCAAAATAATAAGAGCTATCTATGACAAACCCACAGCCAATATCATACTGAATGGACAAAAACTGGGAGCATTCCCTTTGAAAACTGGTACAGGACAGGGATGCCCTCTCTCACCACTCCTATTGAACATAGTGTTGGAAGTTCTGGCCAGGGCAATTAGGCAGGAGGTGGAAATAAAGCGTATTCAATTAGGAAAAGAGGAAGTCAAATTGTCCCTGTTTGCAGATGAGATGATTATACATGTAGAAAACCCCATCGTCTCAGCCCAAAATCTCCTTAAGCTGATAAGCAACTTCAGCAAATTCTCAGGATACAAAATCAATGTACAAAAATCAAGCATTCTTATACACCAATAACAGACAAACAGAGAGCCAAATCATGAGTGAACTCCCATTCTCAATTGCTTCAAAGAGAATAAAATACCTAGGAATCCAACTTACAATGAAAGTGAAGGACCTGTTCAAGGAGAACTACAAACCACTGCTCGATGAAATAAAAGAGGATACAAACAAATGGAAGAACATTCCATGCTCATGGGTAGGAAGAATCAATATCCTGAAAGTGGCCATACTGCCCAAGGTAATTTATAGATTCAATGCCATCCCCATCAAGCTACCAATGACTTTCTTCACAGAATTAGAAAAAACTACTTTAAAGTTCATATGGAACCAAAAAAGAGCCTGTGTCGCCAAGTCAATCCTAAGACAAAAGAATAAAGCTGGAGGCATCACACTACCTGACTTCAAACTGTACTACAAGGCTGCAGTAACCAAAACAGTATGGTACTGGTACTAAAACAGAGATATAGACCAATGGAACAGAACAGAGCCCTCAGAAATAATGCCACATATCTACACCATCTGATCTTTGACAAACCTGACAAAAACAAGCAATGGGGAAAGGATTCCCTACTTAATAAATGGTGCTGGGAAAACTGGCTAGCCATATGTAGAAAGCTGAAACTGGATCCCTTCCTTACACCTTATACAAAAATTAATTCAAGATGGATTAAAGACTTACATGTTAGACCTAAAACCATAAAAACCCTAGAAGAAACCTAGGCAATACCATTCAGGACATAGGCATGGGCAAGGACTTCATGTCTAAAACACCACAAGCAATGGCAACAGAAGCCAAAATTGACAAATGGGATCTAATTAAACTAAAGATCTTCTGCACAGCAAAAGAAACTACCATCAGAGTGAACAGGCAACCTACAAAATGGGAGAAAATTTTTGCAACCTACTCATCTGACAAAGGGCTAATATCCAGAATCTACAATGAACTCAAACAAATTTACAAGAAAAAAACAAACAACCCCATCAAAAAGTGGGCAAAGGATATGAACAGACACTTCTCAAAAGAAGACATTTAGGCAGCCAACAGACACATGAAAAAATGCTCATCATCACTGGCCATCAGAGAAATGCAAATCAAAACCACAATGAGATACCATTTCACACCAGTTAGAATGGCAATCATTAAAAAGTCAGGAAACAACAGGTGCTGGAGAGGATGTGGAGAAATAGGAACACTTTTACACTGTTGGTGGGACTGTAAACTAGTTCAACCATTGTTGAAGTCAGTGTGGCGATTCCTCAGGGATCTAGAACTAGAAATACCACTTGACCCAGCCATCCCATTACTGGGTATATACCCGAAGGACTATAAATCATGCTGCTATAAAGACACATGCACACGTATGTTTATTGCGTCACTATTCACAATAGGAAAGACTTGGAACCAACCCAAATGTCCAACAATGATAGACTGGATTAAGATAATGCGGCACATATACACCATAGAATACTATGCAGCCATAAAAAATGAAGAGTTCATGTCCTTTGTAGGGACATGGATGAAACTGGAAACCATCATTCTCAGCAAACTAACGCAAGGACAAAAAACCAAACACCACATGTTCTCACTCATAGGTGGGAATTGAACAATGAGAACACATGGACACAAGAAGGGGAACATCACACTCTGGGGTCTGTTGTGGGGTGGGGGGATGGGGGAGGGATAGCATTAGGAGATATACCTAATGCTAAATGACAAGTTAATGGGTGCAGCACACCAACATGGCACATGTATACATATGTAACAAACCTGCACATTGTGCACATGTACCCTAAAACTTAAAGTATAATAAAAAAAAAGACAGAGATTGGAACTATTAGACAAAGAGAGACTGAGGAGTAGAGGTAGAAGAGATGCAAGAAAACACATGGACATTTCCTATGGGGAAGAGGTGATAGGCAACTCCAGGGTCACCACACAGAGCTGCTGCTGATTTCAATGAAGTGGGTGTTTTATGGAAGACTCTAGCCACACTCGGATCCCGCTTGAAGTGCCTGCCAGCTGTAGAGGACAGGGACAAGGCTATGACTTGCAGCCATCCCCCTTCCTCTGCTGACTGTGCTCTCTAGGTATGGGCAGCGATGGCCATTGACCATGCCATCTCCAGGACGGGGATCAGTCTGGTCAGTTGACCAAATGTCCTGGCTTAGAGGATATGGTGCAATGGGGTTGGTCACCCTCCTGTGCAGTGGTTTAATACTTGTTCTCATTCTTGTCCAGAATCAGCCAGGTGTTCTGGAGGGCCTGAGAGGGGCAATGATGATGATGGGATGGGGAGAACAAAGTCAGATTGAAGCATGTGAGTCATACTATTTAGACATAAAATGCACCTGATGGTTTATTGCAGCACAGAGATCCAGAGAGGGGACGTGATGTGCCTGGGGACCTGGAGTAGATGTACAGAGTGCGAACTAGAGTACAGGCCACCTGCTTTATGGTCCAAGCTCCTTACCACCACAGGACCTCTCACTAGTAGAGACCACACACACACACACACACACACACACACTAATGTTTTATGTGCATTTGATATCTCAATTATTTTATTAGACCCAGTTAAAGTATCTCTTTGAGAACTATCCCGTGACTTTTCAGATGGCAGATATCACTGGTCCTATGTACCCCCTTACGACATTGAACATATATCGATGGTAACACTTGTCCACATGCTTTTCTTCCTAACTAGTATAGTTTTTAAAATTTATCTTGAATTCTTTTTTTTTTTTTTTTTTTTTTTTTTTTTTTTTTTTTTTTTGAGACAAGGCCCCACTCTGTTGCCCAGACTGGACTGCAGTAGTGCAATCTGGGCTCACTGCACCCTCCACCTCCTGGCCTCAATTGATCCTTCCACCACAGCCTCCTAAGTATCTAGGACCAGAGGCACATGCCACCACACCAGCCTAATTGTGGTAATTTTTGTAGAGCTGGGGTCCACTCTGTTGTCCATGCTGGTCTCCAACTCCTGGGCTCAAGAGATCCAACCACCTTGGCCTCCCAAAGTGCTGAGATTACAGGCTATATTGAATTCTTAATCTTGTACTTCTCTAGGACCTAGTTGGAATAGATGCTTATTAAACATGTGCTCATTAAATTACCTTGGGCAGTATAGCCATTTTTGTGATATTTATTCTTCCTATCCGTGAGCATGGAATGCTCTTCCATTTGTTTGTGTCCTCTTTTATCTCACTGGGCAGTGGTTTGTAGTTCTCCTTGAAGAGGTCCTTCACATCCCTTGTAAATTGGATTCCTAGGTATTTTATTTTCTTTGAAGCAGTTGTGAATGGGAATTCACTCATGATTTGGCTCTCTGTTTGTCTGTTATTGATGTATAGGAATGCTTGTGATTTTTGTACATTGATTTTGTATCCTGAGACTTTGCTGAAGTTGCTTATCAGCTTAAGGAGATGTTGAGCTGAGACAATGGGGTTTTCTAAATATACAGTCATCTTATCTGCAAACAGGGACAATTTGACTTCCTTAGGCTCCTGCCCCTCACTGGAGGCTGGAGGAGGAATCACTGAGGACATCCTTCCCTGTTGCTACTCAGTTCTTGGTGCTTTCCACTCTGAATCCTACCCCTGACTATAGGTCCATAAAACTGTTGGAGTCTTTGTTTGAAGCTCCCTAAACAGACAGACAACCCCTGTCTTCAGTGACTCACTTGGCCCTTGACTGGTGTACCACTCCATAGAGGAAGATGGCACAGGAGAATTGGTCTTGTCTCCAGTTTTATCTGACTAGTAACCTGAGTATAATCTCATAAGACATCTGCCATTTATTGATTGTCAGCGTTTATCCAGCTATGAGTGCAGATGGGGTGAGAGCTCTTCTTCCCCTTGGCTCTTCATGGCCATATCTCGAGAAGTTGTAGGTCTAAGGGGGCTGACTTCCCAGAGAAAGGTCTCTTCCCCATTCAGGGTTATATAACTAGCCCTCTGTTCCTCATGTTAGAACATCTAAATATTTTGAATCTGCAGATAAATAACAAATTAGGGTTTATTTTATTAACTCAGGGCTTTCACGTAGTAGTTTCTTACTAGAAATAAATGTAAATAATCATCAATTCAGTGAATTATAGGTGTTAAAATTATGAAGGCACTATCTAGCTAATCAAAATAACCAAGGCCTAGGAGGACTTTTTGAACACTGTTCTTTCTGCTTTTATTAACATTTCTACTATGGGTTGGCACATAATCTTAAAAAATGATGAACTACATTATGAATATCTGACTCAAAAGAAGATGAGAGTTGTCTAATTTATTTAACGTTTTTATCAGTTTAAACTTTTTCTGGCTTCTAAAATCCGGGAAATAATATCAGCTCTCAGATGGCGGCAGAACCGTGGGCTCTATAGAGGTTACCCCCATCCTCTTCTCTCTTTCCACTGGATTTCTAATACATGTATCTCCAGGTTTTGAGGAAATAATTAGGTAATTAAGTGTTTTGGTTTGAAAGATCACTTGTTGGACTAAAGAATACATGGAGCAGAAAATGCAAACACAAGATCGTGGGTGGTCTCAACAAAGATCTTTCTTTTCTATTTTGCTTAATTAGGTTCCTAAGAATTTGAAAGCAAGATTTTCTGCAGATAAACTGTGGGGCAGATGAGTGCCTTAGGAAAATTGATAGTTGACTATGCTTGGTTGTGCCATTTCTGGGAACAATGTAAATTTCATGTAGGGAATTTGTTACAAAGCTGATGAAAAGGCTAAGAAAGCTCATGGAGCCATGGGCGGCCTGGAGATTAGCAACAGTGGGAAGCCTGGGCTGGAGGGATGTGGTCAGGAGCTGTCAGTCCGCAGCTTGGGGCCTGGGCTCAGGGCAGAAGCTGGAACTGGGGCAGGTCTGCCCTGTGCGGGTTGGGCTATGGCTTAGTTATGAAGGTTAGTTAGTTCATTTTTTACCTGCAGAGTTTTTCAAGTGCTGCTGTCAAGAAACAGCTTTTGTTTCCTAACCAATTTTCATTAAAGCTTTGGTGCCACTAGGGTCTCAGCATTTGCATCAGGCGTTTGTCCATTGATTAATTCATTCATTCATCCTACACATTCCTACTGAGTGCCTGTGAAATATTAGAACCTGCTTTGTGTTAGGAAAGCAGGCTTCAGCTGTCATCAAACTGTGTTAGGTTTCTCCAGAGAGACAGAGCCAGTATGATCAACAAAAGGAGATGTATTAGGGGACCTGGCCGATGCCATCAGAGGCGAAGTCCCACCATAGGCCACTTGCAAACTGCAGAATCAGAGAAGCCGATAGCCTGGCTGAGGTCAAGCCCAAAACCTGTGTACTAGGGAAGTCATGAGTAAAGCCCCCAGCCAGGCCCAAGAGCCCCCATCTTGGTGTCTGGTGCAAGTTCCAGAGTTCAAAAGCTGAAAAGCCTTGAGTCTGATGTCCAAGGGCAAGAGAAAAAGGTTCTTCCTCTGGAAGAAGGAAAGCAGAGTGAATCCCCCCTTCTTCTGCCTGTCTGTTGCTCCAGTTGGGTCCCAACTGATGGGCTGGTGACCACCCACACTGAGGGCAGGTCTTCCTCTGGAAATGTCGTCTGGAAACTTCTGCATTGACACCCAGAAACAGTGCTTTACTAGCTGTCAGGCAGCCCTCAATCCAGTCAAGTCGACACCAAATATTAACCATCACACAAACCTAATGGACATTTGGTTAGTGTGCTTCAATTGTTATTATTTTTCTTTTCAAGAATGAGTCTCGTGGTTAAACCAGCCAAGTATAAGCATTAAGTAACAGAGGAGACTGCCTTCAGCGCAAGGAAGGAAATTCTCACAGTGGTTCTATTTGGAAACTTCATGATGGATGCCTATCAGTTTTCAGTTTCAATAAAGACCTAATTTTAAGGATGACTTTTTTTTTTTTTTTAAGATGGAGTTTTGCTCTTATCACCCAGGCTGAAGTGCAGTGGCGTGATCTCAGCTCACCGCAATCTCTGCCTCCCAGGTTCAAGTGATTATCCTGCCTCAGCCTCCTGAGTAGCTGGAATTACAGGCATGTGCCACCTTGCCTGGCTAATTTTGTATTTTTAGCAGAGACGGGGTTTCTCCATGTTGGTCAGGCTGGTCTTGAACTCCTGACCTCAGGTGATCCACTGGTCTTGGCCTCTCAAAATGCTGGCATTTCAGGCGTGAGCCCACTGTGACCAGCCGAGGATGACTTTTAACTTCTCCACCTGTAGTAGAACTCAAAGTAAGGGCATTTCCCTCCATAGTAACTGGCTTCTCTGCTCCTTCTCATGAACAGCTGTCACAGGAATGGCTTTGGTTTGTTCACTCCAAGTTAAATCAGCTGAATAAGGCTGATGAGTACTTGGGTATTTCATTCTTGGACAGCAGGTGAGGAAGTAGAAGGGAGCCACCCTGGCACTCCCATCACATGTAGATTCTCTTCTCCCGGAGGGTGTCTTTGCACACTTAGGAGATACCCTACCCCTGATTGTATCTTCTTTTTGAGACCATTAAAAAAAACAAATGAATAAACACACATAGATTTTGCTCCAAACCCTTGAACCTTTTTTGTATAATTACTTGATTTTGCATTACTCCAAATGACTATTTCTAGCTTAGACTTCCCTACCTTTCCTAGCCTACCTCTGCAGTTTCTCCAAATGTGCTCCAAACAGGCTGCACATTGGAGACGCTACTTGATCTATTATGGGGTGATGTCCTGATAAACTCATCACACGTTGGAAATATTTTAAGTCCAAAATACATTTAGTACACTCAACCTACCAAACATCATAGCATAGTCTCGCTTACCTTCAACATGCTCAGAATACTTACATTAGCCAACAGTTGGGCAAAATTATCTGACACTAAGTCAGTTTAATAATAAAGTGTTGAATATCTCTTGTAATTCATTGAAAACTATACTGAAAGTGAAAAACAGCGTGGATGTATGGAACTCAAAGTACAGTTTCTATGGAATACGTGTTGATTTCCCACCATTATAAAGTTGAAAAATCAAAAGCAGAACCATTGTAAGTTGGGGACCATCTATATTATTACTCGTTTTTAGAATCCTCAATCAAGGAATTTAGTAAGATTAAAAAGAAGAAAGAAAATGTGGTACTTAGACACAATGGAGTACTATTCAGTCATAAAAAAGAATGAGATTGTGTCGTTTACAACAACGTGGATGGAACTGGAGATCATTATATTAAGTGAAATAGGGCAGGCACAAAAAGACAAACATCGTATATTCTCACTTATTTGTGGGACATAAAAATCAAAACAATTGAGCACATGGAGACAGAGACGAGAAGAATGGGTACCAGAGGCTGGGAAGTGTAGTGGGAAGTTGGGGAGAGGCAGGGATAGTTAATGGGTGCAAAAAAGTAGAAAGAATGAGTAATACTTAGTATTTGATAGCATAAAAGGGTAACTATAGTCAAAATAGCTTAATTGTATGTTTAAAAATAACTAAAAAGAGTGTAATTGGATTGTTCGTAACACAAATGATAAATGCGTAAAGGGATGGATACCCCATTCTCCATGATTTGATGATTTCACATTTCATGTCTGTATCAAAACATCTCATGTACCGCATGAATACATACACCTGTCTATGTAAAATTTGTTTAAAAAAGAGAAAGAGAAGTAAAGTTGATTTTTCTTTTTCTGTCTTTTTTTTTTTTTTTTGAGACAGAGTCTCAGTCTGTAGCCCAGGCTGGAGTGCAGTGGCGCCATCTCAGCTCACTGCAACCTCCATCTCCTGGGTTCAAGCCTCAGCCTTCCGAGTAGCTGGGATTACAGGCGCCTGCTACCACACCCGGCTAATTTAGTAGAGACGGGGTTTCACCGTGTTGGCCAGGCTGGTCTCGAACTCCTCACCTTAGGTGATCCACCCACCTCGGCCTCACAAAATGCTGGGATTACAGATGTGAACCTGGCCTATAAAGTTGATTTTTCACAGAATTGTGTTTTGTTTATTTTATTTTATTATTTTATTTTATTTTATTTTATTTTATTTTATTTTATTTTATTTTATTTTATTTTATTTTATCCTAACTGATGAAGCAGGGCTTAAGCATTTATGATGGGTGAAACTGATGTGGTGCAATGAAAACCTCATGCAGGCACTTTGGATCCAACTCAATTCATCATACATTTATGGTGCCAGATGCCATTTTGGAGAAGAAAGGGTCTTGTTCTCATGAAGTGAAGCTCACAATCTCTTAGAGAAACAGATGGGTAAAGAAATATACACCCACGGAAAGCACTTGATTAACCACCTCCTGGTAGGAGGGTTGATGGTAATTAACTGTCTCTAGGGTTAGGATGAGGTTTTGGAGGACTGGATGTCTGAGTTGAGTTCTGGAAGATGGAGAAAACAAATTTCCGTTTTTTTGTTTCCCGTGGGCTAGGAGCAAGTTGTGGCCAATAACCTCTCTCTTGACTTTTCTTTCTCCCGCCCCCTGCATCCCTGGCTCCTTCTCACCTTCAGGCCTCAGTAGGAATCTTCTCTGCAAGATTCTAAGACCGCTTGCCTCGAGTGAGCCCCTAGTCCCCCTGTGACTGCTCACCAGGACAAGTTGTGTTTCCCTCCTACTCCATAGTGCAGTGCAGAATGAATCGTTAGCGTTTAGGGGGTGGGTTTTGAGCCTCTCTCTCGCTGGATGGTAAGCTTCCTAAGGGTAGCAATCATGTCTGTTTTGGCCATCTCAGCAGAATCTACATGAGTTCTGGGCAAACAACAGGCATTCAGTAAATATTGGTTGGAGTCTCGAATGTATGTGGCTTTTACTGTGGGAATAAAGACAAGTTTGAGCTCTGCTTCTACCCTGCTTTGTTGATGTGGGGATGACATCAAATGATTTATGAGTTCCAAGTAACCACAGATGGATGTAGTTCCTTATAAGATGCACTAACATAGAGTCTTATAGATTTACACATGCTGTTGGTGGGGGCCCATGCCAACAAGTTAAGGTTGTAAGAAGTTTTCATTTTTTTCTTGAATGGGAAAATATTTACAAAGATTTTCTTCATTTGACAGCCTGGTAAGTAGCCTTCAATAGCTCTCCATTTTCCACCCGTCTGATGTAAATTCCCCCTGCCAATTTTTTGTCACTCTCTAAAATCTGACCTTCTCTAGTTTAACTTATTTTCCACTACTCGCTAATACACAGTTTACAGTTTAGACAGGTCCTATTGAGCCCTCACATGTCAAATTCACAGCTGGGTGTCTCTCACAGAGGTCCCACCACCTTTTATAGGGGACTTTCCTCATTCTTTGCCTTCAGTAACTTTTGCCAGATTCTTTCTGAGTTCAGCTTCCAACTTCCCCACTCCCTGGCTACTGGAGTCTCAGTGATCTCTCTGTCCTCTGAATGTTTGGTGTGTCTCTTGACTCAGCTCTCAATTCTGTCCTGTCCTTCAGTGCTCAAGGTGAGATCTCATATATGGGGCTTACCTGCTCACCTGATTAATCTTGATTTCCTTACCTGCAAAATACAGCTAATGCCTCTGTCACTGATGAAAGAGAGAGAAAATACTTCAAATACCTGGCTTGGCAGCAAGGCCGGTTCCCTCTTATTCTCTGTTTCTGCAGCCACAGCCCCCTGCAAAGCAGTGTGTTGCTTAAGAAATGGAATCTGATGGGCTGATTCCTAGTGGTGGACTAAGAGGTGGTTGGTGGAAGAATTGGGTAAAAGCCAGAGAGTGTGCCACCACTGAAATTAAGGGGGAAAGTTTTGTTTTCTCTCTTTTGTATTGTAGGCCAGGACACAGAGGGTTATTTGTCATTTTGCTTATGGACAAGAGAGTTTGGGAAAAAAGTAGAAGCTGCTAGTGGTACATTTGTATGGGAAATATTTTGACAAAACTTTATCCTAAGTACTTCACATAATTTCTTAGAAGAGAAGGGGAAACTAGCCAGCTAACCATATCTACTCTACACAAAGCAGGGTCCCAGACTGGGGACTAGAGAAAATAAAAAGTACTGGACATGGAGAGCCAAGCAGGTTAAATGACTGGAGGGTGTCAAAAGGACGTTTACCTGCTGAGCCTCCAGGCATCCATGAGCCTCCTTCCATGCATGGATGTGCACACACATACTCCGAGATGCCACAGACATAGACATGTGCACAGATACAACCAGACACACACATATGGACACACTGGCACACAGAGATACATACTCACACAGAGATACATACAAATGTGTGTGTGCACAGACAGATACACAGTCATACAGATACACACATGTGCACATAGATACACACAGATATATACGTCAACATGCAGACATATATGTACAGACATACACAGATACACATATATGCACACACAGAAACCCAGACACACACACGTGCACACAGATATATTATGTGCACACACAGATATACACGGAGATGTATACATACACACAGAGAGATACACTCATGCACGCAGATACATACCTGCATTCATACATGCACACAGGTACACAGATACATACATGAACACACTGACGTATATGTACAGATACACATATGCACACAGATACCTAGACATACACACACACAAATGGATGTGCAGACACACACATGCACACACAGATATACACACAGAGGCATACAGATACACACATGTACGTGGACACACAGATACACAGACACGCAGATACATGGACACACTTTCTTGCCTCTTCATTGCAAGGACACCTTCTGGCCACCAGGTGTCACTGCGTGAACCGCGCTGGAAGTCGCTGGGGGACTGGAGGGGGCTGGCAGTAGCTGTCATGGAGCCACTTTCTGAATGACCTTTAATGAAAACAGAGCTGCCAAAGTAGCTTGACAGCAAATTTTATTCGTAACAGAAAATCCATCCTAAGACTCACTGTAGAATTGCTCCAATTCATTTCTCTTATCTGAGATGGTCACAGTAAAAGCAGCTAAAGAAAAGAATCACAAATGGCCCACTTGGCTGGGCCCCTATGCATTCTTGGGAAAGGTTAATTGGAAACGGCTTCGAGCCTCGCCATACAGAAGAGTCTCGGCGAGGGGAGGTTATTCAACTACAGCCAAATGAAGACTTTTCTTTCAGAAGCAGGTGGAGGGGACCCTGAGTCCTCAGGTCCTGTGCCGTACGTAAGAAATGATACGGAAGCTCCGGGAGCTGATAGTCACATTCGCCTCTGTGCTTCCCTGCGCAGCTAGAACAATTCCATCACTCTCTCCTGTGTAACGAGCGTCCTTAACAAGCCTCAAATATGCATCCTCATGCCAACAGTTCCTGCAACAAAGGCAATCTGCACATTTCAAAAATCAAAAGCAATTTGGCTAAAATACCTGTAGTATAATGTGGTACATGCCTGTGGAAGCCTCCAGATCTGGGCTGCAGGCATTTCGCAAAGGCTGAGCCTCTCCAGGAGGCACATTTTTTGTAGAAGTGGCTTCACCGTTATTTAGTTTTTATGATCTGACTCATAGTGGGATCTCCTGTGGGCCAAGAAGGGCATCGAAGTGTCCATTGCTTTTTTGGAATCACGTAGACTGTCCGGTTTCTAGTTTAATGACAGCTTGACAAGGACTTCACAGTTGTCATCTACTGAAATGAGCTTTGGTGTATTTAAGCAGAAGAAAGAATTATTGAGATGATATTGGGAAGGTTGGGTATCAAGGCTCTGAAGATGGGCTGACATCGAAGAGCAGGCCCGGGGGCACAGCTCTCCTTGCTCACTGGGGACATTCTTGAAAGAGCCGTGCCACTGCTGCTTGTGGATGTCGGGCCTGGCTGCTGACCTTGAAGCCCTTCTGATTGCTCCCTGGGCATCATCTTGGAGACTCCGCCGTCATCCCTGTCCTGTCCAGTCATCCACCCCAGAGCCAAAGCCCACGGGTGTCCTTTGTCCTCCAGCTAGGAGACCCAAATCTGGATTCTTAGTCACTGTGATAATAGGCTGGCCAGACCATGCAAGGAATGTTGCCTGGAGCTCAGGCAGGAGTTTGGATGATGGTCAGCTACAAAGCCGCAGACATCCAAGTAGATTGCCGAGATTGGACTAGAAATTGAGAATAGTTTGTGGGCGGGCTTCGAAAGGTGCTGGGTGATTACTGGGTATATACCCAAAGGATTATAAATCATTCTACTATCAAGACACATGCACACATATGATTATTGCAGCACTATTTACAATAGCAAAGACTTTGAAGCAACCTAAATGCCCATCAATGATAGACTGGATAAAGAAAATGTGGCACATACATACTATGGAATACTATGTAGCCATAAAAAAGAAATGAGTTCATGTCCTTTGCAGGGACAGGGATGAGGGTGGAAACCATTATCCTCAGCAAACTAACACAGGAATAGAAACCAAACACCACATGTTCTCACTCATAAGTGGGAGTTGAATAATCAGAACACATGGACACAGGAAGGGAACATCATACACCAGGGCCTGTCTGGGGATAGGGTAAAGGGGAGGGAGAGCATTAGGACAAATATCTAATGCCTGTGGGCCTTAGAACCTAGATGATGTGTTGATAGGTGCAGCAAACCACCATGGCACATGTATACCTATGCACGTTCAACACATGTCTCCCAGAACTTAAAGTAAAATAAAAGAAAAAAAAGTGCTGGGTGGATTTGAACATGAGGCATATGTAATGCCCAGTGGACTAGTAGTGAGACATTTTTATCACAAGGGTTCATATTTAGGGCCATATCCCGTGCTGCAGCCAGGCACCCAGATGCAAACACTCCTGTCCCTGCTACTCTCAGCATTCCTACTGCATTCTGGGATCTGGCCTGTCCAAAATGCTCTCTCTCCTGCATGGCTGTGTGCTCCGAGCCATGTCTGGCCTCTGTCAGCCACTTCTCCTGGGCTTATACTGCCATCTCACACGCAGCATCCCTTTTAGGGTTCCCAGGGCATCTGGTGCCCCAACCTCCACCATGGCCAATTCTAAGATGCAGCCTGCTAACAGGTGCTTCGTTAGAGTCACCTGGGGTACTGCTTAGTGCAATCTGATCAGAATCTCCGGGGATGGGCTTGGACCCCAGACTTTTTACAGCCCTCCCCAGGTGAATCTGAGGAAGCAGACTTTATGGTTTAAAAAGTCCATTCAGTGTTTACTGAGCTAAGAGGAAGCCGACTTTATGGTTAGAAATGAACCCGGGAGGGGGAGCTTGCGGTGAGCCAAGATTGCGCCACAGCGCTCCAGCCTGGGTGACAGAGTGAGACTCCATCTCAAAAAAAAAAAAAAAAAAAAAAAAAAAAAAAAAAAAATTCCATTCAGTGTTTACTGAGCTAAGAGGAACCCGACTTTATGGTTAAAAAATCCCATTCAGTATTTACTGCGCTAAGAACGATGGTAGCGGCACCGTGGTGTTTGCTCTGGTGACATAAAGTGGCCTGGAGCATCTCAGCACCTCCTCTGCCTTCAGAACAGGGTGCTCTCCTCCACCTGTGAGCCTGGGAATGCTGTTTCCCTGTCCAACATGCCTAGCCTCCTCTCTCCCAGTCTGTGAGTCTTTCCCATCCTTCGGTTCTCTGCACCAGCGCAGCTTCCATTATGAGTCCCTCCCCTGCTCTTCCTGCCTGATCGGCCCCTTCTTGGAACTGTTGTCAGACTTACCTTCATTTTACTGCTTACTCTTGCCCCTTCGCTTATATCCACGGATTCACCCTCCACTCTGTGTATGTTGGGTTTGCTTAAACATGTATGTCTGTGTCTAGAGATGCACAGCATAGCCCTGCCTTTCAGAAGCGTGTGTTAATATTATCTTCCGATTAATCTCCTGTATTAATATTAATTCATGTCTTAGCAATTGGACTGTAGGAGTTTTGATGTCTGGGATTGTGGTGGATACCTTGATGTGAACTTCTCAGCGTGTAATAGATAGTGACCCCTCTTGCTTACAGCAATGCACTGAGTGAATTTTTTAAACCATTTATGGCTATGGTCTGCCTTACAATGGGGGACTTCTCCCTAATAGAATACTTTTGATTCAGGGCTTACAGGAGCATGACACTGTACACAACTTTTATGATTCTTAGTAATAGCACAGTTGCTGACAGATAGGAGATGATACAGCCAAGTACAGGGAGGGAGGTTAGGAGTATTTTCTTGGTATCTGTAAAAAAAATCATAGGTACGGTTTTATGAGTCCTTTCATGTTCCTGCCATGGTGCTGAGTGTTTATGTGCATTATCCACGTCATCCTCATGGCAACCCCAGGAGTTTGGTGTCACCAGTCCCATGTTATAGATGAAGATAAAAGGCACAGCAATGATGGGTAATCACGATTCCACGCTGAATAGCAGAGCTGAGCTTCACCTCCAAGTCATGCCGCTTTTTCATGTTGCCTGTGTTTGTGTGCATGTTTGTGTGCATTTGTGTGTGTATGTTTGTGTGTGCGTGTGTGTGCATCTGTGTGTGTATGTTTGTGTGTGCGTGTGTGTGCATTTGTGTGTGTATGTTTGTGTGTGCTTGTGTGTGCATTTGTGTGTGTATGTTTGTGTGTGCGTGTGTGTTTCTCTGTGTGTGTGTGTTTGTGCATGTGTGGGTTTGTGTATTTGTGTGTGTGCATCTGTGTGTGCGTGTGTTTTGTATGTGTGTTTGTGCATGTGTTCATACGTGTGTGTGCATGTGTTTGTGTATGTGTGGGTTTGTGTGTGTGTGTGTGCATGTGTGTGTACATGTGTGCATGTGTGTATGTGTGTTTCGAAATCAGTTACTCCGAGTGGAAGTCAGAGGGAAAGGAAATTCTAACGTGGTGTTGAAGACATTACTGCAGCATCAAAACCAAGAAGGAAAGGTCATGGGTGGATCGAGTGAGAATGAAAGGGTGGGCGGATGGGCAGGACTGGGGTGAATCCTAGCAGAAGAAGTTGCAAAAACCCAGCCCCTGCTTGGCAGAGAATGTTGTTTAGAAGCAGGTGAGAGATCTCTAAGAAACTACCTGCTGTTTGTTGTTATTCCTTGTTCCCTCTGTAGGAGGTTTGGACAGGCACTCTCCCACTGACGTGCTTGTAACTTTCATTGTGACCTTTATCAACAGACTCGCCCCGTGGAGAGAATAAATTGGATGCATGACCAGACCTCTGAGAGGCTGCGTCTCCAGGCAGCTGGTGGGAAGCTGTCTGGAAACAAACACATTTTCCAGCTTGCTCGACCCTCACATTTCCAAAGCAGAAGGTGTGTGATGTGGACTAACTGAAACTTGCCACCAGCTTGTCTCATCTCTCATGAAACTGCTGGAAGAAACACAGTGGATAATGACTCATTCCTGTGCTCATGTCCAGATAATAACTCTCACTTCTTAATAACTTCCCTCTGGCCATCGATATCTCAAATGCAATAAAATGTTGTAAGCTGGCCGATGATATTTTCATTAGATGTGAAGCAATTTTAGCAAAGCAAGATATAGATGATACAGGGCAAAATGCTACCTCTGACCAAATGAAGAGGTGAGCTGGAAAGTACATGAAAATAGGACTTAAGGTCAGAACAGGGAGGCCAAGAGTTCCTGTTCCTAGGAGAGTGAGAGAATGCCTCATCTTCCTGTCCTTGTTGCTGATTGACCTGTCTTGGTGTTTGGAAGGTAGGCATTCACCTGGACTGGCCACGTGTGGGTGCTGCGTGTTAGGTCATAAGGGATGTGGCAGGATGCAGGAGCTACTTGGCTTTCATATGCGTGTGGGAGGGGGAGAATTTTGACCTTCCACTGAAGAGAACAGGATACTTCTCTGGGCTCTATTTCCACGTAGTAGGCTGTCCTCAAGCAAGTTCTCTAGCTTCTCAGGATCTCAATTTTTTGTTGTTGTGTTTTTGAGACAGGGTCTCTCTCTGTTGCCCAGGCTGGAGTACAGCAGCATGACCTCTGTTTCCTGCAATCTCTGCCTCCCAGGCTCAAGCGATCCTCCTGCCTTGGCCTCCCAAGTAGGTGGGAGTATAGGTGCATGCCACCACACCTGGCTAATTTTCAAAAATTTTTTTATAGAGACAGATTCTCCCTATGTTGCTCAGGCTGGTCTACAAACTCTTGGGCTCAAGGCATCCTGCTTCCTCAGCCTCCCAAAGTGTTGGTATTACAGGTGTGAACCACCACACCTGCCTTCTTTACCAGTGAAGCTGCCTGACCTAGGTTTCCATAGGCTAGTCTTAGTTTGTTTGGCCTTCTGTAACAGAATATCTTCAACTGGCCATGATCTCATTTTTCTCTGTGTAAAATCAGTTACAAAGTCTCCTTGTGCCCTTCCCACTCTGAAATCCTATGCTTTTGCCCCTTTCCAGTGACAAATCTAATAGTTAAACAGAAAGACAAAGCAGTAAGCTTGAAAACCAAAATCACAAGTCTGGATGGCAGATAGGCGTTCAGAGGACAAGGTGGTCATTGTGGACTAGATATTCCATGGGGGAGTTTTGGCCTTAGCTGGACTCTAAAGGAACCCAGGACTGAGTCCTTGGAGAGGAAGATTCTGGAGGTTAGATGGAGAGGACAGCAGGAGCACTGGCCCCGCATGAGCTAGTGGCCCTTCCCTAAGACGGAGAAGATCTTTGTCCTTCTGATGGAGAGCTTGTCTCATTTTTGTCTGTCTGTCTGTTCTTCAGAATACCCTGAAAATGTTTTTAGCATACGATTTCAGAATCCTCACGAAAAGCCTCAGTGTTTCTACAGTTATAGAGAGATTCTAAAAATGTGTGGATCAAGGGTTACCACTTCCACTTATTAACCTACTTGTGGTAGGTAATATATTCATCACATTCACTTGCATGTAGATATTACTCTCTTCTAAAGGCATACAGCCATTCATCCAATTTCATACAGTAATTATCCAAGGCTCTCTGCCCCTAGTTACAAGAACTGAGTTAATGTGCTCCTGAGTCTGTCTATATTTTTAATGATCATTTCATTTCCCTCATTAAGCATTTAGGTTGGTCATTTGAAACGTCCAAATTGATAATGTTCTTTCATCTTTATGTGGTTTTCATGGAAGCATGAGAACTCCTCAAAGACAGAGCAATGGCTCTAAAATGGATCTGCTCCAGTCACTAGAACTCCTGCATTCCCAGGACCAACACCTGTGTATCCAGGACCATGTTTTCCAGCCCAGAAATGACTCCTGCACACCTAAAGATACCCCATCAGCCCTCACCTCGCCTGTAAGCCTCCTTCCCAGGAAATAAAAGCAGAGGAACAAAGAAGCCACAGATGAACAAAGAGTTTCATCTCGGGGATATGGAAATGAAATACACTGCATAACTGTTAAAGACTGAATTGTGTCCTCCTGAAATTCATATGTGAAGCCTTCATGCCTAATGTGACTGTATTTGGAGACAGGGGCTTTAAATAAGTCATTAAATGTTATCAGTCCATTCTCACCCTGTTAATAAAGACATAGCCAAGACTGGGTAATTTATAAAGGAAAGAAGTTTAATTGACTCACAGTTCCACATGGCTGGGGAGGCCTCACTATCATGGCAGAAGATGAAGGAAAAGCAAAGGGATGCCTTACAAGGCAGCTGGCAAAGATAACTTGTGCAGGGGAGCTCCCATTTATAAAACCATCAGACCTCATGATGGTTTTTCACTACCACAAGAACAGTATGGGGGCAACCGTCCCCAGGATTCAATGATCTCCCTCTGGCTCCCTCCCATGACATGTGGGAATTATGGGAACTACAATTCAAGATGAGATTGGGGTGGAGACACAGCCAAGCCATATCATTAAGGTGAAATGAAGTCAAAAGGAAGGGGCCCTACCTCATACGACTGTGGCCTTATAAGAACAGGAAGAGACACCGGGGATGCAGGTACACAGAGAAAGGGCCATATGAGGACACAGCTGGGAGATGGTCATCTGTAACCCAAGGAGAGAGACTTTAGGAGAAACCAACCCTGCCCACGCATTGTTCTCGGACTTCCAGCCTCCAGGACTGCAAGATAATAAGTTCCTGTTGTTTAAGCCACCCAGTCTCTGATATTTTGTTTTACAGCAGCCCAGGTAAACAAATGCAATAACAATAGAAGAAAACTGATCAGTGGAACAGAAAAACCAACAGAATGGATGTCTTTCACCATGACTATGAAAAGCTTGGAAAAGGATTCCACTAAAGCTGACAATTCTTTCATAGCTGGATTACGGAACAGTTGGACATGAAACAAAATAAAAACGATCACAGCTCTCCCTCTGTGCCTGAAGCAGTTTCTAGGGGGAAATTCAAACATGAAAAGCCAAGCGGATGATCTGAGGTGTTGTTAACTCAAGTGAAGGCGCCAAGCATCAGGCAACGTGGACTTTCTGACCAGCACCGTGTTCTTGCCTGCAAAGCTCCTTATTAGTAGGGATTGTCACAACCCTGGAAATAAACTTTTCTCAGGTGACACATCTTCAGTGAGAACATTGTTTGAGGCCTCTGTGCTCAAGAGACCGTGTTTGGTTTTTGAAATGTTTAGTTTTCTCCTTTAGAATGGAATAGCCTGGGGAGGAATAAGGATTGTGGGTGGCACCTGCCCAGGAGATGCTTTCTTTCTCCCTGTAATCCAGATACAATGCTATTTTTATCTATTAGGTGGCAAAAGCAGCAATGATTGTGCCTTTCATCTTTTTTTATGAGGTAAAGCTGCAGGCCAGGGGATGTATTTAGCTATTCTGTTCTACAGAGAGCCTTCTGGACAGCTGATCTTGAACGATGTGCAGTTGCTAAGGTTGCTAGCTTCTCCAGAGTAATTCCTGTTGAAGGCTTTCCCACCATCTTGCACAGTTGGAGTCTGGGGCTGTTAAGAAGTTTAAGAAGAAAAACAAAGCAAAACAGAGAAAACAAACAAGCTCACCAGCTTCATCATGTAAGCAAAGATATCTTATGAAGGAATTGGTTCAGTTCACATAAAAACCTTGGTATACAGAGGCAGGAAAATATCATTATACCCATTTCACAGAAGGAGAAACAAGGAGTGATGAAAAAGAAGGAATGAGGAGGAGAAGGAAGGAAGGAGAGGAGAAGGAAGGAAGGAAAGCAGAAAGGAAGGAGGATGGGAAAGAAGGGAGGAAGAAAGAAGGATGGGAGGGAGGAAAAGAAAGGAAGGAGAATGAGAGAGAGGGAAGGAAAGAAGGAAGGGAGGGATAAATGACAGAGGGAATGAAGGAGGGAAGGAAGGAAGGAAAGGATAGAGGAAGGGAGGGAGTAAGGCACAAAGGTAGGTGCGGGGGTCCAGGCATGAAGGGAATGTACCTTTCATGAGTGTGGTTACATTGAACTGCATGTGCTTTCCGTTGGAAACCATAAAGTCATAATGGACTCTTCTGAAACGGAGCCACCTGGTCTACCATAGTCTCTTCTGAAGAGACTCAGTCAAGATGATGCCATGTAGGGTGGGTAAGAGGCAAGGGTCCAAGTTCCCTTTAGCTCTTCACCGTGGTTTAGTCATTCAACCTTTTCACTAAGCTCTAGTGAAAGGATTGAGCTTGAATCCCTGCGTCATCATTTACTAGCTTTGTAGTCTTGGGTTAATAACTCATTTAATGAGCAAAAATGGGATGAAACTATCCGCCTTTTAGGATGGCTATGATGTGAGCTCAGATTATGTGCAGTGGTTGCTTAAAAATTGGCAGGTCCTGTGGAGATGGAGCTGTGTCATTCTGTTCCTCGCCTTCAGGGCGTCCCACAGCGTAGTGTGGTGCTCGCACCTGTCTGCGTTCACCATGAGTCATCGCTGCACCTGCATCTTGTGGCGTTTATGCGATAGTGATCATAAAGGTAAGTGCAGCAGCTAATGTTCATTGAGTGTTTGCCACTCACCAGGTGATGTTCTAAGTGCATTTTATATATTATTTTATTTCCAGCACATTTTGAGGAAACTGGGGAAGAGGGGTTAAGCAGCTGGACCCATGCCTTGCCACTGGTAAATGGTGGGCCTGGAATTTGAGACCAGGGACCTTGACTTCAGACCCCGTGATCCCAACAGCTCCACCATAGTTCACTCTGTTTCTAGCTTGAAATGTAGCTGCTGATTAATTCTTTATGCCTTTTTCCATAGCTGGTGATTAGAATAATTGCTTTTCAGTTAATCTTCTCATGATATCAAACCTTTTTTGCATTCCATGATGTTGTGTGTGTGTATGTGTGTGTGTGCAAGTGTGTGTGTAAGTGTGTGTGTGTGCATGTGTGTGTGTGTGTGATTCTCTTGTTTTTAGTAAAAATAAACAGGAGGGTTTTCGTACCCACAGATTTGAGTTTTGAAAGCTCTTGTGTAGCACTGGGTGGGGTGTGAAAAAGAGAGGAGAGGGAATTGTCATTTTCTTTTCCTGTAGAGATCTTTAAATTGAGATGGGTTATCTAACTGAAAGACTAAGAGGGGTGCTAGGATTAAGATTCTAGGACGGTCTCTGAGACCCAGGCTGGAAAGCATAAATTCGCTCCTCCCTACTGTGAGTCAGTGACTCTCGGGGGGATACGGCAAATCCTGGGCTCTGAGTCCCAGGTTCTGTTTCTCTTTGGAGGGCTATGTAGGGAAGGAGCCTGTCCAGCATTGGCCCAGGACATTGGATCTAGCCACACAGACATGTTTGCTGAGAACTTACCTGGTGCCAGGCTTTGTACATTATGTCCTTGATCTCACAATAAAACCTGCACAGAAGCAATATTTTCTCCATTTGTAGAGAGGTGGAAATGAAGGCTTAGAGAGGTTGTAACTTTTTTCAGAACCCAAAACTCATAAATGGAAAAGGCCAGTTATGCCTAAAATTGGTATAAAACCTTGGAGAAAATATACTATACATATAAAAGCTGAGATAGGATAAATTACTGTTGTTTAAGCCACCCAGTCTATAGTATTTTGTTTTATGGCAGCCGAAGTAAACAAGTGCAGTAACAATAGAAGAAAACTGATCAGTAGAAACAGAAAAACCAACAGAATGGTTGGTTTAATTTCAGAAGATGTTGGTAAAGTTCTTTACAAGCCCCAAGCTTTCCCTTTATGGTCGTGTCAAGAGGCCTGAAAGCTATCCAAAATGGTACCCAGTCCTCCCACACATGTGTACACACACACACACACACACATACACATCATGGAATGCAAAAAAATCAAAGCTCAAGCATTGAGCATGCCTCTCTCTGTGCTTTACCACCTAACATAATAAAGGTTTTTAAAATGTTGAACAAAAAATGAATTCTGGCTTGGGTAAACAAGGCTTGGAAAGGAATGAAATGCAGGCAATTTTAATTTACTGGCAGTAGCAGCTTCTTCCTTACTAGCATTTAAAGCCAATTAGCAAAGATGGAGAAAAAATTCTAAACATCGGAAACTTCATAAACAAAAACTCACTAATCCAGGAAGCTGCATGGCTCGCCGCCCAATTATACTCACGAAAGCAGCACATGGCTGTCACTGAAGAACAGCCAACAGTGCTCTGAAATGAATCGTGATGGGTGTAGAAAACGTCTGAATTATGTAATAATAGCTTACATCGGTATACCATTTTGATACGCGGTATCTCTTTAAACAGTCACAGCATCCCTGAGACACAGCTAGGGGAGCCATTGCTCTGCCCACTGAATGGAAGGGGAAACTGAAGTGCAGCCTCCTGAACTGATTCTCCAAAGATTACATAACTGATCAGTGGGAGAATGGAACCACCCCTCCTCAGTGGGACACCTTTTTCCTCTCTTTTTTTTTCCCTTAAAATTCATGAGATGATAGATACAAAATGGAAGGATCTGTAGAAACTCCACAATTGGGGCTTATTTGGTAGAACTGTGGAGGACAGATCTGTTTAAATAAATGGGCCTTTCACCTGAAATTCTTCTCTTCCAACATGGTCACACGTGCATTACCCAATAGGGGATGTCAACTCACAATTAACATGAGCTATTTAATAAAGCCCATCTCCACGAGCCAGAGGTTTATGACAGGAAGTGATTTTATTTTACTAATGTGGACAAAACTCTCCATGATACAGCTGGGACTTTAACTCAGGTTTAAAAAATAATTGAAGAGTTGCTAGTCACTTGATAACGAGGGGAGATAAGCAACTCACAGAAGATGAATTGAGGAAAATGAGAGGAAAGGCTGAAAAGGAAGGTTGCTATAGCAATGACAGAATTCACCTTTTCCCCATAATGACAGTGAAGGTCAGAATGGGCCTTGGGTCCCAGATGGTACCATTGAAATGGAAGAAATCAGGTATTCTATGGCAATTCTCTCCCAAGGCACTGCCTGGGTTATGTAGATCTCTTTAAGCTAAACTTCCGTGCTTTTAATCTTCTTTACCTCTTAGGACTCTTTTCAATCTCTCTTCATTTCTGTACCGCTTATCATTCCACCCATATTTTTGGCGAATTTTATCGTTTAGCCCTTAAATAGAATTGAGTTTTTCATTATACATTGACTCAGCGATCTGCAAGTAATGGATGCATTTAAAAATGACGACAATGGAACCTAAACCCAAAGAGTTGTAGACTCATTCAGAAGGCACCAGGGATGCGTTCGGCAGTGGGAAAACCACAGTACCCAACTGCACAGAAGCACGCTCTTGTGGGAGAGCAATGAGACTCACAGGGACCCTCCAGGGATTGTGAATTCACAGGGGGATGAGACTGCACCTCGCTTTGAGTCTAGATTATTAACAGTTTTATTTATCATCACCAAGAGCTTTATTTATGATCAGCAAGAACTTGATTTAGAGGAACGACACCTTATTTAATTGAAATTGTCAGGGAAACTTAGTGAGGAAGAATGTAATTATGATGCTCGGTAATTAGCTCTGTTGGCATGAAGCAGGCAGGGATCGGAGTGAAATGCTGAAAAGTAAATCAGGATCCCTGATTTCTGGGAGTTCTGGTCCCACCCCTAATTCCCTGGTCATCTGGGAGGAATGACTGTCATTTCTCCTCTCTCCCTTATTTTTCTTTTTACTGTTTTGCTGTATGTAATAGAGCAATGTATTCTTGAACTACAAGATCCTGGAGGGAAG